>NC_000009.12:41569114-41899725 GCF_000001405.40 Homo sapiens
TCATCAAGGATGTTGGTCTAAAATTCTCTTTTTTTGTTGTGTCTCTGCCTGGCTTTGGTATCAGAATGATGCTGGCCTCGTAAAAAGAGTTAGGGAGGATTCCCTCTTTTTCTATTGATTGGAATAGTTTCAGAAGGAATGGTACCAGTTCCTCCTTGTACCAAATGCTCACCATCACTGGCCATCAGAGAAATGCAAATCAAAACCACAATGAGATACCATCTCACACCAGTTAGAATGGCGATCATTAAAAAGTCAGGAAACAACAGGTGCTGGAGAGGATGTGGAGAAATAGGAACACTTTTACACTGTTGGTGGAACTGTAAACTAGTTCAACCATTGTGGAAGTCAGTGTGGTGATTCCTCAGGGATCTAGAACTGGAAATGCCATTTGACCCAGCCATCCCATTACTGGGTATATACCCAAAGGACTATAAATCATGCTGCTATAAAGACACATGCACACATAGGTTTATTGCGGTATTATTCACAATAGCAAAGACTTGGAAACAACCCAAATGTCCAACAATGATAGACTGGATTAAGAAAATGTGGCACATATACACCATGGAATACTATGCAGCCATAAAAAATGATGAGTTCATGTCCTTTGTAGGGACATGGATGAAATTGGAAATCATCATTCTCAGTAAACTATCGCAAGAACAAAAAACCAAACACCGCATATTCTCACTCAGAGGTGGGAATTGAACAATGAGATCATATGGACACAGGAAGGGGAATATCACACTCTGGGGACTGTTGTGGGGTGGGGGGAGGGGGGAGGGATAGCATTGGGAGATATACCTAATGCTAGATGACGAGTTAGTGGGTGCAGTGCACCAGCATGGCACATGTATACATATGTAACTAACCTGCACAATGTGCACATGTACCCTAAAACTTAAAGTATAATAAAAAAATACAAAGCAACCTCTTATTAAAAAAAAAACAAAAGTGTTTCCTCTTTTTTATTTCTTAAACTTTTGTGTAATGTATAAATTATATCTCCTTAAATATTAGTAAAATTTGTCAGTTCGTTTATCTAGGTGGGTATTAATAAATTTAAAACAGATATATAGGGATGTGCATGTTATTGCTTTCTTTTTGAGTTTGCCTTAGTTTGTGTCTTTTGAGGGATTTATACACTTAATCTAAATTAACTAATTTACATTTATAAATTTCATCATGGTATTCATTTAGTTATCCTTAAACTGTTGTAGGACAACGGAAATGTTACTTCTATCATTCTTTTTTTGTAGTTTATTTGTTTTGAGACAGAGTCCCGTTCTGTCGCCCGGGCTTGAGTGCAGTGGCCTGATCTCTACTCACTGCAAATTCCACCTCCCAGCTTCAAGCAATTCTTGTGCCTCAGCCTCCCGAGTAGCTGGGAATACAGGCATGCGCCATCACGCTCGGCTAATTTTTGTATTTTTAGTAGAGACAGGGTTTCACTATGTTGGCCAGGCTGGTCTGGAACTCCTGACCTCAAACGATCCGCCTGCCTCGGCCTCCCAAAGTGCTGGGATTTCAGGCATGAGCCACCACCCCCAGCCACTTCTATCGTTCTTAAAATTTGTAAATTATTTATTTCCTATTATTTTCTCCTTAGTCTGGCCAGAGATTTAACAATTGTATTGATCCCTTCAAAGATCTAAATTTAGTTTAATTTACTTAGCTATATAATTTTTCTCCATTTAATGTTGTTTATTTCTTCATTAACCTTTATTATTTTCTTCTTTCTGATTGCTTCATAATTAATTTGTTCTCATTTTTATAATAACAAGTTGGAAGCTTTCATCATAATTTCAAGGTAATTTTTCTTTTCTAATGCAAGCTCTTAATGGGATAGATTTTTCCCTAAACACAGAAATTTCCACATTTTGATATGTTATACTTTTTAAAATTTCTCTTACTTTTGGCTAGGTTCATGTTTAAATATACATATGTGCAAGAATATTTTCCCTTGATTTATATGGATTTAGAGGTTAAAAAAGACAAAAAAATTATTTTGGAAATTTCTAGGAGACTTAGTTCACCATAATTGTTACATAATTGTGCATATGTTGCAAGTAATGTATTGAGAAAAGTATTTATATCTGTATACATGTTTGGTCCTTAATGATGAAATTAATGCACAGTTGTCTAACTATAATAATTTCCTTATAATCACACTGGTTTTCCTTTGGTGCCACAAGATGATGAATCTCACTTTAGTGTGACCAAGCAAAATGAGGTACAAAAACAGTCCAATCAATGTGAAAATAGCTCAAATTCATTTGAATTTTAAAAATATTTCATATGTAAATTAAATTAGAAATTAAATATATATAATATATTTTATTTCAGAAATATTTGCTTGCCTTTTGGAACTCAAAGTTCAAAACCTTCTATTGTCATCTTTAAATAACTAATTTTTAAGTTAATTTCTACTTGGTTATATGAAAATACTACCACACAATGTGGAGATAAAGAAAACATTTACAGAAAAATTGTCCATATGGACACATTTTAAACAGATGATCTAATTAGCATAATAGCCACCAAACTGGTAAATAAACAGTTTTGTTGATTTGCTGCTTAATCAGCATCTATTCAGAATTCTGTAATATTGTTTAGTAAAACAGTTTATTTCCATCAATAAATGTATTTTATAAATTTATGCCCAGTAAACTTCCAGGTAAACCATCGAAATACTAACTGTTTTCTACAACTGATGGTCTTTTTTTTTAAGCTGCTTTCTGTAGTGAATTGATGAGAGTGAATGAAGATTAAAATGCTTATTCTGTAATAAAAGCCAATGCCAGCATGCTGATATATAATCTCTATAGATCAAAAAATATTCATGCTTTATTCTCAGATTTTTAATAGTGGCTCTAAGCAGTCTTAAAAATTTATTATTTAGACAACTTATCCTATATTTTAAAAATATTTTCTTAGTATACTGTGGATGTTATACAAGTCATATAATGGATAGAGAATTTCTTACATAAATTTACAATATAATTTTTTAAATAAAACTTTTGTGAAATTATTTTCAAATGTTATAAATGTTAATGAGTTTTGTTATATCGGTTCCAATATTTCTCATATATGGAAAATGTCATTTTCCCTGGGAATTAATATTTGGAGCTGGTGTTTAAGAAAAACCATGTTTGATGTTGGAAAATGCTATGTCTGGTATAACTATAGATGTTTGGAAAGCAGCTCAGTTATGCTAAAGATAAAGAAAGGAGAGAAAAATGACAGAAGGGGAGGTTTGAACAAAACAAAATAATACCTGAAAATGTTGAATGGATATGTAATATTTGTGAATGTTTATGTTCTCTATTTCACCATTATTTAAACATTTATATTTTCAAAGGGAGACAATAATTATATTTTGAAATCTTTTTTTTTTATAGAGTGCTGTATTTTTTCTTTTCAATTTCAATTTGGTGAGCAAACAAAATCAGTCAGAATATTATACATAATTAGGTTTCCTTTTTGAGATTTGTTGAAACTCTTTATCCTTTATGTATGTATTTCAAGTAGTATAATAAAAAAGAAATATAAAATGATTAGATATACATAAAAGTATTGTAGATTATGTTTTTCATATTTTCTTTCTTTTAATGTATTTTGCAGATATAGCCATTCCAGATTATGATTTCACAAACTAAGATGATTCTCAGTAGGGAAGCGTTACTGCATGTCGTTTTCATCAAAGGGAGCTTAGTTTATTTGCCTGTCTGAATATTGACATTATATTACTAATTTACACATTGGGGAAAGGGTCAAGAGAACTCCAAATTTTTGTTGACTTGATATTAACCTGAAAGGGGAATGTTAATAACTGACAAAATATATCCACAGTAGTTAGACATCAAGTTGTGTTTATTTTTTTAATCTACTGCATATTATTGAATTATTTAGATGATAGATAGATAGATAGATAGATAGATAGATAGATAGATAGATACATAAATAGATTGATTTATTAGATGTACAGGAAATAGAATTCACTGGTGGGCATGCGTAAAGAGGGGGCAGCTCTTTTCTAATGCAGGGCTAGCTGCTTGTCCAGGGGCCCATGATTCCAGGGCTATATTTGGCCCCACAGCCATCCAGGATGAGTTGTTTCTCAGCCACCAAGTCTTAAAATGTATATGCATTAAACTTAGTAAAATCGCACTTCTTTGAGATGTGGCTTTTTGGGCATTCACTGAACTTGAATTTGGCCCTAAATAAGGCCTCAGTCACATGCTCCAGGGTTTGCAGCTTGGTATGGATGAACATGGCCAATGTGAACTCTGACCTCTGGGTCCTGAGGCTTTCCAAAGGCATACTACATCCGGTCTTAAACCTAGACTAGGGAAAGCACTAGATCCAAGACATAAATGTCCAATGGCAAAGGCTGTTGTACGCAAGGAACAGGCTGCTGCACACTACCTAGGATGCTGCTGTTTGCAGCCCTTGCACACCAGGCCCCATGTGGCTTAATTGATTGTAGAAATTATTTTATATATTAAGTTTTTGGCGATTCGTATCTTTTATTCAAGATAGCTAAATGTAATTTATATTAGACCATATACAGTAAGTTGTAAATTATAGAAGTTGTGCTTATCAAAATCATATTCAGTGGGCAATATGGCCTTTAATATAATGAAGTTTACTGGTAAAAATTAAAATAAAATAATGTGGTTTTGTAGTGCTCTTGTATGTCAACTAAAACAAATTAACAAAACCTATTGAAACCCATAATCATTTAGACTATCTACTTACACTTTGGGAGGCCAAGGTGGGCAGATCACCTGAGGTCAGGAGTTCAAGACGAGCCTGGCCAACATAGTGACATCCCATCTTTACTAAAAACACAAAAATTAAACAGGCGTGGTGGTGCATGCCTGTAATTTCAGCTACTCAGGAGGCTGAGGCAGGGAGAACTGCTTGAACTTGGGAAGGGGAGGTTACAGTGAGCCAAGACTGGGCCACTGAACTCCAACCTGGGCGACAGAGGGAGACTCCATCTCAAAAACAAACAAACAAACAAACAAACAAAAACACAACAAAAAAACTATCTACTTAAATACCATTCTATTAAAATAAATATTTTTCTGTGATCTTAGGTTTGTTTTGTCTCAATAATATAAATAGTGTATTGGTTGTCTCAAAGTGTTAAATGGAAGCATATTTTATGGCATTGCTGAAATATCTACCAACTTTTCTTACTGTAAGTTATGCAATGGTGCATTGATTAATGCATTGGAACTTGTTAAGCAGTTTGCATGTCTGAAAAACCAAGGTTCAGAGGTATGTAGGTTAAATCCGGCAATCAAATATCAGAGAGATATTTCAGAATATTATTTTTGTGTACCAGAAAACACTTTTCAAAAAAAAAAAAAAGTAAGGGCATTAGGAAGGCACTGTAAGGTTAATCTTTTCCAGCAAAGCTATTACATTTATTTTTCTGGAGTTCTTTAGTTATAAAAAGTAGAATGTAGTTATAGGATCTAGTCAGCATTAAATTGATTGAAAAAATGAAAAACACTGTTTCATTTTTAAATAGATTAACAATTAAGCAAGTTGTTTATGTTGTCCCACTGATATACTAGAATATGCTACATTCTTTTGGGCATCTTTTAGACCATAGGGCTAAAATGTTGAGAATGACAGAGAGACAATTAGGAGCTCAGCACAAAGCAAAATGTTATGAATCAGGAAAATAAATAGAACAGAGATCAAAATTAGATAGATGCAGAATTGGAATGATACTGAAAACAAGAGATGGAACTGCAGAAAATACTATGGCAGATCATTCATTCCTTTGAATGGTGAAAGTAGTTAATACAATGGCTAACAATTGAAATGAAAAACCAGACCCAGATGAAAAAATGCAAACCAGTAAACTTACCTAGTCCTATTATTTTACTCAATTGTAGGAAATACATGAAAAAAAAGTTGTTCATTATGAATCCTTTTTTCTAACATGGGAAGAAGTCACCACTAAACCTTTCTCATTTTTTTACTCAAATGTTTGTGTTTTCTCATAGAACTTATAATTTTAATTTATTTTTCAATATATGTTTCCCATACAGTCTAGTTGGATTCATAGTTGCAATGTTTCATGTGGTATATTTGCTCCCTATGGAACAGAACATAACATTAATCTTTAGATGTGTCACTAGAGAGATTTGTATATATCCACATAAATCTACAGTTGCAACTAGAAAAATTATCCTGTGAAAATTTTGTGACACGAATGTCTTTCAACTTTTTAAAAAGTAAAGAGAAAATGATGAACAAATATGAGTTGGAAATCAGAATGAACAAATCATGAAAATGTGTACCCCTTCAAAAATTTTGAAAATTAAGAGAAATCGGTAGAACAGCTGTATTATCATTTACAAAAATGCTTCTCTACCTATAGAACAAACAATTACTTTGTCCTCTAATTTCCAAATAACTTACAGAACATTTATTTCCTACTGTCACTGGAATGGCAGGCTGGCAGGCTGAGTTGGTAGCCCAATTGGTTCCTCACATCAAAAGATTCCCTTTATTATTTCCTTATTTTCTCTTTAATTCTGGCACTCCTTCATGATTGAACTTACAGATGTTCTTTTGTCTACTAATTTTCGAGTAAGCCTGTGCTCTCTATAACTTTCAGTCTTAATTTCCTTCTACCATCAGCCTTTTGTCTAAACATTCTTATTCTGGTTTGTTTCCCTGAACTCTTGACATCAATCTCTGTTCCTTCAATATTCTGTTTCTTCTACTGGAAGCATTCTTTCCCAGATTTCACCCACTTTACTCTTCTCAATCTCTGTGTCTGAGTTAAATACTTCCTTAGGTTTCTATGTAGGATTGTCTGTCCATCTGTAATTTTTCTATATCTCTCATGTTAACATACTTATATCCTTTACTGAAAAATGTCTCCTTTAAAAAAAAAATCAATGTGTTTGTTTACTTTCTTAAAATGCCGTCTTAAACTGCAAGGTCAAAGAAGGTAAGTATGATATTTGGATATTAATATCTACCACTTAATACAGAAACTATTCTAGCACTTGTATAGGCAGTATAAGACATAATTTTAGAACTCTAAAATAAAAACTCATAAACTGAAGTTAAATATCCATTTCCCACTGCTATCTCCTTTTCCTTTTAACACATTGATATCATTTGGATCTGTGTCCCCACCCAAATCTCATGTCAAACTGTAAGTCCCACTGTTAGAGGTAGGGCCTGTTGGGAGGCAATTGGATCATTGGGCGGTTTCTCTTAAATGGTTTAGCACCATCTCCTTGGTGCTGTTCTTGTGACAGTGAGTGAGTTATTGTGAGTCTGGTTGTTAAAAGTGTATAGCACCTCCCCACCTCTCACTCTTCTTCCTGCTTCCAGCCATGTGAAGTGCTGGCTCCCCCTTCACCTTCTGCCATGATTGTTAGCTTACTGAGGCCCCCGCAGAAGCCCAGCAGATGCATCATGCTTTCTGTATAACGTGCAGAACCATGAGCCAATTAAACTGCTTTTCTTTATAAATTACCCAGTCTCAGGTATTTCTTTAGAGCAATGTAAGAAAGGACTAATATAGAAAATTGGTAGAGGAATATGATATTGTTGTAAACATACCGGAAAATGTGAAAGTGGCTTTGAAACTGGATAGTGGGCAGAGATTGGAAGGGTTTGGAGAGATCAGAAGAAGACAGGAAGATGAGGGCAAGTTTTGAACTTACTAGAGTCTTGTTACATTGTTGTGACCAAGCTACTGATAGAGACACACAATGAAGTCCAGGCTGAGGAGGTCTCAGATGGAGATAAGGAACTTAATGGGAACTGGAGCAAAGGTCACTTTAGTTAGGCATTAGCAAAAAGGTTGGCTGCACTGTGGGTCTGCCCTAGGGATCTGTGGAATTTTGAACTTGAGAGTATCTCAAGTTCTGGTGGGTATCTGGTGGAAAAAATTTCTAAGCAGCAAAGCATTCAGGAGGTAAGCTCACTACTTCTGACAAACTATTTTGATGTGTGTGAGCAAAGAAATGACCTCAAACTGAAACTTATATTTAGAAGGGAAGCAGAGTGTAGAAACTTGAAAAATTTGCAGCCTGGCCATGTGGTAGAACAAAAAGCCCATTTTCAGGAGAGAAATTCAAGCAAGCTGCAGAAACTTGCTTGCTTAACTAAAAGGAAGGCACATGCTGATAGCCAAGAAAATGAGGGATACCCTCCAGGCCATTTCAGAGACCTTTGCGGCAGCTCCTCCCATCACAGGCTCAGAGGACAACGAAGGAAGAATGGGACACTACTACATGCATCTCATCTGTTGCAGCTCTAGCCATGGCTCCAAGTGGCCCAGGTACAGCTCAGGATGCTGCTCCAGAGGGTTCAAGCCATAAGTCTTGATGGCTTCCATGTGGCATTAAGCCTGAGGGTGCACAGAGTACAAGAGTTGAGGCTAGATTTCAGAGAATGTATGAACAAACCTAGATGTACAGTCAGAAATCTGCTGCAGGGTCAGAGCCCTGATGGAGAATCTCTACGAGGGCACTGAAGAGGGGAAAGGTGGGGTTGGAGCCACCACACAGTGTCCCTACTGGACCACTATCTAGGGGAACTATGAGAAGAGGGACACTATCTTCCAGACCCCAGAATGGTAGATCCACCAGCACTTGTACCGTGTGCCTGGAAATGGTGCAAGCACTCAACACCAGCCCTTGAGAGCAGCTGTGGGAGCTGAACCCTGCAAAGTCACAGGAGTGGAGCAGCACAAGGCTTTGGGAGCTCACCCCTTGCAGTGGTATGCCCTGGATGGCGTCAAAGGAGATTGTTAAGCTTTAAGACTTAATAACTTTCCTACTGGGTTTCAGACTTGCATGGGGCCCGTAGCCCCTTACTTTTGGCCAATTTCTCCCTTTTGAAATGGGAGTATTTACCCAATCCCTGTACCCCCATTATACATTATATCTTGGGTGTTTTTTTTTTTTTAATTTTACAGGGTCTTAGGCAGAAGGGGCTTGCCTCATCTCAGATAAGACTTTAGACTTTGGATGTTTGAGTTAATGCTGAAGTGAGTTAAGACTTTGAGGGACTGATGGGAAGGCATGATTATATTTTGCAAACTGAGAAAGACAAAATTTGGGAGGGACTAGGGCAAAATAATATGGTTTGGATCTATGTCCCCAACCAAATCTCATGTCAAATTGTAATACCCAGTGTTGGAGGTGGGGCCTGATGGGAGGTTATTGGATTGTGGAGTGGTTTCTTTTTAATGGTTTAATACCATTTCCTTGGTGCTATTCTTATGATAGTGAGTGAGTGAGTTATTATGAAATCTGGTTGTTAAAAGGGTGTAGCACCTCCTCACCTCTCACTTTTCTTCCTGCTCCCCGCTATATGAAGCACCGGCTCCCTCTTCATTTTCCCACCATGGTTATACATTTCATGAGGCCTCCCCACATGCCCAGCAGATGCAACATTCTTTCTGTACAGCATGCAGAACTGTGAGTCAGTTGAAACTCTTTTCTTTATAAATTACCC
This sequence comes from Homo sapiens, assembly GCF_000001405.40. Classification (NCBI taxonomy): domain Eukaryota; kingdom Metazoa; phylum Chordata; class Mammalia; order Primates; family Hominidae; genus Homo; species Homo sapiens. The sequence continues at coordinate 41,578,631 of NC_000009.12, forward strand.
AATCTCGGGTATTTCTTTATAGCAATGCAATAATGGACTAATACACACCTAATAATATTATTTCCTTGAATCACGCAATCAATTAACAAAATCCTCTGTGTGAAATGGCTGGCTTCCTTTTATTGGTGGTTAACTGCTAATTAAACAATATTTTTGGCATTTCAATTTTGTTGTTATTATTGTTCAAAGCTTGTACAAAGCCTCCATCAAGTAGTCCAATTCTCCAGCTTCTGTCACTCCTGGACAACATTTGTATTTAAAAATACCTTTCAGCCAGGTGACACACACCTGTTGTCCCAGCTACTCAGGATGCTGAGGCGGGAGGAACACTTGAGCCCAGGAGTTCTGGGTTGTATGCACTATGCTGATGAAGTGTCTGCACTAAGTTTGGCATCAATATGTTAGCTTCCAGGGAGCAGAAGACCACCAGGTTGCCTAAGGAGTGGTCAACTCAAAAATTGAGCAGAATAAAACTCCTCTGCTTATCAGTAGTGGGATGACCCCTTTGAATAGTCACTGCACTACAACCTGGGCAACATAGTGAGACCCTATTTCTTAACAAAAAAAAAGAAAGAACTACCTTCCATATTTCTGCAAGTATGTGAGTTATCTTTGATGTAGTGTTACCTTTTCTCAGTGAATGAAGTGTAATAACCTCTTGTTCATTTTGTTTACAAAAATAAATAAATAAATAAAAGCAGGGACATTCTAAGTGGAATCAAGTTCCAAGTAATACAGACTTAATACTATTTATAGAATAATTCAATTTTATGATATATTTCATGTGTTGCTATCCTCAGTTATATTTACTCATGTATAGTTACATTTGTCAATGTCCTAGCTATAATCACCTATTTTTAGATTTTAATAAATGTAATTAAATTAATAGCATTTCTATTTTTATAACAAGTTCTAAAATTAAGCCACAGTAGAAAATTCATGATAAGATTAAGTTTGATTTTTATTTCACTTTTATATGTATGAATCTTAAGAATTTGGTATTTCCTATCTAATATTTGTCTTTCTGTTCTTGGAAACTAATTTCAAATTATTTACAAGTTTCAGAAGTATGCAGCCAGTGAAGAATCCAATATCATTTTGTTCAATATACCTATAATTTGAACTTAAATAAGTATACTTCCACAAATGTCACTGAAGCAAGTATTTCAAGTATTTATTTCCAGGTATAATTTCAATTATGGGGTATTCAGATATCTTGTTATATCAACAACTAAACATAATATATTAAATTATTTGAGATATAGAAAGTATATCTTGAAAACAGTGCAGTTGTAAATCTTTAAGGTAGGAAAGCAGCTCAGCAAATGTTTTCCTCCACTGTCCATGAGGCAAATGTCTAATGACTGTACACACACACTCACACTCACACACATACATACACATTCTGTCTCAAATATAGATATATATTCACACTCTGATTCAATGAATTCAACCTCATGACTAAGGATTTGAATAGTGTTTTTTAACCTTCATCCTTTCCTCTACTGCAATTTATAATTGAATTAGCTTACTTATTTCCTAGTAAAAACATTCCAGCATTGTGATACTATGATAAGGTTAAGATGTGAAAGTGTTTTTTACCATTTATTATAGAAAAACTATCTTATTTTCAGATTTATAAGAACCTTTTCAAATCCACCAAGGAAAAGTGTCTATGCCTTATAGATTGAAAAGCTCATCTTTACCAGTTAATTTACATTTTACTTTTTCCTAAAATATAAGGCTCTCCATATCTGTAGGTACACAGTTTGACTTAATTATCCTATGTTATATATTGTACATAATTATATGAGAGATAATGGCAATTTAAACAAATAAAATGATGGCTATTTCTTTTTATTAACTTCATCATATTTCACTGAGGTTTTCCTTACTTTAGGCTTCCTCGATGGCTGCAATGTATGCTAAAAGTAAATTTTTATGTGAAATGTTTAAAATATTTGAAAAAGATGCTTATTGTTTGTCAGGTTTTGCCACTGTTAGCATGACTCAGTACCCATAGAGTCTGTCTCTTAGGGATGTGAAGCAAATGATTTCTCTGATCCAAAACACTTCATATGCCTTAAAAGTCAAACAATGCAAAGATGTGATATTTAGAATACTAGTTACATAATAATGGATAATGACTTAGCTTTTAAAACAACTGCTTTAAACATGACACATTTAAAGCTAATTTGTAACTTTCATATGTTTCTGAAACTTTTACAGTCACTAAATAATTTGAGTAAAGCAAATGGGTTTCAGACCGATTACAATTTGGAAAGATTGATTATAAATTTTTAATAATATGTAACAAAGAAAAATGTGGTCACTTGATTATATACCTCTTCCCCAAGATCAAGTAAATACTTTATCAATAGAAAAAAGAAAGAAAAGCAAAAAGAAAAGAAAAAGAAAGCAACACTGCTATATAGAACATTTTTTTTCTAAATGGAATCCAGCAGCAAAAAAAAAGATAATTGAAGATACTATTAAAAGATACAATTTAATATTAATATTGACCACATTTATAAATTCACATAATTTTATAAAACATATGCACTTCTGAGTATAAAACACACATAATACAAAAAAGATTATTACATTTTAAATTGTTAAAATTTCCTCAATAGTTTTTCCACACCTGATGATTACTCTCAATCTCAACAAGATAATTATAAATGATGTTTATTATTCAAAATAGATTATTTTGTGTGTGTGTTTTATTCAATTAGGTGGTAAATTATAAGATTTTGCCAGGTGATTCAGAGAAGTAGCCTGGAAAAGTTTATATAGATGGTACTAAATGAAAGATAGAAAATTAAAAATTTATAGTTAAATTTATTAGAAACTTAAAATTCTTTAAAAAATTATAGTTAGGTAAATAAATCAACTAAATTTTTCCTTTTTCCTTCATATTGCAGAGTGTATTATTCCAGCCGGTTTACCATGCAGGCTTCCCAATTTGATACTAATTTTAACCTGACTTTTATATATCAATATTAAAGAGACGAAAAATAAATGTGATTTTCTCCAGCTCTATATCCCTCCAAGGAGAGCTTTGGAACTGAAATCCTAATCAGGGGATACATTTTTAATATTTTTGTCTCAAATGAATTTGGAGTCCTCCATAGTATTTCCAAAGTTGCAGAGCAGAAAAGAGGTTACCAATAAAATTGGGTAGTTCTCATCCCAATTACAGAATTAGGCCAAGTTATCAGATATGCAACAAATATCCACTCAGAAAGATTGAGTATTTAAATATTTTAATTTATGAAGTATTAGCCTATTGCTCAGTTAAAGTATTTTGGAAATTTTTCTTTAAAAAAATGTATCAAACTTGTGGTTAGATGACATTACTGACTCATTTTGCATCTGATCAAAACAAATAATGCATAAAACAAAGCAATGTAAGTTATAAAGCATTTTAAAATTGAAATAAGAGATCTTTATTTCTGTTGCATATCAAATGGGATTTATTGACTTCCTTTTCTCAAAAATGTCATATAGAAAACATTTCTACCCTCTAAAAATTACTAATAACATTAGCATCAATGACTTACAAGTAGACACAAGTAAGATGAAACACAGATTAACTCATACCATCAAATTCATATGGCCAAGTATAATCCCATTATATAACTATTTTCTATCACTAAGCATAGTCCAGCTATAAGTGTAAAAGGATGACGAAAAATGTTGCTAAAACATTAAGTGAAAATATACTGAAAAGAATCCCCAAAGACAAGAAATACAAGAACACACCAATTTGCCATCACACTTTATGTTCAGCCCTTTAGTGAAAAAAAAAGTTTTCTAATTAATATTTCATTTACATTGGGGACAAGTACATAATGTAGTCATCAATTTGCTTAGATTCTGAAATACCATTCATTTATGTACATATTTTCTCTATTCAAATGTACTATTCACATCACTTGTCAATTTGCATATATTAAATCATCATGCAAAATTTACCATATTTTGAGTATTTTATTAATAATGACCCTTTTCTACAATTTTTATATGCACTTAAATTTTAAACAGCCAAACATTCAAAGGCTTAAAAATCAACACTTGAATTTTAAAATACTATTTGTATGAAATGAAATATTTAATTACAAATGTTAACTATATGTTATTGCTGTAACTATTGGGATAGACAGTGGGCAGTTAGTATAAGCTACTTTGTTAATAAATAAAATTTTAAAAATAATCAATGGAATGTTCATTTCAAACTACTTTGTTATTTCATTTCATTTAAATTTAGCATAAACTTTACTTCGGCAGCCAATTCCTTAGTTGTTCTTCTCCATTAACTCATGACTACTTTAGCTCTTGATGCTAAGCATGATGATGTTTGGTTTCAGAAGTTGCCACATTAACAATAGGATCCTTCAAGCTACAATCATGCTAACCAATTTTGACAATTTTATATTTTATAGGGCCTAGTTCTAACATTCTATTGTTATTTAATTTTATAAATATTTTTTAAAATCTTGTTACTAAATTAAAAATAGACCTCTGGAAAATAAATCGAAAGGTTTTTTTGTTTTTTGTTTTTTGAGACAGAGTCTCACTCACTCTATCACTCAGGCTAGAGTGCAGCAGCCTGATCTTGGCTCACTGCAACCTCTGCTTCCTGGGTTCAAGCGATTCTGCTGCCTCAGTCTCCCAAGTACCTGAGAATACAGGTGCCCACAACCATGCCCAGATAATTTTTGTACTTTTAGTAGAGATGGGGTTTTGCCATGTTGGCCAGGCTGGTCTCAACTCCTGACCTACATGATCCACTCGTCTGGGCCTCCCAAAGTTCTGGGATTACAGGCATGAGCCACTATTCCCTGCCAAATTAAAAGTTTTTATATGAAAAAGATATACACAAAGCAAAGATACTTTCACAGTATGAAAGTGAATTATAATTGAGAAAAATATCTGCAGGCCGTAATAGAATAGTTCTATTTCAATAGTTCGCAAACAATTTGTTAGTTCTGCTGAATAAAAAAATTTCCAACACTTGTTAAAATGGTTAAGGATCACTTTATTTAAGATTAAAATGATAGGTGTCAAGATGATTCTAACAGGCAAGAGAGATAAGGTTCAACTCTGAACACAGCAAAGATATCTGGGAAGTGCAGCTAATGAGCAGAGTGAAAGGTTGTCAATGAATACAAATTACTAAGAGGAGACATCAAGGGTAGGGGATTTCTTGTTAGCTAACGTAAGAGGATTCTTGCTGAAGGCAAGCCAGAGTGATCAGATATCAAGAGTGGGAGATTCTCTCTAAACTGACTTAGCAGCATTCTTGCAACAGCTGGACTAGGCAGTGTAAAGACAGGGCCCAAGGACAAAGTAGAGTCAAAAAGAGTGTTCCTAGAAGCCTGACTAAAGCGTAGACAAGAAGAAAGTCTTCATCAGTTCAAAAGTCACTTTCTATACTTATGATTTGGCCATGAGCATTCCTATCTTTACTTAGTTTGGAGGAGTGGACTCAGCAGCATGTATGTTATGGGAAAAAAAGAGATTTGGAAAAATTACTTACATAAGTTTGAAAGGCAAGATGAATCTGGCCATATGGTAAAATCCAACAGAACTCTTCTGGTTATGAGTAATTTGTAAAATAATTCATACATTGCCCATTATATGCATTAGATATATGTAAATTTTACCATGCTTATTCTTCAGAACACAAAAAGTGAAATACAAAGGCAAACATGGTAAAGCAATTTATTTTAGTTTTTGTGAGTTGTTCTTCTAGAGTATGTTATATGACTCTATGCCCTCAGTTTGAAACTCTCATTGAACCATATCTAAATTAACTAATAAAATGAACTTTGAATTATATATGCCACTGTGTGCAAATTAACATTCATTGACTGTATGTGTATGTAAATATTGGCCAGTAAACAGAGCCATTTACATCTTCATAAAGAGAATAACACTTCCAACTAAAATTCCTTCTAAAATTGGACTCATATCAATTGGAAGTATTTCAAACAATTACTAAACTGATTTACTTGAACAAATATAGAAAATATTATCTAAGCTATGTGTACCTATTTTTTTATATTCCTAGAAATTAGGGGGAACTTTTATTTCCTTTGATTGAATATGAGTTTCTAACTTAACAAAATATATAATAGTGAGTCAGTAAAATGAATACTTTTACCAAGGATGGAAAGTGTTCTGAATTATCTAAAAGACATTTTCATTGCAGTTAACATTTGCCTGTGTAGATCAGATTAATATTAAAATCTATTTTTTTCTTTTAACAAAATTTAGCAAATGAGGAATTTTCTATTGGTTCATTTCTTCTGACATTTCTTCTATGTTGACCCTTCTCCCATTTCATGTTGCAAGATGTGAGATCTTACTTCATTTATCACATTCATATTCAAGGCAAACTAAATAGAATCGGGATGATAGGCTTGTACATTTATGCTTTTTTACAGAAACCTTTAGAGAAGTGTTCAGCTATACTGTATCTCACCTATAAAAGGTGGTTCACATTTCCAAATGGATAAAGGCTAGAAAAATCAAGAAAAAGAGCTGTCATGAGTATACGACAGCAAACATAATTTGGGGCTTAGACTCATGACCAAATTGAAGTTCTGTAAGTAAGAAATTAAGAGAAAATTAATATTGGGCAGGCAAAATCCATGTTGGTATATCCTTATGCATATAACTAGAAATATATTGCTAATTTTAATAAACTTACTTTCAAAAATGTATTCTGTGTTATTATACTTTAACATGTGTTCATTAACTGTGTGTGTTCCTAAACCTTGTCATATTTGGATATGATTTTTAGCAATAAATAGTGGGGCAAGATGAAAAATCTGAAGTTTTACAAAAACTAAATATAAGACAAAAACAATATATATTCAACTAAAAAGGAGTTGGCAACAAACTTCTCTGATTCTATATCAAATCCCAAAAAACAATGGAATATGTATCAGTAATTATTGACTACCATAGGGTAATAATAATAATAAATGGTCATAAAATAAATTAGTTAATGGAAAATGATAGATATTAATTATTGAATGATAAAGCACAATGTAAAACAAAATGATAGAAATAATCATACTCACAAACATAACAATCTGTATGTAGAAGTCTAGGTTTTCCAAATTAAAGCTGGTTACTCACAAAATCCTTGAAAAGAGTGAGAAGTTGGTGGGGTGATTATATTTTTAAGCTATGAAGTCAGATAGTGTGATGTTTCATCTCAGTACCACTATAAAATAAAGTTTTAATCCTGTTCATGTCACTCTTAATTTTCACTAGCTTTTTAGGTAAGGAAAATTCATGTCCATCCCTTCCTTGATTCATCTCTTTCAAAAGCAACATTTTAAATGGTTGATGACTTAACATCACTGCAACTATTTTCTCCTTCATTTAAGAACATAATCAACCATTTATGTGAGCATGTTTATTTTACACCTCAATTTTGGCTCAAGGAATATAACACATAGCGGTTTCTTTCTTTCATTTGCCATATCAAATCCATGAACACCTGCCTTTAAGATGTATCAGATTACTTTTACCTCTTACTAGCCATGTCCAGGCAACTGCCAAAGCACTGGATCATTGGAATAGCTTCATAAATGATGACCCTATTTCTCTCACTTTCATTCCTAGAGGCTGTTTTTCAGCCAGGAGTCAGAATGATTATAAAACATAAATCAAATAATTTCACAGTCTTGCTCATAGCTTTCTAATTGTTCCCCTTCTCAAAGTAAAACCCAAAACCTTGTCATTGTTTGTGAAAGCAACAATATGGGATCCTTCTCCATACCTCCCCCAATTTATTTTATCACAGCCCTCATTGTTTTGGTCATTCTATCCTTAAGAGCCTCCTGATATTTCTTGGAAATGCCAAGATTCACCCACCTTAAAAACCACTTTGTTTTTCTGTCTTTGAAAGAGACACGCGCTGTAGATATTTGCTTGCTACTCTACTTACTTCTAGACATCTCAGCAGAATTCTTTTGAGAGGCAGACAGTCACTCTGGATCTGCATTCAAATTTCACCCTAGAACTTATCCGCATGTTAATACTGCGTTTCTTTTTTTAATTTTTCACTGCCTTTCTCGCCCAAAAAGAAAGAACGTAAGCTCTTTTAGTCAGGGACAGCTATTTTTTTTTCTGTTTTCTCTTTTTCTTAACCTGGCATGAAGACACATTTCTGGCATAGAGCAAATGAATAATAAATATTTGTTGAATAATCTTGCATAAGTTAATCCTTAATTTGTCAACTGTTGATTCATTTTGCTCTGAAATCAATGACAATAAAAAAGAATTGTACTTCTATTTTGTACTTTTTTACTCAGAGTAAATATTTATTGAGATTTAATTTGTGCCCTGTAAACTGCTAAACTCCTAAATCCATTAGGTCTATTTCTCCCATGAGGTAAATATTTGCTCTTCATTGAGGATATAGCCAGCAAGGCAGAAACTAGTCTAGGACTTACAAACAATCTGATTTTATTATGTGGAGCAGGTAACATCGGGGTGAAAATAACTAAGAAACAAAGCAAGGAATAGTGATGAAAGTATTAGCACTAGCAGAGAACTAATCCTTTCCTCATGATAGTAAGGTCAATGGGAGAAACTAAAGTTCCAGAGATCCAGTAATGAGCCATTTCACAGTAGAATTACTGCTGGTGAGAAATGGGACCAGGGAGAAATATGACCTCTGATGTAGGTGTCATTAGAAGCAGAGAAAACAAACAAACGAAAACAGAAGTGGCCCTTCTCCTTGCCTTTTCCTGTCCTTCAATCTTTGGCTTTTGCCTTCCCTTGCCTGAATCTACCCAAAGACTAGATGACAAGGAAGCATGGGAAATGCAGATTTCTGTTACAGTGAAAAAATAAAAGAAAACTGCTGAGGAAATTGATCTGAGAGCAAACAAACTTTGATCAGCATATTAATATTATCATGTCATTTTACAGATTAAAAAATTCAAGTTCAGGGTTCGGGCTCACACCTGTAATCCCAGCACTTTGGGAGGCCAAGGGGGTTAGATCACTGGGTCAGGAGATCGAGACCATCCTGGCTAACATGGTGAAATCCTGTCTCTACTAAAAATACAAAAAATTAGCCGGGCGTGGTGGTGGGCACCTGTAGTCCCAGCTACTCGGGAGGCTGAGGCAGGAGAATGGCGTGAACCTGGGAAGTGGAGCTGGCAGTGAGCCGAGATCGTGCTACTGCACTCCAGCCTGGGCTACAGAGCGAGACTCCATCTCAAAAAATAATAATAATAATAATTCAAGTTCAGAGAGATGAAACAACTTTTTAAGGCAATCAGACTACAGATCTAACTGTCATTTACACTAAAACATTTTAGGAAAACAAAATCATAATGCTTTTGTGGTATTTTGATATTTCAAGAAAAATAGTTATATGTTTCGGTGTGTGGCGTGTGTGTGTGTGTGTATAAAATGATTCTACATTAAATCAAAAATTTAACTTAAAATTTTAAAGATAGAGTAAGGGCTGATAATAGGTTTACCACCAATGCACATTTTCAAGCAGTTAAGTGATTCTAATTAGTAAGAAAAAAACCTAGCAGTCCGTACCTAGCATATGGGCTGGCATATAGTTGGCACTCAGTGACCGTCTTTTGAAAGTTATTATGCCCTTGAGGCTGTTACAATTCCAAAATGAGATGGAGCAAAGTTTGTGATAGTTGTGATTTCACTTATAATTCACTTATAGGTGTTGAATTCTCAGTAAGGATAATCCAGGTATTTCACTTCCATTTATCCTTTGTAACATTTACTTAATACACACTTTGTGCTCTTATCGAACTTTTCTGTTATATTTTTAAAAGGTTTATTTGCCCTCCAGGTTAACTGGAGAAATAGTGTTTTATTCAAAGTTATGAAGAAGGACTTCCTCATTCTATTATTTCTACACAAATATTTATTACAAATATATAGATTACTTAAGTAGCTACTTATCTGATGACTTACAAAATGATTTGAGAACAATTTAAAGTTACGTGGTGTGCTTTCTGTACACATAACCCACATACTAAGTAATTTATAAAAATCCATAAAATAGGAAATTAACTTAAAGGTCACTAGGCTCTCAGAAGAATAAATGACCTTTGATGCTGGAAATCACTTACTATTTTTTTCAGGTTTTGCATAATATATTATGTATCACTGTTCTCAAGATATTTCTTATAAAAATTAAAAGAAAACTCACACAGAATGAACTGTTATAAAATATGTAAAATTTTAGAAACTCTCATAATTATATGAATACTTAAAGCACTGCTCTGGAAAAATAATTGAAAGATAAAAGGATATTTATCTTAAATGGTAGTAATTTTCATGTTTATTTAAAATAAGCACAGATAAAATTCTGAAAAAAGAATGATAAAGTGAACTCAGAGTAGAAAAATCCTTTAGTAGTGAAATAACAGGTAAAACAGGACTAAAATCTTTTAAATAATGTACTTAACTTACTTAGTTTTGAAAATATCATCATCATGTATAAAAGGCCATTTTATGTCCAGAGCAATGTTGGCCTTGGTCTAAGCCAAAATTCTTAGTAGAGAGTTTTTAGAGTGTTTGCTGTGGTAACATGTGTTAAACTTTTTTCAATATAGCCAATTCAAAAATTTTAAGTAAAATGTATGTTAGCTCTATTCTTACCTGCCATGCCTCTCAGATCTTATATCCTTATCTTATAACATCTGGCTGCTCCGTGATGGCCATTAAATCCCTGCTAGGAATTAGGAATCCATTCCTGTTTCAGGGTCCTCTTCATCACCTTCAAATTATTTATGTACAGTGTACTTTTGAAGGCTATACACTTTATATTTTTAACATTTAAAAAACGAATATTGATGCTATTTATTCACAGCTAAGTATATACACATTTAAATATTAATCCAATATACATGTATTTGGTGCACATTACATGCTGAGTACTTTTCTAGGCCCTGAGGCTAGAGCTGGGCACAACGGAGACAAGTCCTTGCTTTGTGAAGCAGAAAACAGATGACTTCCAGTAAAGTGCTAAGTTGTGCTTGGGAAAAATAAAATTAGAAAAGCAGCTAGAAGGTGTACTGGAGATGACAAGAAACTGAGAAGAGAGGTTGCTGTTATATAGAAAGGGCGGAGAAGGCTTCTAGCAAAAAGCAGCATTTTACCAGCTATCTGAAGGATATGTGAAGCCCTAAGGTCTTTAATTAGAAATGCTTTACTTGCAAGAGCAACAAAATATAAAATATTGATAATTTTGACAACAAATAACTTAGGATTTTCTAAAGAAAAATGACAAACTAGGTTGGCACCATGGTCTCTCACTTGTTATTTATTTTAAGTCTAATTTCTCTACTTATATAAAGGATGCAATTTTTGTTTGGTATATGGTTTTACTCAATATATGAAGATATTGAGTAAATATCAATTATTATTACAACTTTTAAAAACAAAAACAAGGGACAAAAGATGAGATTTGACTAAATCGTGACCATGTTTTCTTAAATGAGTGTTATCGATACACATTTTTTTCCAAATTACTTTAGTAAGTTTTATAATTTTAAAACACCTTAATGCATTCTAATTCTCCTCATTTATTGGAGTTAATATTTACTTTAATTAATAAAATTTTAGTCTATTTTTCTCTTTTTCGAAGACCTTTAAAATATGGATTTCACATTTTCACAAGATAATTTTTAGAATTTTTGTAAATATCCAAATGGGGTGCTTTCCTATTGTTGGGATATTCCCTTTTACTAATACTGCTTTCATATTCTCCTTTCTGTAATGTATCTTAACTTCTTTTGTTGCAGAGAATGTGAACAATATCTGAAACTATACTATGGCCCTACAAAAGTTGTCATGTTGTCTATGCTAACTGTTGTGCTAATTTTACTCTTTCGGTAGTGCCTGGTATAAAGTTTGGGTCTATCATGGTGATGTACTGGTACCTTACATATACCTTTGCTATATTGCACTTCACATACTGCCTTTTTCACAAATTGAAGGTTTGTGGCAAGCCTGCATTGAGGAAGTCTACTAGAGCCACTTTGTTTACAACATGTGCTCACTCCATGTCTCCGTGTCACATTTTGGTGATTCTCACAATATTGCAAGCTTTTTCACTATTATTATATCTGTTATGGTGATCTGTATTCAGTGATCTTTGATGTTGCTACTGTAATATGGGGAGAAACCACAAACCATACCTTTAAGAGATAGCAACTTAATCAATACATATTGTGTGTCTTCTGACTACTCCACTGAACAGAACTTCCCTGTCTCTCTCCCTCTCTTAGTGACTCCAATTTGTGAGACACAACAATAGTGAAATTAGGCCAGTTAATAACCTTATAATAGGCTCTAAGTGTTCAAGTGTAAGAAAGACTTTCATGTGTGTTATTTTAAATCAAAAGCCGGAAATACTTAAGCCTGGCAAGGAAGACATGTCAAAAGCCAACTTAGATCTAAAGCTAGAACTCTTGTTTTTAACAGTTAGCCAAGTTGTGAATGCAAAGAAAAAATTCTTGAAGGAAATCAAAACTGCGACTCCAGTGAACACAGGAACAATAAGAAAGAGAAACAGCCTTATTGCTGAGACTTGGAATGTTTTAGTGGTTTGGCCAGAAAGTCAAATCAGCTACAACATTATCTTCAGCCAAGACGCAATCTAGACCAAAGCTCTAATGTTCTTCAATTCTATGAAGGCTGAGAGAGGTAAGAGAAAACTGCAGAAGAAAAGTTGGAAGCTGACAAAGGTTGGTTCTTAAGGTAGAGGGAAAGGAGCCATCTTAACAACATAAAAGTGGAAAGTGAAACAGTAACTGCTGATGAAAAAGCTTCAGCAAATTATTTAGAAAATTTAGCTAAAATAATTGATGAATGTGACTACCCTAAACAACAGATTTTCAATGTAGACAGAACAGTTTTATATTGAAAGAAGATTTCATCTAAGCCTTTCATAGCTAGAGGGGAGAAGTCAATTCCTGGCTTCAAAGCTTCAAATGACAGACTGACACTCTTGTTAGGGGTTAGTGCAGCTAGTGACTTTCAGTTGAAGCCAATGCTTATTTACCATTTGAAAATCCTAAGGCTAATAAGAATTATGCCAAATCTACTCTGCTTGTCTCTATAAATGAAGCAACAAAGCCTTTATGACAGAACACCTGTTTATAGCATGGTTTACTGAATACTTTAAGCCCACTGTTGAGACATACTGATCCAAATAAAAGATTCTCTTTCAAATATTACTGCTTGTGGACAATGTACATGGTCACCCAAGAGCTCTGATGAACATATACAAGGACATTAATGTTGTTTCATGCAACCTAACACAACACCAATTCTGTAGCTCATGGATCAAGAAGCAATTTTGACTTTCAGGTCTTATAACTTAATATATACATTTTGTAAGGTTGTAGCTGTCATAGATAGTGATTCCTCTGATGGATCTGAAAAATCTTCTGGAAAAGATCCACCATTCTAGATACTATTAGGAACATTTGTGATTCATGGAAGAAAGCTAAAGTATCAACATTAGTAGGAGTTTAGAACAAGTTGCTTCCAACCCTCATGGATGACTTTGAGGGGTTCAAGACTTCAGAGGAGAAAGTAATTGCAGATGTAATGGAAATAGCAAGAGAACTAGGATTAAAAGTGGAGCCTAAAGATGTCACTGAATTGCTGCAATCTTGTAATATAACTAACAGATGAGCAGTTGCTTCTTATAGATGAACAAAGAAAGTGGTTTCTTGAGATGGAATCTATTCCTGGTGAGGATACTGTGAACATTATTGAAATAACAATGAGGATTTAGAATAGTCCCTAAATGTAATTGATAGAGCAATGGCAGGGCTTGAAAGGATTGCCTCTAATTTTGAATGAAGTTCTACTGTGGATAAGTACTATCAAATGATATCCTATGCTACAGAGAAGTCTTTCATGAAAGAGTCATTCAATGCAGCATACTTCATTGCTGTCTTATGAAACTCTGTGCACGGCGGCTCACACCTGTAATCCCAGCACTTTGGGAGGTCAAGGAGAGCAGATCACCTGAGGTCAGGAGTTGGAGACCAGCCTGGCCAAAATGAAACCCCATATCTACTAAAAATGCAAAAATTAGCTGGGTGTGGTGGCAGGCACCTGCAATCCTGGCTACTTGGTAGGCTGAGGGAGGGGAATTGCTTGAACCTGGGAGGTGGAGGTTACAGTGAGCCGAGATGGTGCCATTGCACTCCAGACTGGGCGACGGAGTGAGACTCTGACTCAAAAAAAAAAAAAAAAAGAAAGAAAAAGAAATTCCCACAGCCACCCCAGCCTTTAGCAATCACAACCCTGATCAGTCAGCAACCACCAGTACTGAGGCAAGACCCTCCAGCAACCAAAACATTATGACTCACTGAAGGCTCAGATGATTAACATTACTTAGCAATAAAGCTTTTTAAAATTAAGGTAAGTACATTATTTGTTTAACCATAATACTATTGCACCCTTTACAGTACAATGTAAACATAACTTTTATATGCATTGAGAAACCAAAAATTTTTGTTGACTTGTTTTATTGTGATTTTTGCTTTATTGTGATGGTCTGGAACAAAACCCACAGTATCTTCAAGTATGTCTCGAATATGTAGAGAATTTTTAAAAATTTTTAGCATATTTTACAAAACTTATTGCCTTATAAGTACTCACTCAATATTTTATTTAAGGAGTACGTCTTGATTTTTAAGGGGTTCTTAGCTTTATTGGTTATGTATTAAATAAAACCTCAGCATTTCAATCATAATGTATAAGAAGTATGTTTATGTCATTATTTTTAAAACATAATTTGAATAAATGTATAATATTCCATGTATGCTGTTATCATAACATATTTAAAAATTTTAGCAACATTCAATATCTCTTATTTTATTATCATATTTTAAAAATTAAAGCCTAATGATCACACTTTTTACATAAGCTTTCGTTTGATTTTACTTTCAAAGATTATGGTCAAGTTCTCTCACTATGTAGACTCTTTTTCAATCATATATTTCTAGTTTCATAAATGACACAGCATGTTTCTTACTTCAAAAATAGCATAAACTTGAAATTAGATTCCTATTTAGGTACATTTGAATAATTTAAAGTAAATGTCTTACATTGCAGAGCTAGAAAAATGTTTATTTTTTATATTTTGGTTTGCTTTTGGTTCTTTTAGTTCTTTAGTTAGCTTTTTTTTTTAAAAAATAAAACACTTCACAAATATTCTCTCTAAAATATATGTACAAACTAAATGTGGTTTGCTTTCAGCTACAGTTGACCCTTGAACACATGTGTACACTACGCAGGTCCACTTATATGCATATTATTTTTTCAACCAAACTCAATAAAAAGTGCGGTGTTTTCTGTAGGGTTGCCTTTTCCTATAAACAGGTTCCACAGGGCCAACTGGGAAACTTGAGTATATGTGGATTTTGGTACATGAAGGTGCCCCTGGAATTGATCCCCACCTATATGGAGAGATAACTATATGTTGTGTTTGCTAGATTCACCAGCCAGAGATAATATACTATTATAGAATGCTTTAGATTTATACAATTACCTAATATATTTGGCACATTTTTATTTATGGCTCACATCAAGTTACATACTCAATACATGTCTGACTTAGCTTCTTTATCTGTAATCTGAGAATACTCCTTTTCCTGAATACATATCATGATGACAAGGATCTTACAAAACAAATCATGTCAAAGACTAGGCATGTGCTAGTTAGTTTTAAACATTCTTTAACAAATAATCTCCAGGGGCACTACCTTCAACACTCAATCTTTGAGAAAATCTAGTTTTTAAATGGTCCACATTTTGCATTAATTTTTAAAAATGTATTGAAGACCGTAGGAAAGAACTGGAAAGATTTCTGAGACATCTGAAAATAATAGAAAATAATCTATTTTATATCAAGAAACATTGAACAAAAATGAAATAAATAAAAAAATTCTGTGGAAGAAGAAATTAATTCAACCTCATATATTTCTCAATTTATTCAATGATGAGGTCACTTGATTTACTTCATGTGTACATTTCAATGAATGACTGCATGTCCAAAATATATTTTATACATTTTTACTGAGATTATTCACACTTCAGTCTTCCTGCTTTGGTACAAAATATTTTAGACAAACTATTATACTTGTTCATGTATAACTGTCACTTTAGTGACTGCATGTCCAAAATATATTTTATACATTTTTACTGAGATTATTCACACTTCAGTCTTCCTGCTTTAGTACAAAATATTTTAGACAAACTATTATACTTGTTCATGTATAACTGTCACTTTAGTTATAAAAATGATGCTTAAGTTAAAAACAAAATGGCCGGGCGCGGTGGCTCACGCCTGTAATCCCAGCACTTTGGGAGGCCGAGGCGGGTGGATCATGAGGTCAGGAGATCGAGACCATCCTGGCTAACAAGGTGAAACCCCGTCTCTACTAAAAATACAAAAAATTAGCCGGGCGTGGTGGCGGGCGGCAGGAGAATGGCGTGAACCCGGGAAGCGGAGCTTGCAGTGAGCCGAGATTGCGCCACTGCAGTCCGCAGTCCGGCCTGGGCGACAGAGCGAGACTCCGTCTCAAAAAAAAAAAAAAAAAAAAACAAAATAATTTTAATAAAGAAGTGTGAGAAGTAATATATAACCTCTGAGTCAGTCAGAATCTAGCAAATCTTTATAGGTCACATACATTAAACATTCTTACATTCACTGTCAGTGGCTCTAATTAAGAATGATCATATAAAAAGATCTTTTCATTTTTCTTGGCTTTTTCTAGTTTGCCCAAATCGCACCAATTATTTCTTCTATACTGTTGGTTCATGAGTTCGTGACTGTACATAGTTAGTAATTACTTAAAATCAGATTTTTTTTTTACATTTTACTGAAACATAGTTTAATTCACCTTTGCTTTTCTCCCACTAGCTTGATATATTATTGAACTATAATAATTTTAAAAAGAAAAATCACACTATGCCAAAGATAAGGAAACATTTAAATGACAGAACTATTTTGTCTGAATAAAGACACAAGATCATATATAGAGAAGAGAAAATGAGCTAATTCATATATTTGGATGATATGAAGTAGATTAAATATTTTATGTTTTTAAATAAGTAACATGTTAAGCAAGACAGAAAATTATTTTTAATAAAATAAAAAATATACAAAAGCTTTAAAATTCATGCAAATATCTAAATGAAAGAAGAAATCAGACAATGTATATCTTGGCATTGTTCAGTTGGGGATTATTGCTTGGACGATATTTGCTATATTTGTATTTCTCTGTCTTGTTATTTTTTTTTCTATTAGCTGAACATAAAAATTTCAAACACGAAACTAAAATAAATGAGTAAAATAACATCATTATGGGCTGACATACTTTTGGTGTGTTAAGGTGTATTACTAATATGATACATATTGTAAAAACCATCAATAATAATTTAAAATTATAATATTTAACAATAAAATTACTATGTTTTGTAATTAACTATGCTAACTATATCATTAACTATATTAATGACTGATATTGCATAAAAATATATTTGTATAGCAGATAAAAAGATGGGGGAGGGATAGCATTAAGAGAAATATCTAATGTAAATGATGAGTTAATGGGTGCAGCAAACCAACACGACACATGTATACATATATAACAAACCTGCACATTTTGCACATGTGCCCTAGAACTTAGAGTATAATAAAAAAAAGTTGTAAAGATAAATTTTGTCTAGAATTCAACTAAGAGGCACCTAGAAATTTTTAAGGATAATTAAAATTCGAAGATGAAATTTGAATGTTAACATAAAGCAAAATAAAAGAAATGCCAAATACATACAATTTTAAAACTATAACAACTTCAAAATTCAAAAAGAAACTTTTATATTATTATGTTATATAATATTTTTATTTTTAAAGGCACTTTTTTCTTGTGATTAAAGGTATGTGTTCTCTTAAAAACATGTATTTCTCTACATTTAAAAAAATGATTTTTTAACTTAAAAAATAAATTATTTTCTTCCTTTTTCTATTCCTATTTTATTTTTTTAAATTTTTTTAGACTTTTGGCCATTTTTCTTAACTTTATATAGCACTAAAATGACTTATAAAATACTATAATTATATAAATTTTGATAGGATGTTAGTGGAAATTTATATGCTATTCTGTTAGTTTATTAAATTAATGTTTATTTTTATACAAACATTAATTATTTTCAAAGTGGCCACTAAAATGAATAATAAGCAATCATAAAATAATTATACAAAATTATATAGATAAATAAGGGCAGAAATTGTTTATTTTTATATAACTATTTATTTTATTTTATTTTTTTGAGAGGGAATCTCGCTCTGTCACCCAGTCTGGAGTGCAGTGGCACGATTTCGGCTCACTGCAAACTCCACCTCCTGGGTTCACACCATTCTCCTGCCTCAGCCTCCATAGTTGCTGGGACTATAGGTGCCCACCACCACATCCAGCTAATTTTTTTTTTTTTTTGTATTTTTAGCAGAGACAGGATTTCACTGTGTTAGCCAGGATGGTCTTGATCTCCTGACCTCATGATCCACCCGCCTTGGCCTCCCAAAGTGCTAGGATTATAGGCATGAGCCACTGCGCCCAGCCAGAAATTGTATATTTTTAAATACACTAATAATCTTAATAATGCATCCGGTATATTTATATGAGTTACTGAGAAAGGTGTATTAGAATCACCTTCAATAATTTTGGTTTTAAAAATTTATCCAATTAAGAGACACTAGACCTTCTTTTTTCTTCCTAGTGAAAATACAATGAGAAGGCAGCTGTCTGCAAGCCAGGAAGAACTCTTACCAAGAATTGAATCTGCTGGCACCTTTAACTTGGACTTGCCAGCCTGCAGAACTGTGAAAAACAAATGTCTTTTGTGATCAAGTGCCAAGATGACTTACTAGAAGCAGCTAGTATGCTCCACTCTCGTGAAAAGGAAATAGACTGGCCAGTAAACACTAGCACTTCAACTGGATCTTCCAAGAGGACATGTTGGGATTCAGCAAGGAAGCAACAGAAGCCATGGAGAACAAAAACAGCAAGACACAACAGCCACCCACCCAGGATTGGGTGGAGTCAGGGGAGGATCCTTACCACAAAGAAATAGTGACTGAGAGAGAGCCCCATGGCCCCATACTTCTGTCACGGACCTTTGTAATCATAGGCACAGGTGATCCACCCTGAGTCCCTCCCCCTGGGGCCTTCAGACTAACAAGGAGAGCTGCATAGAATCTGGGCAGAGCTCCAGATCAGGCACATGAGAAGTCCCAGGGGTCTTAGACCCCTAAGCACCCCAGTGCTAGTTGCCATAGCTTCACCAACAAGAACGCCAAGTTCTCTGCATGCCAAAAGTTAGTGGCTACATTCATGGTTCTGAGGAGCAGAGGGACTTCATGCCTTGCCTCTGGTTAACCTCTCCAGGCAAGGCACACTGACCTGGAACTCCAGAACAGCCATGAAACACCCATTTGACCTCTTCAACTGGCAGCAGCTCTGCATTTCTCTGGGATGAAGCTCCCAGATGCAATAGACATATCTGCTGTTTTTGCTGCTATTGCAGCTCCAGCCACTACCCAACTGCCTTCAAGGTCAGGAGGGAGTGAAGAGTGTTATGACTGTTGTGGGCCTCCAGCACAGGGCAAGCTGCCTTCTGGAAAAGCAGTCATATAGTTTTTAATGTTGGTCATGGCCCCTTCTACTCCTCACTGGTCAGGGCCTCCTGGCTTGAGCCTCCAGCACAGCCACCTACCTCAGCCTGACAACTTGGGCCAGAAGCAGCATTGCATTTCCCTGGGACAGAGCTCTCATAGGTATAAGACAGGCCTGCCGTTTTTGCCTGCTATAGCCCCTGCCCATAATGCCCTCAGATCAAGAGATAGCAAAGAGGCTTAAGGATTATAGCAGGTCTTCAGCTCAGCACATCTGCCTTATGGAGGTGTTGTCAGACTTTTTTCCATGTCTGTCTTTGCTCCTGCTACTTCTCACTGGGTAGGGCCTCCCGACCTCGGCCCCAGCACAGCTACCCTGCTCCCACTTGAACACTTCAGACAGTGGCACCTGTGCATTTCTCTGGGATAGAATTCCCAGTGACAACCCACAGCCCCTCTGCCATTACATACAGTGGTACCACCCTTGCTGCCTGATATGGTTTGGCTCTGTGTCCCCATTCAAATCTCATCCTGTAGATCCCACAATTCCCATGTTTTGTGGGAGGTACCTGGTGGGAAATGACTGAATAATGGAGATGGGTATTTCCCATGCTGTTCTCGTCATAGTGGATGGGTCTCATGAGATCTAATGATTTTAAAAACAGGAGTTTCCTGACACAAGCTCTCTCTTAGCCTGCTGCCATCCATGTAAGATGTGACTTGCTCCTACTTACCTTTCACCATGATTGTGAGGCCTTCCCAGCCACGTGGAACTGTAAGTTGATTAAACCTCCTTCTTTTGTAAATTGCCCAGTCTCAGGTCTGTCTATCAGCAGCATGAAAATGGAATAATACAGTAAATTGGTACCAGTAGAGTGGGCTCTACTGAAAAGTGCCTGAAAATGTGGAAGCAACTTTAGAACTGGGTAACAGGCAGAGGTTGAAACAGCTTGGAGCACTCAGAAGGAGACAGGAAAATGTGGCAAAGTTTAGAACCACCTAGAGACTTGTTGAATGGTTTTGCCTAAAATGATGTTACTGATACGGACAATGAAATCCAGGATGAGGTGGTCTCCAATGGAGATGAGGATCTTGGGGACTAGAACAAAGGTGACTTTTGTTATGTTTTAGCAAAGAGACTGGTGGCATTTTGCTCCAGGCCTAGAGATTTGTGGAACTTTGAACTTGAGAAAGATGATTTAGGGTATCTCATGGAAGAAATTTCTAAGCAGCAAAGCATTCAAGATGTGACCTGGGTGCTGTTAAAGTCACTCAGTTTTATAAAGGAAGTAGAGCATAAAAGTTCAAAAAGTTTGCAGCTTGACAATGTGATAGAAAAGAAAATCCCATTTTCTGAGGAGAAATTTAAGTCAGCTGCAGAAATTTGTATAAGTAATGAGGAGATGAATGTTAATCCCCAAGACAATAGGGAAAATGTCTCTAAGGCATGCCAGAGGTCTTCATGGCAGCCCCTTCCATCACAGGCCTGGTGACCTAGGAGAAAAAAAGTGGTTTTGTGGGCCAGGCCCAAGGTCATCATGCTGTGAGCAGCCTGGGGACTTGGCACCCTGTGTCCCAGCTGCTCCAGCCATGGCTGAAAGGGGCCAATGTAGACTTTAGGCTGTGGCTTCAGAGGGTACAAGCCCCAAACCTTGGCAGCTTCCACTTGATGTTGAGCCTGTGAGTGCACAGAAGTCAAAAATGGGGGTTTGGGAATCTCTGCCTAGATTTCAGATGTATGGAAATGCCTGGATGTCCAGGAATAAGTTCACTGCAAGGGTGAGGCCCTCATAAAGAACCACTGTTTAGGGCAGTGTGGAAGGGAAATGTGGGGTTGGAGCCCCCACAGAGAGTCCCTACTGGGGCACTGCCTAATGCAGCTGTGAGAAGAGGGCCACCGTCCTCCAGACCCCAGAATGGTAAATCCACTGACAGCTTGCACCGTGCACCTAGAGAAGACTAAGACACTCAATGTCACCCTGTGAAAGCAGCCATGAGGGAGGCTGTACCCTACACAGCCACGGGGGAGGAGCTACCCAAGACCTTGGGAACCCACCTCTTGCATTAGCATGACCTGGATGTGAGACATAGAGTTACTGGGAGATCATTTTGGAGCTTTAAAATTTGACTGTCCCTCTGGATTTCACACTTGCATGGGGCATGTAGCCCTGTTGTTTTGGCCAATTTCTCCCATTTGGAATGGCTGTATTTACCCAATGCCTGTACCCCCATTGTATCTAGGAAGTAACTAACTTACTTTTGATTTTACAGGCTCATAAGTGGAAGGGACTTGACTTGTCTCAGATGAGACTTTGGACTGTGGACTTTTGAGTTAATGCTGAAATTAGTTAAGGCTTTTTGGGACTGTTGGGAAGGCATGATTGGTTTTGAAATGTGAAGATATGAGATTTGGGAGGGGCCAGGGGTATAATACTATGGTTTGACTCTGTGTCCCCACCCAAGTCTCATCTTGTAGTTCCCATAACTTCTACATGTTGTGGGAGGGACCCAGTGGGAAATGATTGAATCATGAGAGTGAGTCTTCCCCATGCTGTTCTCATGATAGTGAATGGGTCTCATGAAATCTGATGGCTTTAAAAATGGGAATTTCCCCAAACGAGGTCTCTATTTGGCTGCAGTCATCCATGTAAGATGTGACTTGCTCCTCTTCTTGACTTCTGCCATGAGTTTGAGGCCTCCTCAGCCATGTAGAACTACAAATTGATTAAACCTCTTTCTTTTGTAAATTGTCCAGTGTCAGGTATGTCTTTATCAGCAGTGTAAAAAAGGACTAAGAAACTCCCCTTGGGCTGGGGAAAGAACAAAATCCTGGTTGCTTCACTAGCTCCTTCATCATGACACAGCTGCCATATAGCGTAGAGCCCAGTCTCTCTTCCTTGTGAGCTCCCAACTCCTATCCTTCACTAAGCAGAACTCCTTGCTTGGGCCTGCAGAGTAGCTACCTCACCCAAGCTGAACATTTCTATTGCCAGTGGCTCTGTGTTATCCTGTGATGGAGCTCCCAGAGGCAAATGACAGCCAACTGCCACTGCCAATGCAGTAGTACCTGCCCTTGCTGTCTTAGACTGGGAAAGAAATAAAAGAGCCTGAATGCTTTACTCATGCTTCCAGCACACTATGATTACCATATGATCACCATATGGCATGGAGCCCAATCTCTATTCTCTGTGAGCCCCTGATCCCCTGCTCTTCACCAGGCAGGGGTCCCAGCAAAGGCTCATAGTGCAGCAGCCCCACTCCAGGCTGAAAATGCCCAGTGGCAGTGGTTCTGCATTTCTCTGGGGTGGAGATCCCAGAAGCAACTGAAAGTTTTTCTGCAACCGCTATTCAGCAGTACTGCCCTTGCTGCCCTCCAACTGGGGAGGGAACAAGACCCCAAGTGCTTTACTCACACCTCCAGCACACTGCAGCTACCCTACAGAGAAGAGATGAATCTGTCTTCTCACAAGCCCTGACACCCTCTGCTCATCACCAGTAGTGTCCCCCAGCTTGGTTCCAAAATGCACAGGCCCCATCAAAGGTTGACCACTCCATTTGGCAGCATCTCTGCATTTCTGTATGGTGGAGCTGCAAAAGACAAGTGATAGACCTCCACACATTACCACTGCCAAGGTCCTCACCCCTTTTGTCCCCAAGCTTGTGAGGAAACAAAAACCTTGAGCTCACCCCAGGGCTGTGATGTGCAGCACTGCAGTGACAAGCCAAGCTATGCAGCCAGCATTTCAGTAGGAGGGAAGCCTACACACACAGAATACTGACACGGAGCATGGCTGCAAATGTGAGAAAATATATATTTGTGTATGAACAAGAGCCTACCTATCAGCCATTATAGGTAGGTAGGCTGAACAAGAGCCTACCTATCAGCCATTATACCTAAGTGTCATCAGCCAGATTGCAGCAGAAACTTCAACTCTAAAATTACTTTGCTAATATAAGCCTCTGTGAAACCCAGGACAATAATTCAGCTACTAATAAAGATCATGCAAAAAGGTGCTTTGAAAACATCCAGAAACAAAGTCAACTGACTATGCTCAAATTATACCACAGTTAAAGAAACACCAGCCCACACAGATGAGAAAAAAGCCAACATAAGAACTCTAGCAACTCAAAAAGTCAGAGTGTCACTTTACCTCCAAATGACTGCACTAGTTCTACAGCAATGGTTGTTAAATAGAAGGAAATGGCTGAAATGACAGATATAGAACTGAGAGGTAGAAGGAAATGAAGATCATTGAAATTCAGTAGAAAGTTGAACACTATTTCCAAGAATCTGAGGAATCCAGTAAAATGATTAAAGAGAAAAAAATTAGCCATTTGAAAAAACAAAACAAGACAAACAAACAAACAAACTAAAACCAAACCTAGCAGGTAGAGTTACAAAATACACTACAAGAATTTCATAAAATGATTGGAAATATTCACAGCAGAATGGACTAAGCCAAGAAAAGAATCTCAGAGATTGAAGACTGATTATTTAAGTTAACACTGCCAGAAAATAAATAAAGAAAAGAAGAATTTTAAAAAATGAAAGGTCAGGCATGGTGGCTCATGCCTGTAATCCCAGCACTTTGGGAGGATATTGAGACCATCCTGGCTAACACGGTGAAACCCTGTCTCTACTAAAAATACAAAAAAAAAAAAATTCACTGGGCATGGTGGCAAGTGCCTGTAGCCCCAGCTACTCAGGAGGCTGAGGCAGGAGATTGGTAGGAACACGGGAGGTGGAGCTTGCATTGAGCCGAGATCATGCCACTGCACTCCAGCCTGGGCTACAGAGCAAGACTCCATCTCAAAAAAAAAAAAGAAAGAAAAAGAAAAGAAAAAACCTTGGAGAAGTAAGGGATTCTGTAAAAAATTTCCCCAATTTCACTAGAGAGATTGACATATAAATTTAGAAAATTCAGATAACCTATGTAAGATGCTATGTAAGACAACCATTGCAGAGACACAAAGTAATCAGATTCTTGAAGGTCAATGCAAAAGAAAAAAATATTAAAGGCAGTTAACGACAAGGGGCAGGTCACATAAAGTGGAAACTACATCAAACTCACAGGGGAACTCTCAGCAATATCCCACAGTCAGAAGACATTAAGAATCCATATTCAGCATTTTTGAAAAAATAAAATTTTGAACCAAGAATTTTATGTCCCACCAAACTAAGCTTCATAAACAAGGGAGAAATAAAATCCATTTCAGATAAGCAAAAGCTAGGGGAATTTATTACCACCAGGCCTTTAGAGACCACAAGAGATCCTTAAGAAAGTGCTAAACATGAAAATGAAGGACTGTTACCTAGCACCAGAAAAACACACTCAAGTATATAGACCATCAACACTATAAAGTAATTACACAATCAAGTTTACATAACAACCAGCTAACAACATGCTGGGAGGATCGAATGTGCACATGTCAATATTGAAGATAAACAAGCTAAACACCCACTTAAAAGGCATGGAGTGGCAAAGTGGATAAAGAATCAAGACCCAACTGTATGCTGTCTTCAAGAGACCCATCTCACATGTGAGAACACCCATAGGTTCAAAGTAAAGGGATGGAGAAAGAACTACCAAACAAATGAAAAACAAAGAAAAACAGGTGTTGCTGTTCTTATTTTAGATAAAACTGACATTAAACTAACGATGATCAAAACAGACAATAAAGGGCATTACGTAATGATGAAGGATTCAATTAAACAAGAAGACTTAACTATCCTAAATATATATGCACCTAACACTGGAGCACTCAGATTCACAAAACAAGCTCTTAGAGATATACAAAGAAACTTACATAACTACACAATGACAGTGGCAGACCTCAACACCTTACTGACAGTGTAAGACAGATCACTGAGGCAGAAAACTAACAAGGATATTCGGGACCTAAACTTGACACTTGGCCAAATACACCTAACAGACATCTGCAGAACACTCCACACATCAACAACAGAATATATATTCTTATCATCTGCACGTGACACATATTCTAAAATCAACCACATGCTCAGCTATAAGTCAATTCTCAACAAATAAAAAAAAAATTTTACCAGCCACACTCTCAGACCAGAGCACAATAAAAATACAAATCAATACCAAGAAGATCTGCCAAAACTGTAGGATTAAGTGAAAATTAAACAACCTGAACCTGAATGACTTTTGTGTAAACAATAAAATCAAGGCAGAAATCAAGAAATTCTTAGACTCTGATGAAAACAAAAATACAACACACCAGAAACTCTAGAACACAGCTGAAGCATGGTTAAAAGGAAAGTTGATTGTGCTAAACACTTATGTCAACAGCTAGAAAGATCTCAAATTTGCAACCTAACATCACAGATAGAGGAACCTAAAAAACAAAACAGAACCAACCTCGAAGGTAGTAGAAGAAAAGAAATGGCCACAATCATAACTGAAATTAACAAAATGGAGATGAGAAAAAAATGTAAAAAAATCAACAAAACTGAATGTTGGGTATTTGAAAGAAAAAATAATGTTGGTAGGCCATTATCTAAACTTATAAAGAAAAAAAAGAGACAATATTCAAATAAACACAATCACAAAAGAGACAAAGGGGACATTACCAGTGACCCCACAGAAATACAACAACCCTCAGGGATGATTATGAACACCTCTATGTACACAAACTGAAAAACCCAGAGAAGCTGCATAAATTCCTGGAAGCAATCTTCAAAGATTGAACCAGGAAGAAAATGAAACTTTGAACAGACTAATAGGAAGGTCCAAACTGAATTGGCAATACGATGCCTATCAATCAGAAAAAGTGTTGGCCTCAAAGGATTCACTGCCAAATTCTACCAGATGTATAAAGAAGAGCTGATACCACACCTACTGAAACTATCTAAAATAATTGAGGAGGAGGGACTCATAACTAACTCATTCTATGAGGACAACATCATTCTGATACCAAATCCTGGCAGAGATGCAATGAAAAAAAAAACTTCAGACCAGTATTTCTAATGAACATAGATAAAGAAATATTCAACAAAATACTAGCAAACCAAATCTAGCTGTACATCAAAAAGCTAATCCACCACAATCAAGTAGGTTTTATTTCTTGCATAATATTTCCAGAATGGTACTTCCAAGGTTTTCTTCTAGAGATTTTATAGTTTGAGGTTTTACATTTATGTCTTTAATCCATCCTGGGTTGATTTTTGTGTATGGTGAAAGGTAGGGGTCCAGTTCAAATCTTCTGTGTATGGTCAGCAGGTTATCCTGGCACCATTTGTTGAATAAGATGTCCTTTCCCCATTGTTTGTCTTTGTCAGCTTTGTTAAAAATCAGATGATTGTTTATGTATGGCTTTATTTCTGTGCTCGCAAAACTGTTCCATTACACTATGTGTCTGTTTTAGTTACTGTAGCCTTGTAGTATAGTTTGAAGCCAGGGAGTGTGATGCCCCCAGCTTTGTTCTTTTTGCTTAGAATTACTTTGGCTATTCAGGCACTTTTTTGGTTCCAAATTTATTCTAGAATTTTTTTTCTAGTTCAGCGAAAAACGTTGTTGGTAGTATGATAGGAATAGCATTGAATCTGTAACTTGGGTTGGGCAGAATGAGCATTTTAATAATACTGCAAACCCCAACCTTTGGTAGAGTCTATGTGATATTGGGCCTGTGGGTGTGCAGAAGACAAGAGTTGAGCTTTAGGAACCTCAGCCTGAATTTCAAAGGATGTACGGAAACACCTGAATGTCTAGGCAGAAGTATGCTGCAGGGGAAGGGCCCTCATGGAGACCTCTGCTAGGGCAGTGCAGAAGGAAGATGTGGGGTCAGAGCATCCATGCAGGGTCTCCACTGGGGCACTGACTAGTGGAGCTGTGAGAAGAGGGCCGTCATTCTCCGGATCCCAGAATGATAGATCCACCAAAAGCTCACACCACTCACCTGGAAAAGCTGCAGGCACTCAACACCAACCTGTGAAAGCAGCCAGAAGGGAGGCTGTACCCTGCCAAGCCATAGGAGTGGAGCTTCCCAAAGCCATGGTATCCCATCTCTTGCATCTGTGTGACCTGGATGTGAGACATGGAGTCAAAGGACATCATTTTGAAACTTTAAGGTTTAATGACTGCTCTGTTGGATTTCAGACTTGCATGGGGCCTATAGCTCCTTTGTTTTGGTCAATTTCTCCTATCTCCAATGGGTGTATTTACCCAGTATCTGCACTCCCATTGTATCTAGGAAATAACTAACTTGCTTTTGATGTTACAGGCTCATAGGTGGAAGGGACTTGCCTTTTCTCAGATGAGATTTTGAACTCAAACTTTCAGGTTAATGCTGAAATGAGTTAAGACTTTGGGGGATTCTTGGAAAGGCATAATTGTGTTTTGAAATGTGAGGACATGAGATTTGCGAGGGGCCATGGACAGAATAATATAGTTTGGCTTTGTGTCCCTACCCAAAATCTCATCTTGAATTGTAATGCAAATTGTAATCCCCACATGTTGGGGGAAGGACATCATGGGAGGTGATTAGACATGGGGATCATACTGTTCTCATGATAATGAGTGAGTTCTTATGAGAGCTGAAGGTTTTATAGGGGCTTTCCCCCACTTTACTTTGCACTTCTCCCTCCTGCAGCCATATCAAGAAGGACATGTTTGCTGCCCCTTCCACCATAAGTGTATGTTTCCTGGAGCCTCCCCAGCCATGCAGAACTGTGAGTCAATTAAAACTATTTTGATTCTAAATTACCCAGTCTCAGTCAGTTCTTTATAGAAGCATGAGAACAGACTAATACAGTGACCCACCCCTTTATATTTGTTTAACTGAGTTGATTCAATGAATCCATCTCACAGCTCTCAGTTTTTTTCCTCAGCTTAGTCCTTTCTGTTGTTAATACTTCCAGTTAAACAATGAAATGCTCATAGTGAGTTTTTCAGCTCTTAGACGAGTTTGGGTCATTGTCTTTCTTTCCTTTTTTTTTTTTTTTTTTTTGTGTGTGTGTGTGTGTGTGTGAGATGGAGTCTTGCTCTGTCACCAAGGCACCAAGGCTGGAATGCAGTGGTGTGATCTCGGCTCACTGCAACCTCTGAATTCAAGCCAGTCTCCTGCCTCAGTCACCCGAGTAGCTGGAACTACAGGTGTGTGCCACCATGCCTGGCTAAGTTTTGTATTTTTAGTGGAGATGGGTTTTCACCATGTTGGCCAGCCTGGTCTCGAACTCCTGAACTCAGGTAACCTGGCTGCCTCGGCCTCCCAAATTGCTGCGATTACAGATGTGAACCACTGTGCCTGGCAAGAGTTTGGGTCTTTTAAAAAAATGACTATATCGTCTCTTAGCTCTTGTTTCTTTCTAATTGATTCCTTAGATTCTTTGGATGGGCTTTTAACTGTCTCCTGAATCTCAGTAACCTTCATTACCATCAAGCTTGTGAATTCTGTCTATTATTTCAGCCTTTTCAGTCTGGTTAACAGCTGTTGCTGGGGAGTTAGTGTGGTCATCTAAAAATAGACACTCTGGGTTATTGAATTGCCAGTGTAGTTATGCTGGTTCTGGTTCTTTCTCATCTCTGTGAGCTAATGTTCCTTTAATCGTTGAAGTTAGTTTGTTTGTTTGTTTTGGATGGGGCTTTTTACTTGTATACTTTGATGCCGTTAAGGGTTTACTATGCTATAAGTTGCATTTAATTGACTAGCTTCATCTCTGGATGATTTCAGGTGGCCAAGGCTCAGCTCAGCTCTCCTGGGATGTGTGCTCTAACACTGGGGGGATTGGGACCTGGCCCACAGCTTTGTTATATGCCCCCTCAAGATGAAGTACCTGCTGCACTGACAGGGCCACAGCATTCTCAGTCCACTGGCAACAACAGTCCAACGGGGGATGCCAACAAAAATGCTTCATTGGAGCATTTGCTGAGGGGTCCATGCTTACGCACATGTGCACCAGCTGCAGCAGGGGTGCAGTGTGGCATGTTATACTCATACTCACCCTGGCAGTGGCAGGTTGTCAGGGTTTATACACACACACCAGTGGGGCCCATGCAGTTGCAGTGAGGACTCTGCATATGTGCACACTGGCGAAACAGTGATTGGAGACTGTGCACAGTGCATGCCGGCAATGCAGTGAGGGGGGACTGTAAGTAGGTGTGCACTGTTGGAGGTATATTTGCAGAAGCTCTCCAATGAGAGCAGAGTAGAGTCTGCTGCTATGGTGATGGCCACTGAGAAGCACCCTCGTTGGGCATGCAAAGCTGCCCTCCAAGAGGGTATGGCCTGGCGGGGACCCCAGGAGAGTCCAGTCGACAGGAGAGCATCTAATCACACTGGCATATCCCATGGGCAAGACAGCCCTTCTCTGTGGAGGTCTGACAATCAATAATGACCTAAGTCACTCAGAGGCGTGTGGTAAGCCTTAGGAAATGGGTGTCCCTGGCTGTGCTTCACTGGAACCATTCTTATGTCAAACTATCTGGGCTCTACACATACTGGAATCCTGTCTTTGCTACTTCTCCAAGCAACTCTCCTTGCTAGCTCGAATGTCCATGGGGATTGTGAAGTCTCCTAAAGCTAGGATTCTGGAGCTCTTTGGAAAGAGTAAGCCACTCCATCGTATTTAACTCACCCCCTCCCTCACCTTTCAGGGCCAGGAATGAGTCCTGGTGCTCCACAACCCCATGCTGGGTTCCCAGCTTTCTGATCCTTTAGCCCAGTGTCTCCATCCTCTCTCCTTCCACTCTCAATGCTTTCCTTTTGAAGATCTGCTCAGAGTGTGCTGGTTTTCTTGATAGTCAGCTCTTTCAGTGGAGGATCTTCCTGGCTCTGTCTTGATGGCCATTTTGGCTCTTCTGTCTTTTAGGGTTTCCTTGGTGAGTATCAGGTGTTCATAAATTAAGGATTTATATATTGGGTTTAAAAATCAAGATTGTAAATCAAGATATCTTTAGTGTGACAAAAGGAAGTAAATTATAAAACGTATTTAGGTTACTATGTTGCTCTTAATAAGTAGTACGGCTGCCACATTTTAAAGTGTTTTTTTTTTCCCCCTATGGTTGTTTTAAGGATTTCTTTTTCTCTGTCACTCTCTGTCTTTCCAGCTCTCATTTTCTCTCTTTCTCTCACATCAGATTTATTGTTAAGTGTTAATTCAGTGGTTATTTTTTCCTTGAAATTTACTGTGTTTCTTGAATGGACACGTGTATCTTTCATCATTTTGGAAAGTTTAAACCATTAAGTATTCACATATTTATCTGCTCCATTTATTTTATTCTAGCTCTCTATTTAAATATATCACCTCACACAACTCATTATTTGTGATAACCACTCTTCTACATTTCCATTTTTTCATCTCACTGTATTGAACTGTGCTCATTTGCTTTTCTGATTTAGCTTCCAGTGATCTAGCTCTTTTGCTGTGTCCAAAATATTATCATACTCATGCTCCTAATGTTTAATTTTAGTCATAATATCATTTATCTTTAAAATTTGTTATTAGTTTCATGTTAAAACTGAAAGATTACATTGTATTGTTTTCATTTGGCAGATATTTTCAAATTTACTTCTTAGAACATAATACAATACATGTTTTTCAATGTGTCTGTAATAATACCAGATCTGCAATTTTTGTGACTTTTTTCATTATTTTTCCTGCTACTTATTGCAAAATGTGTCCTGTTTCCTTGCATTCTTTATTAGCTTTGAAAGCATGATGCTTACTGCTTCTGCCAAAATTACTTGGAAGGATTCCTCAAATCCTGGAATGATGACTTCCTATATAGAATCATTTTCTTTATCTTTACTAGTTATCTCTGTAGATTACTTTAAGAACGATATAAATTAAATTAGTAGCTTCCTGCTGTGACAGCCAGCCTGTGGACTATCCTTCAAAACCACAACTTTTCCCATTTCTACTATTTAACCTGGTTTATTCATTTTCAGGACAGCAATCCACACATTTTCCCGGAAGTGGAGGGACAAGGGCCAGTAATCGTTTGTTTTAAACATACTCTGATATTTCAGGCCTTTAAAACAATAGCACAGGTTTTAGGAAGTGGATTTCCAAGAAAACTTCCCATTTTTGCCTGACATTTCTACTACTGCCTTCTCACTTATCCACCATTGAGTTTCTTCTGGATCAAACAACCTTCTCGAAAAATATCAGATACTTTAGCCCTAATTAATTCTCATACTTTCTTTTTGTTTTGAGACAGAGTCTTGCTCTGCTGCCCAGGCTGGAGTGCATTGGTGTGATCTTGGCTCACCACAACCTCTACTTCCTGGGTTCAAGCTATTCTCCTGCCTCAGCCTCCCAAGTAGCTGCGACTATAGGCATTCACCACCATGCCCAGCAAATTTTTGTATTTTTAGTAGACATGGGGTTTCACTATGTTGGCCAGGCTGGTCTCAAACTTCTGACCTCGTGATACACCCACCTCAACCTCCCAAAGTGATTTTTGATCAAGTAATTCCTTACATACTTACCATTTTCTTCCTTTAAGAAGGTTTTATAAAATATTTATATATCTATTAATATTATCTGCCGTTACCTGACAGAAGTAGATATGCATCATTTTTTGATACAGGTGGAGACTTAATAATTGAGAAAAATAATATAATCTATAAGCCTGTAGTAAAGATTAAACCAAAAAATCAAGAGTTTGATCACCTCTGTAGATAAAGGAAATAAATTGATAAAGTTCAAAATTTGTGCTACACTTGAAGGAAGTAATTTGAAATCATTTATCTTATAAAGGCTTTATAATCCAAGAATTAAAAATACTCACTTTTTTCCATTTTAGGTATTCACATCAAAAATCTATTACCTAATATATAAAACTATCAAGTATGTTGATTATGTTTTTAGTATAGTGGTATTGTTTATCCGGATTTAATCTTGAAGATTAAAAATAAAAATAATGTTAACTTCAGTTAACTGTTCAGGC
This sequence comes from Homo sapiens, assembly GCF_000001405.40. NCBI lineage: Eukaryota > Metazoa > Chordata > Mammalia > Primates > Hominidae > Homo > Homo sapiens. Next base: position 41,611,259 of record NC_000009.12, read on the forward strand.
AAATTATTTTCTTTTTTGATAAAATGTATTTGTGTTGCTACACACTGATATGGAGCTGCAGATTTTCTCATTCAAGTTATTAAAATGCCAACCACCTTTGTAATGCTAGTAGTCACTGCCAAATCAATTTTCATTATATCGGGGGGAAAATACAAATCTTCTTAAAAACTGATATAACTGAAACTGTACGTACATTGTATTATATCACAAAATACATGTAAGTATAATGAAGAAAAATTTGTTAAGAAAGTTTACCAAAGCATTCTAGTTAAGATTACATTTAGGTGGATAAGAAATTTTTCATTTCCAAAAAATTACAAAACAACGGTAAATTGAGTTGGTATTTCACAGTATTTGAATTGCAATAGTATGAAGCGTGTATCTAAATGCATGCTATTTATGAGGCAATAGTTATGACAAAGGCATAGTAACATAATTGATTTCCCTTTGCATTCTGAGTTTGAGAATAATTAGGTAAATGACATATAAATGAACAAGAAATAATTCCATTGATCTTATTAGGCATTATTATTAAACTATACCAGTGTACTTAATGGAAAAAAATGTACATATCGCTATAAATTGTTCTCTCTGCTAACATATAATATTTTAAATTTTGAAAACAGAAAGTTAATGTTATTAATCATTTTATTAAATAAAGCAAAGATATATCAGCCATAATTATAATAATTACTTCATGATATGTTTGGATAAACATGTTTATTAAAACAGAATTCTATATTTGAAAGATACTATACAACATTTTATTTACATATTTTAATTGAAGTCTGCTGAAAATACACCAGAAAACCTAACAGATACACTTAACATAAGGGAAACATTATCCTACACTGCTTCACTTTTTCAAAGATGTTATTCCTCCTAGTTAATGACTTACTCTAAAAAGAGTGTTAGAAGTAGCTGAAAAGAAAGGCTATGTTTAAATATGTGAAGAGGGCAAGTTTGAACATTTAATATTTATTGCCCACCTCTTAGCTTTGTTATGCTCTCAAGTGACTCTTAAGAGAATTTCACACTTCGACAATATTCAGAGAATAAGAGACATGACATTGTTAAATACCATCAACATGCCTGCTGCTCCGTTTTGAAATGTTCCTGAATTCAAAATACCCCAAAATAGTTCAGAATATCTTGCTTCTGATGTCAGGATTTACTCTGAACAGAAATATTTTGAATGAAGAAACACAAATATGTAATGAGGTATAATAGTACCCCTCACTAATTATTAAAGAAAGACTACCCGAAGGCTAGATTTATCTTCTTGCTTGAAAAACAAAATCAAGGAAACACCCACAGAAATACAAGACTCTGGATATGAGGGAATGAAGTACTTCCCGAAAGACAGAAAACAAAGGAGTTAAACCCTGCTACTGCCCTAATTTAGTGGCTAGAGTTTCCAGCAGTGGGGCAGAGAAAGTGGGCTCCTAGAGTTGTACAAAGCCAAGAGTTCCAGGAGACTAAGGTAATTAGAGTTTCTAGGTCTGAGAAGCTAGAGATTCAAAGAGAGAAATCTCTGATATCTACAGATGTTCTCCTTTCAGTGCTTAGCAGAATACTGATTAGTGTATACATGTGAGTAATCTGCTCACTGCCAGGGAAACAAGCATCTTCAAAGATTAAAAACAAACAAACAATAACAACAACAAAAACCAGTGCCTGACATTCACATATGACCTGGATTATACCTGTATTTGCCAGCCAAATGAAAGAAAAAAGCTCAATTCACAGTGCATTTGGTAAAGCAATTTAAAAGGTCTTGCCTCAGGGGTAGAAATTAATTAGATTTAAACTGAGTACTGAGTTGAACGCATCAAAAAATCATAAAAGAAGTATCTAAAAGGATCAAGCGGTTTTGAACAAATTAACTGTGTCCTAGAGAAAAAGCTCATATTTTGTACAGAAATACAAAATATCCAGCACTCACAAAGATAACATTAACAAAAACTTCCATTATATTAAACTGTAGTTAGGTTAAAATTTCTTTAATAGATTCACAGAGACTGGCAGCACAAAGTTTTGTAAGGATTTAGAGCTACTGGAACTCTCATACCTTGATGGTAGAAATGTAAAATGTTTTAAAAACTTCTGAAAACTCTTTGGAAATATCTTATTTTCTCATAATGTTAAGCATACACCTATACTATGACAAAGAACTCCATTATAAGGTGTTTACAGGCCCTCGATCAGAAAAAACATAACCAAACATAAGTTGTATAAACATGTATATGGAAACTTTATTTAAGATAGTCAAAAATTTGAAAAATTCTAAATGTCTATCAAAGAAAAGTGGATAAACATTGTGTGACATAATCACACAAGAGAGATTACCTTTCACCAATTAACAAATAATGAGCTTTTGATACGCACAATGACACAATTAATCTCAAACACATGTTGAACCAAAAGATGCCAGGCAGAAATTAGTGCACACTGTTTTAATTCCAAAAACAGATACAACTACTGTGCAGATATGAGAAAAGTGGTTGCTTCATTAATGAGAGGTATTAACTAGAAAGAGATATTAGGAAAATTTATTGGGTCATATTTGTGCACTTGAATGGAAGTAGAATTTATTTTTGTAAAAATAAAGATGTCAGCAGATATTCAACTACTATACATGTACTGTCACATGTAACCTACCAAAGAAAAATATGTTTAAAAATACTTTTACAAAATGACAATTTAAATTAAATAAATTTGCAACTATTTGAAAACCAATTTGGCTGTTTTCTATAAAAGTAATTATTCATCCACCCAACTTCCCTATAATCAAGTCACTCCTAGGCACTTATTCAAAAGGAGTAAAAACTCTTCTCCACAGAAAGACTTGAATAAGAATTGTAATAATGAATTAACTTTTAATTACCCCAAAATAGTAAAGCTGATGTGTTCAACAACAAATAGAAAAAAATCTGGTATATTCACACAAGAAAATACCACCTACCTATTGAAAGAGACCAACTATTTATATATGCAACAGCATTTATGAATATCAAAAACATTATTTTAACTAATCTGTACACAAAAGTACATGTTGTATGGTTCCATTCATATGAATTTCTGGAAGACAAAAACTATTCTATTGTAAATAGAATAGTTGTTGCCTTGGGAATGGAGATGCAGTTAAATGAGAAAGAACATGAGTGGACTTTGTGGTATGATGGTTACTACAACATAATAGTAAACATTACTATATTTTAATTATATATGTATATGCATTTGTCAAAACTTATAAATATTACTTAAATTTGTTCACCCTATTTTATGTAAATTTTATATAAAAATAAACAAAACAGAAAAAAATCCTAGTCTTTTTAGGAGTATGATCAAAGTTAATCACAGATTGTTTATACGTGAATGAACACACAAAAAATATGTTTGCACTTACCTCTCCAAAATGTTGAAGTGTCTGCTTGTAAAAGATACCGTTAATATTTATTCATTTCACATATTCATATGATTCAAACATTTAAATATTTAAAACAAATATTACCAACACTTTTAGTAAATTGGAAAATTTAAGTCAATATCGAATTGAGAGTTTTTTTCTCATTTGGTTGATTCATTAATTATAATCAGCAAAAAAATTTGCATATGTTACGTTTCGTTATACAGATACATTTGTGACATATAATTGCAGTATTGGGCAATGACTGATAAAGTTGTATTTTATCAAAACAGCTTTCTGAGTATGTGATATTGTGATATATAAGTAAAAAAAAATGCTAATTCATGATATTCTGTCCCTGGAAGAATATGGACAACAGAAATATTTTGTAGCATCAAATTTTAGACAAAAACAGAGGTTTACATTTAACATCAATGTCAATAATAGAGTCAGAATTGATATCAAACTTGAGAAATATTTTTACCAAAAGTAGGTCTTTCATAATTAATATGAATTGATTTCTGCAAAACTATCATATTTAGCCATGTGGTCAGTAATATAATGTAAATTATATGTAGATATATATTTTTAAAGTTGAGGACACCTAAATAAAACATGTAAATTATTTTAATTACTTGACAATCTATTATATACAAAGTATTTAAGTATATTTTAAACATATTTAATTTAACTAATTTTTTGAGTGATTTGGGCAAAATTCTGTTTTAGTTCATGTATAGACATGCTTATATTTGAGTTACTGAAAATGCAAACATTTAAGTAGTCTACTCTTAGCATATTAATATGTCCTGTATTCATTACAACATTAATTGCATTAAATTCAGCTACTATGAATAAATAATCTATCACATATACATTTTAAAGGTAGAAGCATTTCAGTTTTATACAAGGATGTCTTTTTGAGCTGACATAGGTTTCCAAGATTTGAGACAATATCAGAAGATTTATTAAAAATGATATGAGACAGCAACTCCCCACATCACTTTGCTGGCATATATCTGCATGGGTGGGCTTTACTTGCTTCAACAGCACATGGGAATGCAGTGTGCCCCCCATAATCCCCACCAACCACCACTGCAGATGGATCCTTGTTGGGCACAGAGTCATCAAGCCCCATCTACACCAGTGCCCTGCCCTTGTGCTGTGCTGCACACAGAGCAGGGGATCCCCCCACAACCTGAGCAATTGCTCCTGCTTGCAGACCACAGATAAGGCGCCAAGACCTCCACTGGCCAGCACCCCACCCCAAGCCATCACCACCTACAGTGCAGCAGTGCACTCTGTCTCCAGCAGAAGGCCCTTGCTCCCCCAACAGCTGCCTTGCCTCCAATACTGTGGAGAACACCTGCAGAGAGGCAGACACCCCTATATCCACTAGTACTTTGCTGCAGGTACTGCAGTTTGCTATCCCCAGCACAGTGGACTCCAAATCTCGAGGAGCCACAGTGTAAGAGATCGATCAGGTTGTTGTGGGAATCAGGAGACTGGAGAGATTGGTAGGTGAAACAGAAGGATTTTTATTGAGTGCACTCAGAACCAGCAGATTAATATCCAAAGACTGGACCCTGAACAAAGACAGCACTTGCCTTTTACGCACACTTCTAAAAGGGGGTGGTCTAACTTGAAACAAGCTTACAGTGGTGCAAAGTATAATGATTCAAAAGCAAGGATACAGAAGAAGAACAAAGGCAGTCAATCATACTACGACAAGTTCACAACTCAGGCTTACATATGACTCTTGCTATGCAGCCCAGATAGCTGTTATCTAGGCTTGTTCCAGTGCTTTGCATGGGCTTATCTCATAACATTTGCTATGGCATCTAGGGGACTGCAATCCAGGCCTGCTCAGGTGTCTCATGATCTTCACTGTGCTGCTTAGATGAATAACAGAATCAAAAGAGAAAGGAAAATTTGTTTTTCTTCTCCCTATGTTGAGGGAGCGCTGGGAGACTCTCCAGAGCACATTCTTTGAGCCCCAGCTTCTTAGATAATGCTATCGAGACTTTGTCTGGGTCTGGGCTTTGCCTGTTACTGCCTTTGGGATGAGTCAGCCTAATACAGAAAGATTGTTTCTTTCTCTTTTTAATTTTACTTTTCTTTCTTTAATTTCCAGCCTCAAGGGTGATGGGAGAAGATGTAAGAAAAGTTATAGGGAAAAATGCAAACCTTCTTGGAAGGCCAAAAACTTTGGAGAATAATTTAGCTGAAGGCAGCTAAATTCTCTTAAGGGCAAAGGTTAGATAACAAGGGAATGTAAAGAAACATATCTAGAAAAATTGGTTTACTTATGTCTCAGGAAACCAACCTTTGATCATTCATGTGCAAGACTGCTCTCTACTTGGGGGTCAACAATGTTAATTTCCCACAAATTATGTTTGCTCCAGGCCTTTGTCTTCAAATCTGTACTAAATTAATACAAAGTTCTCTGGCTTAGTGGGACTGTACTCTCATTGGTGATGCTAAGCAGTGCAGTCCCCTAGCTGCATTCTCAGGCAAAATAACTGTGTCTGAATACTTTTTTCATTGGTCGCTCAGCCAGAGTGTGCGGGATGGACCCAACACAAGAGAACAAAGCTGGGGCCTAATACAAGTCCCCCAGAGTTAGAGCACACAGTCCAGAAGTTGGGAGCTGAGTGTTGGTGCCATAAAATCTCCCAGAAATGAAGCCAGTCAGCTGAATCTACCTTATAACACAAACAAATCTTCGACATCATCAAATAGGATGAAAGAAAACAAAATACCGTCCAAAGGTAAGCAATCTCAAAGACTGAAGTTAGATAAGTGCACAAAGATGAGAAAGAATCAGTGCAAGAATACTGAAAACTCAAAAAGCCAGAGTAACTTCCTACCTCCACATAACTGCATCACCTCTCCAGCCAGGGTTCAGAACAGGGCTGAGGCTGCAATGGCAGAAATAGCATTCAGAATATAAACAGTAATCAAATTCATTGAGCTATAGGAGTATGTTGTAAGCCAATACAACAGAGCTAAAAATCACAATAAAACATTGCATGACCTGGCAGACAAAATGCCAGTATAGAGAACATAACCAACCTGATAGAGCTGAAAAACACCACAAGAATTTCACAATGCAATCGTAAGTATTAACAGCAGAATAGACCACGTGGAGGAAACAATCTAAGAGCTTAAAGAATGGCTTTCTGAAATAAGATAGGCAGATAAGAATAGAAAAAAAGAATGAAAAAGAATGAACAAAACCTCTGAGAAATATGGGATTATGTAGAGACTGAATCTACAACTGGTGTACCTAAAAAGGATAGAGAAAATGGAGTCAACTTAGCAAAAGTTGACTTTTGATATTTTTGATCTCATGGATCAAAATATCATCCATGAGAACTTCCCTAACCTAGATAGAGAGGTCAACATTCAAATTCAAGAAATACAGAGAACTTCAGTAAGATACTCCACAAAAAGATCATCTTGAAGACAAATAATCATCAGTTTCCAAGGTCAAAACAATAGAAAAAATGTTAAAGACAGTGTATTAGTCTGTTTTCACACTGCTGATAAAGACATACCTGAGATTGGGTAAATTATAAAGAAAAAGAGGTTTAATGAACTCACAGTTCCACATGACTGGGGAGACCTCACAATCATAGTGGAAGGCAGAAGTCATGTCTTACATGGCAACAGGCAAGAGAGAGAATGGGGACCAAGCAAAAGCAGAAACCCCTTATAAAACCATCAGGTCGTGTGAGACTTACTGACTACCACAAGGACAGTATAGGGGAAACTGCCTCCATGATTCAATTATCTCCCACTAGGTCCTTCCATAACACATGGCAATTATGGGAACTACAATTCAAGATGAGATTTGGGTGGGGACACAGAGCCAAACCATATTATTTTGCCTGTGTCCCCTCTAAATGTGTCCTCAAGTTTCAAAACCAATCATACCCTCCCAACAGTTCCTCAAGTCTTAACTCATTTCAGCATTAACTCAGAAGTCCACAGTCCAAAGTCTCATCTGAGACAAGACAAGTCCCTTCTACCTATAAGCCTGTAAAATCAAAAGAAAGTTAGTTACTTTCTTGATACTATGGGGGTACAGGCATTCGGTAACTATACCCATTCCAAACAGGACAAATTGGCCAAAATAAAGGGGTTACAGGCCGCATGCAAGTCCAAACTCCAGCAAGGCAGTTGAATCTTAACGCTTCAAAATGATCTCCTTTGACTCCATGTCTAACATCCAGGTCATGCTGATGCAAGATGTGGGCTCCCATGGACTTGGGCAGCTCTGCCCCTGTGGCTTTGAAAGGTACGGTTTCCACCTAGCTGCTTTCACAGGCTGGTGTTGAGCATCTGAGGTTTTTTTAGGTGCATATGCAAGCTGTGAGTGGATTTACCATTCTGGGGTCTGGAAGATGGTGGTCCTCTTCTCGCACAGGCAGCGCCTCAGTGGGGACTCTGTGTGGGGCTCCAACCCCACATTTCCCTTCCCCACTTCCTTAGCAGAGGCTCTCCATGATCACCCCCCCTCCCCCACAGCAAACTTCTTCCTGGACATCCAGGCATTTCCATACATCCTCTGAAATCTAGGCTGAGGCTCCCAAGCCTTGCTTCTTGACTTCTGTGCACATGCAGGCTCAACTCCACATGGACGCTGCCAAGGTTTGGGGCTTGCGACCTCTGACAACCTGGCCCAAGCTGTACCTTGGTCCCTTTTAGTCACAGCTGGAGTGGCTGGGATGTAGGGCACCAAGTCCCTAGACTGCACACAGAGAGGGGCCCTGGGCCTGTCCCCAGAAAACATTTTTTCCCCCTAGGCCTCTGGGTCTGTGATGGGAGGGGCTGCTGTGAAGACCTAGGACATGGCCTAGAGACATTTTTCCCATTGTCTTCATGATTAGGATTTGGCTTCTTGTTACTTATGCACATTTCTGCAGCTGGCTTGAATTTCTTCTCAGAAAATGTTTTGGTTTTTTTTCTATTGCATTGTCAGACTGCAAATTATATAAATATATATATAATGTAAATAATATGAGCCAATAAATACATAACTAATTAATATTTAAATTATTAAAGATAAATATTAATTTTAACTATTTTATCAAAATTGTAAATATGGAAATGTATGTAACATACAATTATTGATAAATAAGTTGGGGGTTTTACTTATGATTTTCTCAAAACCTGAATAAAATATCCTTTCTTTTTTGAGTCCTGGATTTTCTTCAGTTTGAACAAATATTGGAATTATTAACTCTGCACCAAAGCTAAATAACTGATTAAGGACACATGATGAACCTATTAGCATAAATGTGTAAATGTTATTTTTAAAAGCAGTGAAAAAGTTAATGAAGATATTTAATTAACCTGAAGAGTCCACTTACTAGATAATTCAATGTCATTAATTAGGTGACTCATAAAGCAGATGCTTTCCATTTTTTGAGAGTGGCTAGAAAAAAAAAGTTTATGTTTACAACATGACTCTACTAAGAAACCTGAATATTATTTCATTACTTTTTATCAAGCTAATATGAGAAAGGAAGCAATAAGATAAAAATAAATGACAGTCACTTCTTGGACTGGAAGCAAAGAAGTTTAACAAAAGAAAAAAAAGCATACTTCCCCACTTTCTTAAAAATTGAGACCACATTTTAAAATAATTTTGCTTGAGGTCTAATTAAAAATATTATAGTTTCCATTTTCTGGAAGATTATAGTTTTTCAAAACTGCAACCAGTAGGCAGATAAATATAAATTACGATAAACATAATGTAGATGTATCTTTACAGAAAACTTTAGATCAAATGTTAGCTTTTTCTACAAAGGGTCAGATTTTAAGTATGTTAGGCTTTGACAATCATGCAGTTTCTGTTGCAACCACTCAACTCTGACATAATAGCCTGAAAACATCTATAGACCACATGTAAGTGAATGATCTTGTGTCCAAAAAAAAACCTTGTTATTTATGAAAACACTGCAGTTTTTACTTTCTGCAATCGTTATATGCTACAAAATGTTATTTTAAAAAATTGTTTCAATCATTTAAATCTCTAAAAACCATTATTACCTTGCAGGCTGTACCAAAACCATAGGCCACAGGCTGCCAATGCTCACACTGAAGAAACAAAATTGTGATATCAGTACAGCCTTCACAGAGAAAATAGAGTTTGAAACTAGAATATCAACTACAACTGGAGAGTTAAATGAAAAGTCTTATTAGTTAGATGGAGTGGGTTTTGCAAGACACTGGTGAGAAGTACAGAATTTGGGGTAATTGCAGTAATTACGTGGGCTTAAATATATATGTGTGGGTAGAAGAGGGAGATGTCAAGCGATGAGAGTAGAGATGAGTTTAGGATAAATTACAAATGTCTTCAGGCCATCCAAAGTGTTTATAATTTACTCTAATGGAAGTGACAAGACATTAATGAGATCTAAAATAGGGACTACAAGAAACAGATTACAATAGATAAACAAGACTGTAGGCAGAGAGCTTCTTAATTCCACAGTTCATTGGCAAGTCCAAGAAGAAACTTAAGGTGACCTGAACTATAGTAATGACAGTGGATTCACTTATAAGTACAGTCTTGAGTTGATTAATGATGAGAATTCATTCTGAGAAATGTGTTCCCTAGGTGAACATCATAGTGTCCTTTTACAAACCTAGATGGTGTAGCCTACTACACACTTCGGCAATAAGGTAGAAGTTATTGCTTTTAGGCTACAAGCCCTTACATCAGGTTACTATATTAAATAATGTAGCCAATTGAAACACAATGATAAACATCTTTATATCTAAACATAGAAAACATACAATAAAAAGATATGGTATAAAAAATAAAAAGTTGCACACCTGTATAGGATGGTTACTATAAATGGCACTTGCAGGCCTAGAAGTTGCTCTGGATGAGACAGTGAGTGAGTGGTGAGAGAAAGCAAAGTCTTTAGATATTACTGAACACTACTGTAGACTTAATAAACACTGTACACTTAGGCTACATTACATTTCTAAAAACTATTCTGTAATAATAAAATAACCTTAGCTTACTGTATCTTTTTTACTTTATAATTTTTTTGACTCTTGCAATAACGCTTAGTTTAAAACACAAACACATTGAACATCTGTACAAAAAATATTTTCTTTCTTTATACCCTTATTATATAAGCTTTTTTCTACAATGGAACAGAACAGAGCCCTCAGAAATAATGCCGCATATTTACAACTATCTGATCTTTGACAAACCTGAGAAAAACAAGCAATGGGGAAAGGATTCCCTATTTAATAAATGGTGCTGGGAAAACTGGCTAGCCATATGTAGAAAGCTGAAACTGGATCCCTTCCTTACACCTTATACAACAATTAATTCAAGATGGATTAAACACTTAAACCTTAGACCTAAAACCATAAAAACCCTAGAAGAAAACCTAGGCGTTACCATTCAGGACATAGGCATGGGCAAGGACTTCATGTCCAAAACACCAAAAGCAATGGCAACAAAAGACAAAATTGACAAATGGGATCTAATTAAACTCAAGAGTTTCTGCCCAGCAAAAGAAACTACCATCAGAGTGAACAGGCAACCTACAAAATGGGAGAAAATTTTTGCAACCTACTCATCTGACAAAGGGCTAGTATCCAGAATCTACAATGAACTCAAACAAATTTACAAGAAAAAAACAAACAACCCCATCAAAAAGTGGGCAAAGGACATGAACAGACACTTCTCAAAAGAAGACATTTATGCAGCCGAAAAACACATGAAAAATTGCTCACCATCACTGGCTATCAGAGAAATGCAAATCAAAACCACAATGAGAGACCATCTCACACCAGTTAGAATGGCAATCATTAAAAAGTCAGGAAACAACAGGTGCTGGAGAGGATATGGAGAAATAGGAACACTTTTACACTGTTGGTGGAACTGTAAACTAGTTCAACCATTGTGGAAGTCAGTGTGGAGATTCCTCAGGGATCTAGAACTAGAAATACCATTTGACCCAGCCATCCCATTACTGGGTATATACCCAAAGGATTATTAATTATGCTGCTATAAAGACACACGCACACGTATGTTTATTGCGGCACTATTCACAATAGCAAAGACTTGGAACCAACCCAAATGTCCAAAAATGACAGACTGGATTAAGAAAATGTGGCACATATACACCATGGAATACTATGCAACCATAAAATGATGAATTCATGTCCTTTGTAGGGACGTGGATGAAATTGGAAATCATCATTCTCAGTAAACTATCGCAAGAACAAAAAACCAAACACCGCATATTCTCACTCAGAGGTGGGAATTGAACAATGAGAACACATGGACACAGGAAGGGGAACATCACACTCTGGGGACTGTTGTGGGGTGGGGTGAGGTGGGGAGGGATAGCTTTAGGAGATATACCTAATGTTAAATGACGAGTTAATGAGTGCAGCACACCAGCATGGCACATGTATACATATGTAACTAACCTGCACATTGTGCACATGTACCCTAAAACTTAAAGTATAATAATAATAAAATAAAAAAAGAAAAATAAAGTTTTTAAATTTATATTATTTACTTTTAAAACATTTTATTAATAAGACACAAACACATACAGTAGCTGAGGCCTACACAGGGTCAGGATTATCAATATTACTGTCTTCTGCCTTTATATCTTGTCCCACTGGAAGGTCTTCCAGGGCAATAACATGCGTGGAACTTTCATCTTCTACGATAACAATGCTTCCTTATAGAATACCTCCTCAAGGACCTGTCTGAGGCTGTTTAATGGTTAACTCTTTCTCTCTCTCCTCTCTCCATATATATATATGAATTGTTTGGCTCATTATAATCTTATGGGACCACTGTTCTGTAGGTAGTTCATCATTGACTGAAATGTTCTTATTAGGCAGGGCATGATTGTATATTATTTTTATTTACCACTGAATGGCAATATTAAATATGTTACAAGAATGGTTTGGATATTAAATCCTTATTATTCTTATTATTGTTATTGAGACAGAGTCTTGCTCTGTCGTCCAGGCTGGAGTGAAATGGCACTATCGTCTCGGCTCACTGCAACCTTCGCCTCCTGGGTTCAAGTGATTCTCCCGCCTCAGCCTCCCGAGTAGCTGGGACTACAGGCGCACTTTACCATGCCTGGCTAATTTTTGCGTTTTTAGTAGAGATGGGATTTCAGTCACCACGTTGGCCAGGCTGGTCTCAAACTCCTGACCTCAGTTGATCCACCCGCCTTGGCCTCCCAAAGTGTTGTGATTACAAGTGACCACTCCCAGCCTTAATTCCTTATTATGAAGACATGTAATTCATATAACAAAAGCAGTAAAAATGTCTAGAATCCTATGTACTTTCCAGAATGCTGTCAAGAGCTAAGCTGCCATGGAGTTGAAATAGCTAATTAAAACAATAAGCCAAAATGACAGTAACAGTCAAATCTTTACTAACTGAGATAGTTTAAGCAAGAAACTAAAGAGGAAAGATCACTAGCTCCTCCAATGTTCCATTTTGTCCCATGAAACAGCTCCAGGCCAAGGTCATGTAGATCAGCACAAATGCAGATGTGCGAATTTTCTCAGCAAGGATCTTTTGACCAAGGAGCCATGAACAAAAAGCTCCTTTCATCTTATGGACCTGGGTCCTTGGGACAGAAAGAGGAGGAAGGGCTAAGAATGGGAAAATACTGAGTTCTGATTCAGAATAGAGAATAATGATTTCAATGTTTCCCCTTTCTCCTCTCCCTTATCCCTCTCTCCCTATCATAAGGAGTTCTCTGCAAAGGTTTTCTATTGAGGGTCCCTAATAAGGATAGCTCAGATGGGGGTGCCTGAGACTTGAATGGCAGACATGCACAGGAGGATGGTTGGCTAGCAGGGAATGAGTCCTAGACTGCAGCTCCCATTAGATATTGTAATGCACTGGCTGTTTGCCAATTCTGGTATAGGGAGAGTATCTTTCTCTAGTGAGGCCTGCCAGGTAAAGCCATTGTCATGGCCTATGGTTAGGCCTGAAAGGTTACACATAGGGTTTCTGCCTGGAGTTGGACTCCTCAGATGCCTTTTGGATTTTCTGTCAAGTGGTAAACATTAATGGAAGATTAAAACAACTCCAATTTGACAAGACAACTAAGGGCACTGTTCATGAAGAGTGGGCTCTTGCTGTGGAAACTTGGATAATTTAGGATACTATAGAGAAGTGTGGAATGAATAATATAAAAAGAATGGTACAAATACCATCCACAGTTCCATGATCAGTTATAAAATTAAGTGTGTAATACATTCTTGGGTTTTCTTCTCTTCTGCATTGTCATGTATATAATTGTTTGTCTTATTTTATCTTCCATTTTTCCCATCATTTTTAGGGTAGGCTGGTTTGAATAACTTCATAATTTATTATCTTATTTCAGGATATTAAGACATAGTTGAGACTGAATCCGAAGAGGAGTGAATATCATGGATACCTATTTTGGATAGGACCACTGCATTTTAATTTGTGCAACATATATTTGAATTATATTTGACAGGATCATGTACTTGTTACTGTTACTCTTTTGAAGTTTAAGCTTTAGAAAAGGCAGGTGCATGGATATTGAATAGTCTTAAGCTGGACCATCGGCTATTTCAGACTGGCTTACTCAGGTATATTCCAAAACTCTGGTAGTTTGACTAAGAACTTGCTCAATTTGGAACAGCTAAAAATGATATCCCCAGGCTTACTCACAATTCAGGTTTTACATTAAACCTACCTTCTTTAAGGAAAAGAGCCTGAGATAGAAGGTGCCTTCCTATTCTTTTTCCTGACAAGCAGTGTAACAAAACCATTTACTTTCCTGTAACGACAGTCACAAATGACCAAATGTCCAGTCCTTAGTTCTGTGGCCAACATTCTGTGTTATTCAAATATGAACCATGGCTGAGATCCTATGATCAAGAAGCAAGCAGCTATGACAGAAGTATTTTAATGCTTAGAGAAAAAAAAAAACAAAGGTAGCAACTCACTGTTAGGTTAGGGTTAGTCTGCAGATACCTGGATTAAGATATCTTAAGCCACTGTGTGGTCCCTGGCTGACCAGAGTGAGTTCATTTATATCTATCTCCTCTATTTGGATAACAATAAAAACATAACAGAGGGAGATGGATTCCATAAATATGACTGTTGAAAATGTTACAGCTACAGAGGATCTAAGATGTGTGTTTGGTAGTTGGACTAATGTATTGTTTGGATCAAATAAAATATGTGTTAGAGAATGCAACTGTTTATTCAAAGTATAGGGGCACAGTTTAGGCCCAGATCAGTCAGGAAGGTGGCAAACTGTTTCACACATTTCCTGCCATGTAAATCAGAAATGTTGTGTAGAACAGAACTTATATACAAGCTAAAATAAGTAAACACAAAACAAAAGATAGTGACCAAAATCTTTAGCAAGAAGAGGTGCATCACAAAAGGAAAGAGGAACAGGAATGACCTGATATGAAACTATAAGGTACCCCTGTAAGAGATATGAATGGAGGCTGCTACAGTAAGTCTAAGGCCAACAATGTAGAGAGAAACAGATGAAATTTTTCTTCGTATTGTTAAATTAAAATGCAAACATTCGAGCTTCCCAGCTTCCACATCAAAGTAGAAAAAAAAAGAAATTTGCATTAGAAATGTGTGTCTAGCTTTTATGAAGGATGACAGAAAAAATTATTGTTTCTCAAAGCAGTTTTTCTAAAAGTACATTTGTAAAATGGACAATGTGCCTCAAGTTACAAAAAATTATTTTATTATTCTCTATGTAAATATGTTTCCCATTAGTACATTTAATGATGTTTAGACTAACAATTTTGTTTAAATTTTAAGTTAATAAGATAAACTTTGAAACTGGGAAAAAAACAAATAGCAAAGTTAGCATAATTTTAGTGCCAGTGGTTGCACAGGAGATCCTGATTCTCCAGCTTCTCAGTCATGGCAAAAGGAGCAACAGTCCCAGCTCTGTCGTTTTTCTGGAGGAGTTCTAGCAATCATTTAGAAGATCAGCCCAAGACCTGCTCCACCAACTCTCCAATCGTGTAAGAAACTAATTCTATATATTAAATTTTGTTTGCCTATATTACCTAAAGATTTATTCTTATAATCTATAATGGAAAATTGAAATATTGAGTATGCTGATGAAAAAGATTACATTTTCCTAAACAAAAGTTCACTCCTAAATGATAAATTCAATTATGGGAACAAATTTAGGTAGGCATAAAAAGAGAAAAGTGAAAATACAATTGAAAAATTGAGGCCGGGCGCGGTGGCTCACGCCTGTAATCCCAGCACTTTGGGAGGCTGAGGCGGGTGGATCACGAGGTCAGGAGATCGAGACCATGGTGAAACCCCGTCTCTACTAAAAGTACAAAAAATTAGCTGGGCGCGATGGTGGGCGCCTGTAGTCCCAGCTACTCAGGAGGCTGAGGCAGGAGAATGGCGTGAACCCAGGAGGCGGAGCTTGCAGTGAGCCGAGATCCCACCGCTGCACTCCAGCCTGGGCGACAGAGCGAGACTCTGTCTCAAACAAACAAACGAACAAACAAACAAAAAAGAAAAATTGAAGCAACTCCACATGCATTCCAGCTTTACAGAGTGAAAGTGTACGTGAAATTTTATTAAGAGACAATAATTTATAATGCATAATTAACTCAAGAATTAATATTATTTGACACAATTTTGAGCATACTAAAAGGTAACTGGATTTTATAATCTAATTAAAAAGTCATATAAGTAAATACAATGAGTATTACCTTTATAAATACTTTAAGATGCATTCGAGTATATGCTATGATGGAAATATTCGGCCGGGCGCAGTGTCTCACGCCTGTAATCCCAGCACTTTGGGAGGCCGAGGCGGGCGGATCACGAGGTCAGGAGGTTGAGACCATCCTGGTTAACATGGTGAAACCCCGTCTCTACTCAAAATACAAAAAAAATTAGCCGGGCATGGTGGCAGGTGCCTGTAGTCCCAGCTACTCAGGAGGCTGAGGCAGGAGAATGGCGTGAACCCAGGAGGCGGAGCTTGCAGTGAGCCGAGATTGCGCTGCTGCACTCCAGCCTGAGCAACAGAGACAGACTCCGTCTCAAAAAATAAATAAATAAATAAATAAATAAATAAATAAATAAATAAATTAGTAAATTTTGCATAAGTAAATTATACCTCAGTAAATCTGGCTAAAATACAATGTAAATATGTGTATCAACCACCATTAATTTAAAAATTCTAGGGCCAGGCATGATGGCTTATACCTGTAATCCTATCACTTTGGGAGGCTGAGGTGGGAGGATCCCTTGAGCCCAGGAGTTCAAGACAAGCCTGGGTAACAGGGAGAGCCTCATCTCTATAGAAAATTAAAAAATTTAATTAGCCTATCGTGGTGGCTCACACCTGTAATCCCAGATAGTTGGGAGGCTTTTTTGAGGTTATAGTGAGTTATGATCCAGCTACTGTACTCCAGCCTGGTGACAGAATGACATCTTCCCTCTATAAAAATAAAAATAAAATCTATGACATTTAACTGATTACATATTTAATCAATTAATTGGAATAAATGATATCCTGATTATGACATTTCAATAGACATATTATTATTTATTTTAATATTTGAATAGAGTAAATAAAGTCCTATTTTTCTTTCAATTTGTCATTTATTTTATGTTGCTTTGAATAGAAAACTAATGCTGCAATTGTGTACACCATTAAATCATTAGGTTCTAATTTCCTTGATCTATTACGAAAAGTGATTTTCAATTTTAATATCAAGGGCATTATTTGCAGAATATTGTTATTCTGCAAATATATTCTGCAAATACATTCTGTAATATTTAAATATCATAATCAAGCAAACTCTTAAATGTGACACCTGAAACAATTATAGGCAAAGAAAATACTAGTAATATAGCTCACAGATAAAGCTTATTTAGTATAAAGTATGCAAGGAACTTCGGATTCAGACAATATGGCACAGATCCATGTTTTTCCCGCCTCTTTTTGTTATGCACAACTGTATATTTTGAAAATGACACATGTGACTAACATGAAAAAGCTCTAAGAGATGGAGGTAAACAGAAGAAGAGTTAGTTTGATATGCAAGGAATGGTGAAACAGCACAACAGCAAGGCATCTTGTGTACCCTGAAGTCCTGAAGAAGGCCTTCAGACTTATTTTTCCTAATCCCCCAATCTAGCAACAGAAGATACCTCAAGTAAGCTCCTTCCTCCCTTGGATCAATCAGGAGCCACTAGCTTGAGACACCCACCACCATCCAGGAGAAGCAGCTAGGAGAAATGCTAAGAGAGGTGCTCTCCTTCCCAGTACAGCTTGAGGCTTCCTTTTCTACCAGGAAGCACAAAGGTGGGAAAATAGAATCAGGAAGAGGGACCTAGTAGAGAAAGTGGCCTGGCCTAAGAAGCTGCTTTGTCCCTGCAGGCCTAAGACTCTCTTCCCAATGACCCCAGAGTAGCCAGGGGACATTGGTTGGGGGATTCTACCACACCCCTCACCACATACCTCAGACACCTGGTAGCCTAACCTGGAGAAACTGCTTCCACTGCCATAGGCAGCACTAACAGGGAGCAGTGGAATTCCCAGCAGCACCATATTAATCAAAGAGTCTGAAATCACAATGCAAAAGCTCTAAACATTAACTTGGTATTGAAACTACAGCCAAAACAATTGGCCAGTGCAGGACAGTTCTCCATGTGGCCTTGGATTGACCCAGTTCTCTTCCCTTTCTTCCTTGTAGGTCTTAATAATTACTGTAGATTGTGCTGGGAATACATTATGGTGAGATAAGGAGGGGCTGACTGGACTAGCCTGGGCCTGTTGCTCTTTCCTCTGGAAGCAAGATGTCCCTCAAACCTTTAAGTCAATGTTTCACATTGGCTCTGAGGTATATAACCCTGAACAGGCTGTCTTAAAGAGTCCTGGCTGGACGTGGTGGCTCATGCCTTGTAATCCCAGCACTTCAGGAGGCCAAGGTGGGTGGATCACCTGAGGTCAGGAATTCAAGACCAGCCTGGCCAACATTGTGAAACCCCGTCTCTACTAAAAATACAAAAAACTTAGCGTGGTGGCAGGCGCCTGTAATCCCAGCTACTTGGGAGGCTGAGGCACGAGAATCGCTTGAACCCAGGAGGCAGAGGTTGCAGTGAGCCGAGACCGTGCCATTGAACTTCAGCCTGGGCAACAAGAACCAAGCTCCATCTCGAAAAAAAAAAAAAAAAAAAAAAAAAGCCCCTCAGCTGTGGTGCAAGTGGGGAATGCACAGCTGAGACTCGATGTGCCCTAGACAGCTTTCTTGAGTCTTCAGGAACGAGCTCATCATAGATCCTAGCATTCTTTTGTCCCTTGCTGCCTACCTGTAAGTCACAAATCTGCTTTGTGTAACTTGTTGCATATGAGTGTATTCTGTCTCCTGCACTCAGACAAGCTGGTAAGCAGCACACAGTAAACCTAATCCACAAAATGCGTCCAGCAAGCAGGGCCCCATCTAATGTAATCATAGCTTATTTGAGAAGCAGGAGGGGTGATACTTCCTAGTACCCAGCCCAGGGGAAAGACAGCAGCCTGGGGGCATGGGGATTGAATATTTTCAGAGGAAGGAAGGGTGATAAGTCGGATTTAGGTCTGCCACTTCCCACAGATGTGAATGAGATGGCTGCATGGATCAAGGCAAACAAAAGGCAATGAGGAAATAGAGGAGCATAGGTCCCTTGGTTGGGGATATTTATTTAATTACCCTGTCATTCATGGGGGCAGAGAGTGAGGGAAGTGTGTACTCAACCAGACACTAAGGCACCTGAGAGGGAAAGAAGAAAGGGGTCCTCAGATCTTCCTTGAGGCATCTGAGAAGGAATCAATACATGTGATAAAGGCCTTCACAGAAAGGGAGACTCATTATCTAAAGGACAGATACAGAGAAAGGCCAGGCATGTTTCTTTGATGAAAGGACATTGCAAATCCAATGTCTTGGGCTGAATGGCAGAGTCAGAAATGGGACCAAGTTCTCGGGGTCCCCAAATGGAGGCCAAAGGCCTTATATTTCTGTCAAGATAAGAGGAGAAAAGAAAGAAATTCAGACTTTTTTTTTTGATACAGGAGTCCACATAATACTTCCAGGTCCTCTTAGGGAGAAAAACTGGTGACACTGGAAGGTTTTAGAATGAATGCATTGACCAGTAGTGCTTATCTACCTGTGATATGGCTTTGGTCCATATTGGATGTCAGTAACCATGGTTCTCACTTGTGAGTGCATTATTGGTATTGACCCCCCGACTTCTTGTAGCACAAAAATCACCATTGCCTGAGGGGACATACTCTTTGACAACTCAGAATTCAAGCCATAACAGTGGGGCATATCCTGCCTGCCACCTAAACTACCCAAGCCCCAGTGGATTATTTAACAAAAGCAGTACTACATGGTAAGTGGAGAATAGGACATTACTTTATTAATTCAGGACTACAACAAACTATCCCTTTTAAGCAGCCTGTAAGGATCCATTGGATTCTCCTGTGGCAACCTGGGGCCCAGGACTCATAGACATGCTTACTGACAGCATGGCATTGTCATGCATCAGTGCATCAGTGTGAAGAGACTACCAAACAGGTTTTTTGTGAGCAACAAGACTGTTTATTTCACCTGGGTGCAGGCAGGCTGAGTCCAAAAAGAGAGTCAGTGAAGGAAGATGGGGTGGGGCCGTTTTATAGGATTTGGGTAGGTAGTGGAAAATTACAGTCAAAGGGGGTTATTCTCTGGCAGGCAGGGGTGGGGGTCACAAGGTGCTCAGTGGGGGAGCTTCTGAGCCAGGAGAAGGAATTGCACAAAGTAATGTCATCAGTTAAGGCAGGAGCCAGCCATTTTCACTTCTTTTGATTCTTCACTTGTTTCAGGCCATCTGGATGTATACGTGCAGGTCACAGGAGATACGATGGCTTAGCTTGGGCTCAGAGGCCTGACATTCCTGTCTTCTTATATTAAAAAGAAAAATAAAACAAAATAGTGTTGAAGTGTTGGGGTGGTGAAAATTTTGGGGGGTGCTATGGAGAGATAATGGGTGATGTTTCTCAGGGCTGCTTCGAGTGGGATTAGGGGAGGCATGGGAACCTAGAGTGGGAGAGATTAAGCTGAAGGAAGATTTTGTGGTAAGGGGTGAAACTGTGGGGTTGTTAAGAGGAGCATTTGTCATATGGAATGATTGGTAATGGCCTGGATGCAGTTTTGTATGAATTGAGAAACTAAACGGAAGACACAAGGTCTGAATAAGTGAAGGAGAAAAACAGGTATTAAATGACTAAGAATTGGGAGGACCAAGGACATCCAATTAGAGAGTGCTCAAGGGGGTTCAGCATAATTACTTGTTTGGTTGGTGAGTTTTGGGGCTCTATCCTTGACAGAGTCCTCTTTTTTAAGTTTTAAGTTGGAGGCTGAGCTTGGTGAGGTGTATTTTTAAAAGACAATTTGTCCGTCCTACCATTCCTGAAGATTCAGGATGGTAAGGGCTATAAAGGTTTTACTGAATACCAAGAGCCTAAGAAACTGCTTGGGTGATTTGACTAATAAAAGCTGGTCTGTTATCAGACTGTATAGAGGAGGGAAGGCCAAACCAAAGAATTATGTCTGACAGAAGGGAAGAAATCATCATGGTGGCTTTCTCAGACCCTGCGGGAAAGGCCTCTACCCATCCAGTGAAAGTGTCTACCCAGACCAAGAGGTATTTTAGTTTCCTGACTCAGAGCATGTGAGTGAAGTCAATTTGCCAGTCCTGGGTGGGGGCAAATCCCTGAGCTTGATGTGTAGGGAAGGGAGGGGGCCTGAATAATCCCTGAGGAGTAGTAGAATAGCAGATGGAACACTGAGAAGTGATTTTTTGAGGATAGATTTCCACAATGGAAAGGAAATGAGAGGTTCTAAGAGGTGGGCTAGCAGCTTGTAACCTACATGGAAGAGGTTATGCAATGACGACAGAATAGAATGGGCCTGTGAGGCTGGAAGGAGATATTTTCCTTGGTCAAAGAACCATTTGCCTTGTGTGGGAAGAGATTGATAGGTGGAAGTTTCAGTCGGTGAGTAGGTGGGAGTGACCGATTAGAAGGAGAAAAACTGGCCGTGAGGGACAGAAGTTGGAATGCTAGCTGCTTCTTTAGCTATTTTATCAGCATAAGTATTGCCCTGAGCAATGGGATCTGATGCCTTTTGATGGCCTTTACAGTGAATGACTCCAGCTTCCTTTGGAAGTAAAGTGGCCTTGAGAAGAGCTTTTATTAAAGAGGCATTAATGATGGAGGACCCTTGCGCAGTGAGGAAACCTCTTTCTGCCCATATAATGGTATGGTGGCGTAGGATATGAAAGGCATATTTAGAGTCAGTTTAAATATTGATGTGTAGTCCCTTTGCAAGAGTGACGCTCGAGTTAAGGCAATGAATTTGGCTTGCTGAGAGGTAGGGGAGTGGGGCAGAGCGGTAGCCTCAATGATAGATGTGGAAGATACCATAGCATAGTCTGCCTTTGCTGGTGAGTGGCAATTAGGCCTGGTGGAACTGCCATTGATAAACCAAGTGTGATCAGGGTGAGGAACAGGAAAGAAGGAAATATAGGAAATGGAGTGAATGTCAGGTGGATCAGAGAGATACAGCCATGGGGATCAGGTGTGATATCCAGAATAATGTGGGAGGCCAGATTGAAGTCCTCGCCAGGAAAAATGGTAATTGTGGGAGACTCAACAAAGAGTGAGTACAGCTGAAGGAGCCGGGGAGCAGAAAGTATATGCATCAGGTGTGAGGAAGAAAATAGATTTTGGAAGTTATGAGAAATGTAGAGAGTGAGTTGAGCATAGTTTGTGATTTTTAGGGCCTCTAAAAGAATTAGGGTGATGGCAACTGCTGCACAGAGACATGATGGCCAGAGCAGATCCTGAACTAACCTGTAAGACTTGTCTGGAGTTTGAATAGGTAAAATGGGAGAATTGTAAGGAGAGTTTATAGGTTTTACAAGCCCATGCTGTAGCAGGGGAGTGATAACAGGCACCAAATGTCACACACGTCCATGTGAAGAGACCACCAAACAGACACTGCATGAGCAATAAGGCTGTTTATTTCACCTGGGTGCAGGCGGGCTGAGTCTGAAAAGAAAGTCAGTGAAGGGAGATAGGGGTGGGGCCGTTTTATAGGATTTGGGTAGGTAGTGGAAAAGTATAGTCAAAGAGGATTGTTCTCTGTTGGGCAGGGGCGGGGGTCACAAGGTGCTCAGTGGGGGATCTTCTGAGCCAGGAGAAGGAATTTCACAAAGTAATGTCATCAGTTAAGGCAGGAACCAGCCATTTTCACTTCTTTTGTGATTCTTCACTTGCTTCAGGCCACCTGGATGTATAAGTGCAGGTCACAGGGGATATGATGGCTTAGCTTGGGCTCAGAGGCCTGACAGGCATGGTTTACTGATAGCTCTGCCAGACGACATGCACTGGACCACCATTCAGCCAGTGGTTGGCTATCTTTTGACTGAGACTGGACATGGGCATTCTACCCAATGGGCCAAACTAAATGCAGTGGTGATGGCCATGCAGGCTACCTCTATCGCATATCTTGCTATATTTTCAGTGACTTATGGGCCATTGCCAAAAGCCTAGCCATCTGATCAGGACAATGGCAATGGAAGGATTGGACTGTTAGATGATATCCACGTGAGGACAAGGACTAAGAAAAACAGCTTGTTGTCTGAAAAAGACAAATATATGTCAATCATATGGGTGCTGAGGCAACTATAGCCACACTTGAGAGGAATTTATGCCATCCTTTTACATAGCCCATGGGATTTTACTTGGACCGAGGAATATTTTTTACTATTCAAGCAACTAGATAATGGGTACACATTAGTGAAAAAAGATGGGCTTTTTAAGTACATTGTCATCCTCAGGCCAATAGAGTTATTGAATAATGGAACTCACAAAGCAACTGAAGAAAGAACATCAAGATGTCCTGCTAGTGAGGGGGTAGCCCATCTGACTAGGGCAATAGGGACACTAAACACTATGCACCAATGCAAAGGAAACAGCACTGCAGTGCATATTGAGGGACACTGAGCTTGGTTGGGTTGGAGGTGGATGAGAAACCCACCTGACTAGGCTGTCTGTGCCTGTAAAGTCTCAGTCTGGGTTCTCAACCATTCTTTTTCCTTTTCCCCTATAGAGTACATGTCCTGGGGATGAATTGCAGTTCAGGGTGCCATAGTACCCCAGAGAGGCCACCCTGTCTCTAATCTGGAGTTTATACTTCCCTTGGGTACCTCCCCTATAAGGGGATTCCACAGGGGTTGGGGACAGGACTAAGGAATGACAGACTGCTAGAATCCCTCTAATGATGCTGGATGCCTCTGATCCTTCCATTTGGGTGGATGATGTTATGAGATATACCAACTTTGTACTGGAGTGGATGATTGAGGCAGAAAGGTTTGAGTCAAGCAACAAGGGCAATGGATGTCTGCAGAAGTAGCTTGGGACTAAAACAGACAGACCGGGTTGCTATACCAACTCAGCCTAATTCTTATCCAATAGGTAGAGAACATCTGAGACCCTGGAAAGGGTGAGAGGTGGGCATTAAACTGTCAGTCTGCTTTTCCACATGGATGGGGCATTATAGGCCTGTGAGCATAATGCCTTAGTGGCCTCTTCCAAAGTGCCATGGTTACACCATGGGTAACCTGACAAAGTGCTGGATGCTCCATCCACGACCTCGTTCTCTCATTGACTAGAACGATCCTTTCATCTTGCCAGTGGTTAACTACTCCAGCACTCCTAATGCCACAGAGTACAGTAATGGACCCTAAGTCCTAGCTTACTGAGTGAGGACTTAGCACATGCCACATAGGAAGAATTCAAAGGTGCTATCTTTTAACTTAAATAACTTTGTGGAAAAATGTCATGACCACAACTAATGAATCTTTGGTGGGCAGGTGCTTTGATGCACCAGGCTCCTTTAATTACAAAGATGTGTGTTCATGATGATGAAGAGAAGAAGTATCAGAGAGTGCTAGCCCTCTGCGTAGAGGCTTTAGGATTGTATGGGGTAAAATGTATGAGGAAAACTCAGGCAACTACTACCATCAATGAGACTTAGCTAGTGAGTGCCAATACCTTCATCCTCATAAATAATACTAGCACAGGGGGTCTGTGTGTGCCAGAGGGCTACATCTTTATCTGTGGGCAATCTGGGGTGACTGAAATGCAGGGTGGGCAAAGTCATGCCTGGAAAACTTACAGGTCCTGCCCCATTGAGTGTGCTAGGGATGCTCCTAGAATTCACCCCCAAAATGAAGTGCTCCATTGACTCAGGAGCCTAATGCTGTATACCAGACTTACCAAAGACCTGACTGGATGTGTAACTGACTTTGGGTTTACGTCTTTTATGAGATCTTTGGTACCATTCATAGGAGTTATTGCTCATAAAAAAATGAAAATAAACCTGTCCCAAACCATGGCAAATATTGCCTCCTCCATTGCCACTGTCTTAGAAGCCAAGGAAACATCTCCCAGATCCACCCAGAAAGTTATTTTAAACAACAGAATTGTTCCAGACTCTTTTTGTTTGAGATGGAGTTTCGCTCTCGTTGCCCATGCTGGAGTGCAGTGGTATGATCTCAGCTCACTGCAACCTCTGCCTCCCAGGTCTAAGTGATTCTCTTGCCTCAGACTCCAGAGTAGCTGGGATTATAGGTGTGCACCACCACTCCTGGCTAATTTTGTATTTTTTTTTTTTTTTGTAGAGACAGGGTTTCTGCATGTTTGTCTGGCTGGTCTCGAACTCCTGACCTCAGGTGATCCACCTATCTTGGCCTCCGAAAGTGCTGGGATTACAGGCATGAGTCACCGCACTCGGCCCTCCAGACTTTCTTTTAGCTCAACTGGGAGAAGTGTATACAATTGCCAGCACCTCTTACTGTATTGGGATAAACATCTTAGGTATTGTAGAAACATAGGTAGAGGAGATCCAGAAGCTGACCCATTGGTTGTAGACAGTGGGGCCACCTGAAGAATCCTTCTTTAACCTCTATGGCAACCTCTTACCTAGATCTTTGAGACCCAGGGCTAGATTACTACTGCAGAGAGGTCTGGCTGTGCTGCTAGTGGTAGTAGTCCTCCTGGGACTAGTAAAATGTATTCTGGCTATGACTCAATGATGTTTCACTGAGACAGAGTCAGCCAAGGTGTTACATTGATCTGACAAGACAAACCTCCACCTCCAGATCTGGAGAGGTCAATGGGCATATGAAATACACCAGCTTTTCTAAGGGAAATATCTTGGTTGGAGCAGGAGACTGCAGGTCAACTTTCCAGGCGTCCTTGGACTGACCCAATTATCCCCTTTCTTGCTTGCAGTTGTCAAGAGCAACTGTAGTATATGCTGAGAATGCAATATCCTGAGACAGGGAAGAACTGCCTGAAACAGCCTAGGCCTTGTTACTCTCTCCCTTGACAGAGAATGTTCTTCAAAACTTTAGGCCATAGTTTCCCATTGGTCCTGAGGTGTGTAACCTAGGGCAAGCTGTCTTGTGGGGTCCCTCAACTGTGGTACAAGTGGGCCATGCACAATCACTCCATCCACTTCAGGCACTTCACATGCATTCCATCCACTTCAGGCAACTTTGTTGAGCCTTGGGCTACTGGCTCGTAATGGATCGGCTCACATAGGTACCTGTTGTCTCTTGCTGTTTGTCTGTAAATGATACATCTGCTTTATGTAATTTGTTGCATATGAGTGTGTTCTGTTTAACTGAACTCAGACAAGCTAGTAAATAGTACACAGTGTACCTGCCCCACACCCAGGATGTACATGCTAAAGCTAAACAGTGTGACTGCCTGCCAAAAGGAACAGTTTAAATAGAGCTCAGAATTGTCTGCCATGATAGACAAAATGTCCAGAATATAATTACAAATCACCGATCATACAAAGAACCAAGAAAATAACAATTTGAGTGAAAAAAGACAGTTAACTGACACCAACACCAAAACGCATCAGATGTTGGAATCATCTGAATATGATTTTAAAATATCTAGCAAAAATGTTTCAACATCAAATAGAAATTATCTTAAAATATATAACAAAATCGCAAAATATTAACCAAACTTGATTTGTAAAAAAACAACAAAAAAAAGAACCAAATGTAAATTATAAAAGCAAACAAACATGGTAACAGAAATGAAAAATGTGTTGGATGGAGTCAATAGTGCCATTGAGATGCAAGAAGGTAAAATCATTGAATGTGAGGGCAGAATAGTAGAATTTAACCAATTTGAACAACATAAATAAAATAGACTGATATATAAAATGAACAGAGATGTAGGTATGTGTGAGGCAACAACAAAAGATCCAACATTTTTATTACGTGTACCAGAAAAAAAGTAAAATGAGGCTGAAAGAATACTTGAAGAAATAGTGCTTCAAAAAAACCTCAAATTTGCAGAAGACACAAATGTATAGATTCAAGAAGCCTAAGATACCCTACACGGAATAAACACATTTCAAGAAATATTTTGATTAAACTTTTAAAAACTAAAGACAAAATATTTTTATTTGGTAGTTTAGAAACATAAATCTACCACTTTAAAATTATAAAGGTCAGAAATCTTAAATGGTTTTCATTAGGCTAAAATCAAGGTGCCAGCAGCACTGCTTTCCTTCTGGGGACTCTAAAGGAGAATACATGTTCTTGCCTTTTCCAGCTTCTAGGGGCTGTCTTCATTTCTTGTCTCTTGTCCACTTTCCCCATTCCTTGTCTCTTGGTTCTTTCCTCCAGTACAATTAGCAATGTAGTATCTTTAAATATTTTCTACCACACTCTTCCACATTTAAAGGATCCTTGTGATTAAATTGGCCCCCCCCAGATAATCAAGTATGATCTCTTATTTTAAGTTCAGCTGTTTAGTAAGCTTAATGTCATGTGCAACCTTAATACTTTCTTGCATTGTAACATCATATATTCTTATATAACATAGCATATCCTTCCTGACATGGAGAATAGGACAGGGACAGTCTTGTGAGGGGTGGGGGGGGGGCATTATTCTGCTTATCACAGTTAGCAAACAAAGATTTTGTGCCATGAAAACATGGAGGAAATACCCTTATCCTTATTTTTCTTCAGTCTTTCTCATCAAATAGATCTTTAGATCCAAAAGAGAAGACTCAACATTGCTTTTAATTAAATCTCAAGATGAACGAAGAGGCACTATGAGCCCTGGGCCCTAGCATTGGAGTAGAACTCATTCCAAAACAATAAGAAAGTTTAGGAAAGAGATTTTTAAGTTGCTCTAGATATATTTGAGGATTATGGAGAATAGTAAAAGTTTTAGAAGACAAGAAATGGGCAGTGTACTAGTTTTTTAAAGGAAGATAGATCTCATAAACTATAGGTGAATGAGTTTGACATTACTTCTGGAAGCAATTTTAAGAAGCATGAAAACAATACTTTAAAAGCACTTAAAAGAACGCTTTGCAATCATAAAACAACATGGGCACACCGAGAAGAAATTGTATCAGAAAAATGATATTTCTTCCTATTTTTTGAATCTTTATCTTGTCCTTTTATTGTTAGTTGGCATGCAATAATTGTACATATTTATGGAAACAGAGTGATATTTTGATACAGGTGTACAATGCGTAATGATCAAATCAGGGTAATTAGCATTTCAAACACCTCAAACATTTATCATACTTTTGTGTTGACAACATTCAAAATCCTCTCTTCTAGCTTTTTGAAAATATACCATAAATTATGGTTATTTCCATGTGACCAGCTATAGAGCACTACAACAGAACTTATTCCTCCAATATAGCTATAATTTTGTGTCCATTAACCAACCTCTGCTCCCACATCCTTCCCAACATCTAATAACCACAATTCTACCATTTACTTTAATGAGCTCAAATTTGTTTAGCTCCTGCATATGGGTAAGGACAGACAGTATTAATTTTTCTGTGTCTGACTTATTCCACTTAACATAATGTTCGCTAGTCTTATCCATGATTCTGCAAATGACAGAATTTCATTCTTTTTATGGCAGAATATTATTCATATATATATATATATATATGAATGTATATACAAATTTGGTATATGTATATACCACATTTTTTATCTATCCATCCATTGATGGATATTTAGCTTAATTCCATATCTTGGTTATTGTGAAGACAGCTGCAATAAATATGGAGGTGCAGATGCCTCTTAAGTGTAATGATTTCCTTTCCTTTGGATAAACACCTAGTAGTGGGATCACTAGATCATATGGTGTCTCTATTTTGGTTTTGAGAAACCACCATACAGCTTTTCATAATAAGTGAAATAATTTAACTTACCAACAACAGTGTATGGTAGTCTAATTTTTCATGTCTTACATTTAAATTTTTAATCCATTTTGAGTTTATTTTTGTATAAGGTGAGTGATAGGAGTTTAGTTTCATTCTTCTGCATATGGATATCCAATTTTTCCAGAAGCATGTATTGGAGATTGTGTCCTTTCCCCAATGTAGGTTGTTGACAAAACTAAAGACAAAGTCTTAAAAGCAGCCAGATAGAAACAGTCAACTATAGGTGAAACATCACCTATAGAGGAAAACCAATGTAAATGAAAATACGTTTTTTCATCTGAAACAATGGAGGTCAGAAACAAGTTACACAATATTTTTCAGGTAGTGAAAGAAAAGAACTGCCAACTCTGAATGCTACAGATGTTGTAACTATGCTTCTGGAGTAAAGGAAAATTATATTTTTTGAACTGTTTAAAAATTTGTTGTTAGCAAGCTTACCATTAAATGTTTACTAAAACTGTTATTCAAACAAAATAAAGAAAAAAAAGGAATTTTGAACATCAAGAAAGAAGGAAGATATATTAATAGAATTAGCAGAAATATGAATACATCCAATAGATGTGTTTTCCTAGTGAGTATTATAAATCATAGTTGATGATAGAAACAAAAATTATAACTCCACTTGATACTAAAGGAAGTGATACTTAAAAGTATAGAAGATAAAGGAAAATAAATATAAGCTGAGCTTCCTTGCTTTAATCAAAAGTGTAAAACCATTGGTATTTATATATTGTTTTATAAATCGGATATTAAATCAGGTATTAAAATATGAAGAGTAGCATAAAAAGTATATACAAATTTCCAAAGCAAAGAGTGTATATTGTAGATGTATTCAAACATTGTAAGTAAAGCAACATGAAAGCTCGAGTAGCACACAGTAAGTCCAAAAAAAAGGAAAACTGAAAAATGAGAACAAAACAAATGAATATGTAGTAAATAATAAAATGAAATGCTTAGGTTTTAGTACATTAATAATTACATTAAATATAAGTGACATAAATACACCAATCAAAAGAGAAATTAGCTGAATAAATAAAAAAATGCAACCTTAACTATTGCTATAGTAAGAAATACACTTTAATTCAATAGTATCAGTAGGTTGCAAGTAAAATAATATAAAAATACATACCATGGAAATATTTATCAATAAAAGGGCAAAAGTGGCTATATTAATATCTGATAATCTAGAAGTTAGATTCAAAAATCTTACAAAGAACATTACTAACAACAGAAGAGGCAGTTAGAGGCTGGCTGGGCAGATAGAGAGGAAGGGTCTTGGGAGAAAGACAGCACCCATGGGAATGCACCTGCACTACCTTTGTGGTGTAGCTAGAATGTGGAAATGTGGTTAACAACTTCCTCTTATACCAAGATGTCTCTCAGAAGGGACTGTCCCAATTATGTTTCAATAAATCAACTAAATGTCCTTAACTTGACCCAGAGCTAATTGTAATATCATTAGCATTGCAGTTTTGGTGCCCCCATGAATTTTGCTTAGGCACTTATGACTAATAATCAAGATGGAGTCACTACTGCCAAACCTAGGTATGCACAGACAGCACACTCCCAGCAGGGAATTTTACCCCTTCCATTAAGGCAGGACCCACAAAGGACTTCCTTGTTTCTGTCACATAAAGGGATCAGAACTCAGCCCCATTTCTGGCAACCCTTGTTTGGGTCCACTCTTGCTGCTGAGAGCTTTTCTGTTGCTTAATGAATGCTAATTTGCCTTACTCACTCTCTGGTATTTGTGTGCCTCATTCTTTTGGTTGTGGGACAAGATCTTGGACCTCACTAAATTAAGGAGTGAGGAGACTGCAACACTAATAATAAATGTATCAATTCACCAGTAAACATAACAATTCCAAATATATATGCACCAAATAACAAAGTCTTAAACAACATGAAGAGAAAAATTATAGAACTAAAAAATAATAAATTATAGTTGTGGGTTTTAACAGCCTTATCTCAGCAATTGATAGAATTATTGGACAAAAATTTAACAATCAGCAAGCATGTAGAAGATCTGTACAGCACAATCAACCAACAAGATTTTATTCACACACACAAACACACACACACACAGACACACATATACAGATAAATATATATGTCAATTATATATATCTCTCTCTCTAAATATAGAATCAGTCCACAAAAAACAGCAGAATATACAGTTTTTCAGGAGCTCATGAAATATTAACTAAAATACTAGATGATTTCTTGCACCATAAAACAAACCCTGATACATTTAAAAGAATTTATGTCATATAGAGTATGTTCTCTGACCATAGTGGAATTAAAATAAAAGTCAGTAACAGAAAGAGAGCAGGAAAATGTTTAAATGCATTTCAATTATGCAACACAGTTCCAAATGATCTATGGATTAAATATAAAGTCTTAAATAAAAATCTAAAAATATATTTCAAAAAATGAAAGAAAAATACAACATATCAAAATATAGGAAATACAGCTAAGGCTGTGGTGGGAAAGAAATTTATAGTACTAAATGCTTCATTAAAAATAAGAAAAGATCTCAAATCAATAACTTACACTTGTATCTCAAGGAACTAGAAAAAGAACAGAGTAAACCGAAAGCAGGCAGAAGAAGAAAAATAATCATCACAATAACAAAAATTCATGAAATTGAAAACAGAAAAAAATGTGAAACAAAAAGCTGGTTTATTGAAAAAATCAATCAATTGATAAACATCTATCAAAACCAACAAAAATAAATAGAGATGACACAAAACACAACAGCAAATTTTTTAAAAAATGCAAATGATCCAATTAGGTAATGGACAAAAGACATCAATGGACGTTTTAACAAGAAAAATATTCAGATGTCAAATAATCCATGAAACATGTTCAATATTATTAATCATCATGGACATGTCAAATAAAACCATAGTGAGATATTTCTACACACCTATCAAAATGACTTTTAAAAATTGTGACAATAGCAAAAGCTATTCAGGATGTAAAAAATACGATCACTCATAAGTTGCTAGTGGAAAAGTAAAATAATAGAGCCACTCTGAAAAATAGTTGACAGTTTTTTTAAAAGACAGACATGTTATTCATTCTTTCCACATTTTTTTTTTTGTGCTGATTAACCTTCTCTACCTCCTCTCCAATGCCCCAGTATCCTTACTAGCTTCTGTGGGCACTCAGTGTACACATAAAATTTTGAGAAAATAATTAAAAATTTTTTAAAGTAAAATAAAAACCAGATATGCATAGACCATAGATCCCAGCAATTGCAGTTGTGGGTGTTTAATTTGGAGTGATGAAACTTGTGGTCCCACAAAAACTTGTTCACGAATGTCTACAACAGCTTAATTTGTTACAGTTGAAAAGGTCAATAAGCCCAGGTGAATGTTTAATTTGTGATGAATTTATACCAGAAACCATGAAATACTACTCAGTCATCAAAGGAACAAAATATTAATTAATGCAATCATTTGGATGTATTTTTAGGAAATTTTGTCGAGTGAATAAAAGTCAATTATATACATTATGTACAACAGTACAAGTAGGCCTTGAGACCTACGGGATCATTCTGTGTTGCAGCGAGGCCCTGCCTGCCTCACCAGATGTGGTGAGCCTATCCTATCTCACTCGGAGGGGTCCAAAATCGGATCTGAACGGGAGTCCGGAGAACACAGCAGGCATCCTGAAGCTCCACCTCCCTCGGTGGAAGTCGGCTCAAGGAGGTCCTGAGGACAGGACTCCTAGGGGTTTGGCCCTGGGACAGGACAAGACACCCGCGGCCCCCTCTCCCACGCCGCCCCAAACCGGATCCCGGATCCAGCCGCCGCCATGGCGGCAGGAGGAACCGCGCTGCCGCCGCGAGGCGGCGGCAGTATTTAAAGGGGACGCAGCCACACTGCCAGGAGCGGAGCGCGAGTCGGCTCAGCCAATGCGCATGCGCGAGGCGGGAGCGGTTTCTCCCGTCACAGTGGTTCCCACGGTTGTCTTAGAAACCAATCCCCGAGGCTTGGCAAAGCAGGAGCCCTCCGTGGCAGTGCTTGGGTGTCGGGGCTCTGAGGATCCGGCCTGACCTCTCCACGGGGTCGACGTGAACGTCTCCGGATGCCAGGAGTCACAAAGGGCCGACCACGATGAGGAAACCCCAGGCGGGGTCGGGGGAAGCAGCACGGGATCCCAGCCTCAGGCCTGCCCGGACGGTGTTGGTTGGGGTGAGTCTCCCCAAAAGTCGTGCCGCCATCCGTGATCTCGAGGACAGGTCAGCCTGCGTGCCCCTGGGCTGCTCTCTCACCCGAGGGTCGTTCTCATCGTGAGCAGAACCCCGCAGCCTCAGGGGTTGCCTGGTGGTGTGTGTTTCAATGCCTCTTCTGTATGACGCTGTGTGTGTGTCTCTCTGTGTGTGTGTGTGTGTGAGTGTGTGTGTGTGTCTGTGTGTGTGTCTCCCATTCTCTCTTCTCTCTCTGTCTCTCAGTCTCTGTGTGTTTCTTTCCCTCTCTCTGTGGGTTTGTGTGTGCATGCCCGTGTGCGTGTGTGTTTTTGGCTGGAGGTGCCCTGTGTGCCACAAAGCGGTTTTTCGCATGGCGGCCTGTCTTTGTTGAGCCTCTTTCTGCGTCTCTGCCTGGGTCATGAGGCCGGTTGTCAATCGTTTTTGCTGCTGTGGATCCGCTTTGGCTCTGTGAAGGCCTGGCCCACGTGAGGAGATGCGTCGGTCTCGGAGCAATTGAAGTCTCATCCCCATCCTGAGCAGCCTCTTTTCTAGCATCAAAACGAACACACTGCAGAATCCCACAGGAGCTCTTTGTCCTACAGGAGAGCAGCGGACCCACGTCAGAGAAGATGCTTGAGTCTTTTCACGGCTCTTCTCTGAGAAATGAAGCCACACCACGATACAGTCAGCAAGAGGAAGCCGGGAATGAGAGATGGCAACAATCCCTGTCCCTGGAACGCTGGCCTCCCTGGACAAGCCACCCTTTTGGAACCCCACCCCTTATGCCCTTGGCGGTGGCACGGTGCTGTATGCTGCCTGGGCTCCGGCCTCTGCTCTGTCCTCCATCTTACTCTGCCTCCCCTGTTTCTCAGGGGCCTGGATGCCTCTAGCTCTGGCCAAATGCCTTCAACGAAGATGGCTTCCCAGTCCGTCAGGGAGACATTTCTTCGAGATCCGTGCCGTGATTGTTTCTCTCTCCAAACCTGTTTCTGCTTGATTGGGCTGGTCTCATGACCCGGGAACTCTTGACTTCCTTAGGTGTCTCAGGCAGGGAAGCTTCCTTCTCCACGTTTCCCCTCATGGGTGGTTGGATTGCCTAGAATGAGCGCTAGGTGAACGTGACTGGCCTTGTCTTCCAGGACAGGTGGTGTCGCATTTCCTCTGCACTTCCTGTCTCATTCTTGAGGGACATCCTCTCCTCTGCTCCTGGGTGAACTGAAGCCCTTGATCATCTGGCAGAAAAGAATGTCAGGGAACCCAAGGGACTGGTCTAGGGTTGGGGGCTGGTCCTGGGGCTCGGTGCAGCCAAAGTTGTGTCAGGGCTGCCAGGGCCTTGGATGGTTTGGGGTGGGGCGAATTTTGCAGAAACCTCTTTGCTCCTCTGGTAGGCATTTGAAAACGTGGCTTGGGTCAGGCACAGGCCCCCCCCCCACCCCGCGTGTCCCACGTGTTTTTCGATTTTCCTTGGCATTGATGGAAAGGTCACCCGTTTCCCCCTTCCACCGGCACGTTCCTGGACACCACCCTTTGTTTCGCCCTCTCCCCGTATGCCTCCAGTGACACGCATTAACACCAACTGCTGTGGGATAGGCCAGTGCCACGCGTAGTCATATGGTCTCCGCCTCGGATTTGCCCCTGTTCCTCTTTGCAGGTGTCCTGTAAAGCACTGTCGGCTTTCCGGAGCCCCAGGGCTTTTAGAAGCAGGGCAGGCCACTGCTCTTTCTAAGGAGGAGGGCATTGAAAAACACACCCCCAAGCAATCCCTGAGGCTGTGATGTTCTGCTCTCTACGAGAAGGACCCTCGGGTGAGAGAGCAGCCCAGGGGCATGCAGGCCGACCTGTCCTAGAGATCACTGACGGAGGCACGACTTTTGGGGAGACTCACCCCAACAAACACCGTCCGGTCAGGCCTGAGGCTGGGATCCCGTGCTGCTTCCCCCGTCTCCGCTGGGCTTTCCTCATGGTAGTCGGCCCTTTGCGACTCCTGGCATCTGGGGACATTCCCGTTGACCCCAAGAAGAGGTTAGGCCGGAGCCTCAGAGCCCGGAAACCCAAGCACTGCCACGGAGGGCTCCTTCTTCGCCAAGCCTCGGGGACTGGTTTCTAAGACAACCATGGGAACCACTGTGACTGGAGAAGCCGCTCCCGCCTCGCGCATGTGCATTGGCTGAGCCGACTCGCGCTCCGTTCTTGGCAGTCAGGCTGTGTCCCCTTTAAATACTGCCACCTCTGAGCGCGGCAGCAGCGAGGCTCCTGCTAGCCCCGCGGCGGCGGCTAGATCCAGGGTCCAGTTTAGGGCGGCGTGGGAGAGGGGGCCGTGGGTGTCTTCTCCTGTCCCAGGGCCAAACCCCGAGGAGTCCTCACCTCAGGACCTGCTTGAGCCGACTTCCACCGAGGGAGGGGGAGCTTCAGGACGCCTGCTGTGTTCTCCGGACTCCTGTTCAGATCCAATTTTGGCCCCCTTCGAGTGAAATAGGATGGGCTCACCACATCTGGTGAGGCAGGCAGGGCCTCGCTGCAGCGCAGAATGATCCCATAGGTCTCAAGGCCTAGTGTCAGCTGCAAATTCACTTATCCGTCAGCCCTCTGCCTCCCTCCTCCTTTGAAAGAGCGGTGGCCTGCCCCGCTTCTAAAAGCCCTGGGGTTCCGGAAAGCCCACCGTGCTTTACAGGACACCTGCATAGAGGAACAGGGGCGAATCCGAGGTGGAGACCATGTGACCACGCGTGGCACTGGCCTATCCCACAGCAGTTGGTGTTAATGTGTGTCACTGGAGGCATACGGGGCGACGGCGAAACAAAGGGTGGTGTCCAGGCATGTGCCGGTTGAATGGGGAAACGGTTGACCTTTCCATCAATGCCAAGGAAAATCGAAGAACACCTAGGACCGGGGGGGTGGGGGTCCTGTGCCTGACCCAAGCCACGTTTTCAAATGCCTACCAGAGGAGCAAAGAGGTTTCTGCAAAATTCGCCCCACCCCCAACCCTCCACCGCCCTGGTAGCCCTGACGCAACTTCAGCTGCGCCCAGCCCCAGCCCCAGCCCCAGCCCCAGCCCAGTCCCTTTGGTTTCCTGACATTCGTTTCGGCCAGAAGATCAAGGGAGTCAGGCCACCCAGGAGCAGAGGAGAGGATGTCCCTCATGAATGAGACAGGAAGTGCAGAGGAAATGCGACACTACCTTTCCTGGAAGACAAGGCCAGTCATGGTCGCCTAGCGCTCATTCTAGGCAATCCACCCACCCATGAGGGGAAACGTGGAGAAGAAGGAAGCTTCCCTGCCTGAGACACGAATGGAAGCCAGGAGCTCCCAGGTCATGCGACCTGCCCAATCAAGCAGAAACACGTTTGGAGAGAGAAACAATCACGACACGGATCTCGAAGAAATGTCTCCCTGACGGACTGGGAAGTCATCTTTGTTGAAGACATTGGGCGTCAGCGAGAGGCATTGAGGCACTTGAGAAACAGGTGAGGCAGAGCAGGAGGGAGGACAGGGCAGACGCCGGCGGCCAGGCAGGATATATCACCGTTCCACTGCCAGGGTCATAAGGGGTGGGGTTCCAAAAGGGTGGCTTGTCCAGAGAGGCCAGCATTCCAGTGACAGGGACTGTTGCCATCTCCCATTCCCGGCTTCCTCTTCCAGACCTTATTGTGGTGTGGCTTCATTTCTCAGAGAAGAGCCATGAAAAGATACAAGCATCTTCTCTGACGTGGGTCCGCTGGTCTCCTGCGGGACAAAGAGCTCCTGTGGGGCTCGTGTCCTCGTCTGCAGTGTGTTCATCTTGATCCTAGAAAAGAGGCTGTTCAGGATGGGGAGGATATTTCAATTGCTCCGGGACTGAAGAATCTCCTCACGTGGGCCAGGCCTTCACACACCCAAAGCGGAACCGCGTCGGCGAAAAGGATTGACAACCGGTCTCATGACCCAGGCAGAGAGGCAGAAACAGGCTCACCAAAGACAGGCCGCCATGCGAGAAACAGCTTTGTGGTGCACAGGGCACATTCGGCCAAGGACACACACGCACACGGGCACACACACACAAACCGACAGAGAGAGGGAAAGAAACACACAGAGACTGAGAGACAGAGAGAGAAGAGAGAATGGGAGACACACACACATACACACACAGACACACACACAGAGTCTTATAGCAAAGGCATTGAAAGACACACACCCAGGCAACCCCTGAGGCTGTGGGGTTCTGCTTTCGACGAGAACGACCCTTCGGTGAGAGAGCACCCCAGGGGCACGCAGGCCGTCCTGTCCTCGAGATCACCGCGTCACGACTTTTGGGGAGACTCACCCCCACCAACACCGTCCAGAGAGGCCTGAGGGAGGGATTCCATGCTGCCTTCTCCGGACTCTGCGTCGGGTTTCCTCACCCTGTTTGGCCCTTTGTGACTCTTGGCATCCGGAGACTTTCCCCTCGACCCAGTGGAGTCGTCAGGCCGGAGCCTCAGAGCCTTGACACCCAAGCACTGCCACGGAAGTCTCCCCCTTTGCCAAGCCTCGGGGACTGGTTTCTAAGACAACCGTGGGAACCACTGTGACGGGAGAAACCGCTTGTGCTTCGCGCATGCGCATTGGCTGGGCCGACTCCTCCCCTCCTGGCAGTCAGGCTGCGTCCCCTTCAAAGAACGCCACCGCTGAGAACTGACCCTCACATCTCCCTTCCTGAATTTCTTTAGGGAAAGCAACAACCATCCCTGTAAGCCATGGGTTTTCATGCGGAGGAAGGAGAGGGCTAGTTGTCTGAGAGGGAAACTGCTTAAGGCTGCAGACTAGGAAATGGGATTCCAGGTTTAAGATAGCTCCTTTCTGGACCTCAGTCCTTCACCTAGTCACCTAGTCACAGGGTGGATCGCCTCTAAGGATACTTAGTGGAAAAGGAACCAAATTCGGGATGGTTCTCCTTGCTTTAAGCCTTGATGGGAGACGGGGAGGCCAACCCTTCTCTGCAGACCGTGATCCTCACTAGACAGAGGAGCTCCAAACCTGCCCATCTCATCCCATGCACCTACGGTGCCTGGCCTGGCTCCAAACTCCCGAAAGGAACTATTTTACAGGTGCCAAAAAGGGGACAGTGTTGATAATAATAATAAAATGAAACAATCTGATTGGGGCATTGCTGGATCAGAAAATGTGTGACCTTTTTAAAGTTAAATTGTTAAAAAATTTTAACTATTAAACATTTTAAATATTAAGCCTGATCTGTTTGGTAGCCCTGGAGCAGGGCTGAGGCATAGAGAGAAACCTTTCCTTCAGCCAGGTGGTCTGTGTCACACTGATTTATTTTTATTTTATTTGTGGATTTCTTAATGGACCCAACGGTGGTTCCTCTTTGCATCCCTCGGGTTGACAGGCAATTCCATCCTAGCCCAGTTCTCAGCTCTGGTTTAGTTTTCATAACTTTTGGGGGTCCAGGGAGCCATGAGACTGGAGATAGAAAACAGAAGTTCACTGGGGCGGTGGGTCTGCCTTGGCTTACCCCCAAATTTCTGGATTCCAGGTGCCTTGCTCCAGTCCCCGCCCCATCCTAGGCTCAGGATGCTCTCCCACCCTACTAACCACCGGTCCGGTCAAAGCCCAAGCTGCTGCCAGCCGCCATGTTATCTCCTAGCCTGGCTAGGGTGCCTGCTAGCCAGCAGTGGCTATGGTGGTGTGCAGAGTGAGGGTGAGTTTTTGTATTGACTGCCATTCCATTTACCTCAAGAAGTATGTTTGGGCAACCATTCTGTGCCAGGCAGCAGACAGAGTCCCTACACTGCAGGAATTCCTAGTCCTGTGGGCAGGGGTGTGTGGAGGATGGCACATGGTGGTTAGCCTGGTCCAAGGGTCTCCACTCCCTTCCTAGCATCCTAGAGATCCTGGAGGCTAGGTTGGCCACAGAGACTGAGTTCAGGACAATTCCTTCACGCAGTTAATGAAGTTAATCTGTAAGTTCCTGGTTAAAAAAAAAAAAAAACACACACACACACACAAAAACACAAAAACTGGCAGTCGTGGGAGGTATTTCCCCACTGGGCTGGTTGGTAGCAGGGGAAGAACTGTGGACCCCTGGCCGAGTGGCGCCTGGAAGGAGGCTGACGTAAGAGTGGTGTAGCTGTGAGTAGGAGAAGTGAGATCTAGTGGGGTAAGTCCATGTTCCCTGTTCCTAAAGTCAAATTCTCCCTGAAAAGACCCAGGGCAGCACTGTTAGGGAGCTGAAGGAGTCCCTCTGTACCCAGAGGGAATTAGGCCACTCAGGCCTCAGAGAAGGAGGGCGGGTGGTGAGGACAACCTCCCCAAGCCCCCATCAGAGCAGGCCCAATACTTGGAAATTCACTCCTCAGTCCACCAGATTCTGGTCCCATCCTACATCCCCACCAGGGCACAGGAGGCCCACATAAAAACAAGCTTTATTTGGCCAAATTAACTCACTTTCCTGGATTACCTTACTTATTGGAAAGCGAAAGTACACCCCACGCTCCTCGCCCTGTCCCTGCCGAAACCTCTTTATCTCTGAAGCCCACTCTTTAAGACCTAAAAATTAAGGTTCAAGAGAAACGCTCTAGGACTACAGGAGTGACACGACAGTCCCTATCCTACAGTGCACTAAAAGCCAAACTGAAGGCTGCTTCCTCGGTGGAGAGTGTCTCAGGGTGAGGTGGCAGGACTGTTAGCCGCTTCTCATTTTACAAGCTCCTTGTCCACAGTCATCTGCACCAGCCCCTCACAAAACTGGTTCTCGCCTTCTGGTGGGTGCTGGTGTTTACCCCTTTCCTCCCACTATCTGTTCAAACCGAGCCCACCCACCCTCCATTCACCTCCCCTCCTTAAGGCTCCCTGAGCTCTATTTACCCTTTTGTAACTCCATCCCTCCATAAGTACACAACTCTCCTAGCTGGTTTCCTAGAGGGCAGATACAGTGTTTCCAGTCGGCCCTCTGCAGATATCTGTGAATAAGTCTCTCCCAGCCCCTACATATAAATGTGTCTGTTCTAGACAGATGGGCCTAAGTCCCAACGTAAACACATCACTGGATAATTACACCTTATATACATACAGATTTCTCTATAGAGTTATATTTGAAAGTGTCTATAACTCTAGAGAGAGATTGCAGCATGCACATATAGGACTATAATTACTTATGTCTATTTTTATAACTATGCAGTTATAAATAGATATGCCTATATACAGTGATAATAATATAGAAATATCTCCATAGCCATATATGGCTCTAAGTGAATGCTCTAACTACTCTATTTCGCAATCAATAAGTATATATCTCCTGATACATAATTCTAACAATATACGTTTTTATCTATATAGCTGTTCAGAGATATAAATCTGTCAGGATATCAAATGTACATAAAGCCGGATGGCTGTAAGGGAGTCGCATATTTTCCCATATATAAATCTGCTCCTATAACTACTGTATATGCACAAATACAATGGAAATAATTATATTTCCCTCAAACGTAAATCTGTAAATACAACCACAGCACATTTAGGTACCATTAGACATAGAGCAATATTTCCTAGACATCAGTCTGTCAGTAGAGCCACCAGTGCCTCCAAACAGAGAGTTATAGAGGGAGTTATAAATAAACTCTCCAGATGTGAACGGATCAGTAGAACTAGATGTAAACATGACTCCAAGCCGTTCCTCCTCCTCCTCCTTCTTCTTTGTAAGATATTCCTGAAGCAAGCCCAGTCATATAACAGGGTGCAGAGGTGTCTGGGTACTGGTATTTTTTCCCCCAAGGAGGGTCGGAGGTGGCTGGACTTTGGGAAACTGTGCAGGAGTGGGTAGGGGACAATGCCCGCTCCCAACACAGCCCAGAAGCCCCTTCCGTCTGTCTCCTGGTGGCTGAGAGCTCGGGCAAGTGGAGAGGCCTAAGGGAGAAAAATGAAAAAGCAGAGTCTGGCTTGAGTCGTTCAGCCCTTCGGCCTAAAACCCTCTCAACAGGGAAGCCCCGAACAGGCGTCGGAGCGTAGAGAGCCCACGAGGCCCAGAGGCTGGGGGTAAGGGGCTGCAGGCCGGGCTGCGGAGGCCGAGCAGAGTCGCCAGCCGGTGCCTGACTGCCCGGCGCCCCATCTCCCGGGGCCGCTGCCTCGCCCTCGGCCTGGAACACAAAACCTGGGCCCTAGCCCTGCGCCCTGTGCTCAGCACTTCCACTGGTCTTATTTTATTGCTGTTTTGTCCAATTAGGTATCGCAGCGTCCTCCACCCGGTGTTGTTTTCAAATGCGAGGGCACCCAGGGCTTTCTGAATGTGCGTGTGTGTGTGTGTGTGTGTGTGTGTGTGCGTGTGTGTGTGTGTGTGTGTGTGTGCTGGCTTTAAATAAGTGACTCAGTGGATAGTGTATTTCTCTTTTCAGACCAAATGGGTCACCGGCTACTGAAAAAGAATCCAGACCTCTGAAAGGGTTCGTGACAAATTTTTTAGAAGTTCTCACGCTCATCTGTTACGATGATTTTCTTTTCTTTTTTCTCTTTTAAAAAAGTTGGCTAATTTGTGTTTCTATATTCCTCTTTAATTTTATTTTTATTGGGGGTACAAATGTTTTTAAAGGAGGGATTTCGTTAGACCCGAAACTGTGGGGTGGCTTCCTCTCTAGCCAACTTACTATCTCTACGCCTGTGATTCCCATCTCCCCCAAGAAAACAAACCAATTAAATGACCAGAAAACTGTACCTGGAGAAAATGAGGTATATGTTGCAGGATCCGGGACCGCGGTCTTTGCTTGCTTCGTGAAAAATCGGCTGGTCTCCAAACTCGCGAAGGAAAATTCAAGGCGCCTCAACTCCTCCTTTTAAATTTTTTAATAAAGAGCCTAGAAGGGGAACTTTCCCTGGGCCTGCCGGAGTCCCAGCCTGGCTCTCCCAACTTCCCAGCGGCCATAAGTGTTTTTCTGCTTCCATTCGGGCCCCCCGTCTTCCCGGGCATCTCTGAGCTCCTGCCGGATCAAGGCTGTGGTCATCACCTCATTCATCTCTGCTGCTTGGCCTGAGCCTGCACATTTGGCCTCCTTCTTAAAACAGGGGCTCCTAGAGAGTCCCAAAATCCACTAACCATTCCCATATGTGGGATCCCTTCCCTGATCACACAAAGCAGAAGCCTGAGAAAAAAAGCAATAAAGAGTGGCCTCCTGGCTCTCCTTCTCCTCTTACGTCCCTTGTCTGGGAAAGGGGTTCCCAACCCCAGCCCCACCAAGAGCATATTAAGAAGCTGTCTTCCTCCCTTCCTTTCCTATCTCCCCCTCAGATGCTGTGATCCTGACTCCTTCTGTCTCCACCTCAAAATATTTCCTCTTGCATTTTATTGTTATTCTGTTATGCAGGGACTGTTAACTACTGTTTTATTATTATTATTCATTATTTATTGTTATTAAGATTGTCGTTAGAGATTTGTTCACCACCGTTCAAGGGACAGCAGCCTGGCCCAGTGGGAAGCCTGCCTCTCCCTGTCTCTCTCTCTCTCTCACACACACACACATACACACACACACACCCTAACACAGTGCACACTCACGCATATATGCTCACAAATGCCTGCTGTGTTCGGGCCCCTGCACAGCAATCCGAAGAGGCAGGCATCCTACCCCAGCATGCAAACAACACACTGCCCACGCACACCAGCATTCAGGCAGAACACCACCCCCACACCAACGCCAAAACCCACACGCACCGAGCTTGCAAGGAAAGGAAAATACATAAAGAATCCCTTCTCTCCAAAACCTGGAGGGGCGAGTCAGGCCTCTGTCTCTTCCCCCCAGTCGCTTTCGCTTTCTCTTTTTTTTTTCTCCTTGTTTACAGCTTCAGAGAGCTCAAGGCCCATAAATCTTGAGGGGTCTACAGAGCGCAGAGCACATTTGTATGCATCGTTAGGACTCGCTAATACCTAAGCCCATTAAGGAGCGTGCATGCGCGTGGTTTCCGGTGTGTATTAACTTATAGTTAAATTCTGGAGGAAAGGGCATTGTGAATTAACATATACCAAATCCATCATGGGCTTTTGTCATATCAGATTAGTCAGTCATGGGTTTGGGGGAGTAACTTGCCTGGGTCGGGGTGTACCCACCCTTCAAACTTTGTGGAGCAGGCCCGGGGGTCTTGGGAAACACGAAGGCATTCCTATCCAGCCCCAGTCATTCGGATCCCCCAGGCCTAGCGGCTGCACACTTGTGAGATGGCGGAGGGACTGCAGACCCGGGTGCAGGAGGCCAGTGCCAGCGAAGAGAGGTGGGCAAGGGAGGCCCCTCCAGCGTCCTGCTGGGGTTGAGTTGGGGCGACTCGTCCCGTGGCCGCTGGGTCGTCTGGTTTCCCCTTTCCGAAAGAAATGAGAGGAGAGGCAAGTGGAGTCGCTGAACTTTGATTAAACCATAGAGAAGACAGTGGGAGGAGGGAAAAAAAAACAGATCGGAGAAGGAGGAGGAGGTGGCCGAGAGATCGAGGAAAGGAAGTCCTAGAGGCTCTGGGGAATTTGGAAATCTCTCCAAGGGGCTGAAAGCTGGAAGTTGTATGAAGGTGTTCCTTTCCCACACCCCAGCTACTCCGCCCCAGTCGAAGAGGCTAATTCCGGGCCTCTTATAAAAATAAGAAAGAAAAGGTAAAGAAAAAGAAAATCTAATTATGTGGCATGTTTCAGCCAGGTGTTCCTGGTTCCAATGACTCAGACCCTATTGGAGCCCCAAGTATCTGGATAATTGGGCCTGCCTAGACAGAGATGAAGGATGCCATTTCTAAAAGGAGGAAGGGGAGAGGAAAGTCCATCTCTTGGGGTCTTGTAGAAAATGCCAAAGACCAACCAAGCTAAATTATTGTGTCCCTGTAGATCTATTTGCCTCTTTACGTACAGCAGGCTGTGGGGGTGGGGGGTGAGGGAAGGCCGGGAATAAACGACCAGGATGGAGCGGGCTGGCAGGAGAGAAAATGCGCCCCCCACTCTTTGCGGGAACAGCCAACGGGCCTCCTCAGCTCGCAGCTCAGGCGGCCGCGCGGCAGGCCGGTCCTGGGCCGGGGTCCGGGGCCGGGAGGCGGGGGCGGGAGGGGAGGCGGAGGCGGGCCCTCCCGGGGCGCTGTGAACTTTAGCTGGGCCGCCGCCTGTCAGCCCCAGAAAGCGTTAAAGGTGCAGCAGCCCGCGCCAGCCTCCGCAGCCGCCTTTGTACGCGTGATTTATGACTTCAGTCTTGGTTCACCAAGA
The DNA here is from genome assembly GCF_000001405.40 of Homo sapiens. Classification (NCBI taxonomy): domain Eukaryota; kingdom Metazoa; phylum Chordata; class Mammalia; order Primates; family Hominidae; genus Homo; species Homo sapiens. The sequence goes on from NC_000009.12 coordinate 41,655,425, forward strand.
GTTCACACGGCTTTCGCTGCTGTTGAAGGTTAAAAGATGGTCTTCGCTTGACAAGTTGGACTATTGAAAATTCCTTCTTCTTCTTCTTTTTTTTTATTTTAGAAGCGAAGAGCAGAGGCTCAGGAGAGAAAAAAATTGGGGAGGGGGTGGGGGACAGGGGTTGCAGGTGGGCCAAAATGGTAGGTCAGGAAGGTTTGTCTTCCTATATTTAGGATTTTTTGTTGTTAGGATTTGCGTGTGTGTTGGGGAGAGGGTAGAGAATAAGAGGGAGCTAGGCAAGAGATGTAAAGATCTCTCATATTTAGAGGCCAAAGGAGTGAAAAAAAAACTTGCTTCCACAGTTAATTATCTGGGTAACTTGGGTCACACCCCCTAACTGATCCTCCTCTAGAGACCGGAAATGGGCCAGGTAAGGGAGAGAGTTTGGGTAAAGGGTAAGGTTTGTGTGCTTCTCACTGGGTGTACTTGATCATCCACCTTACCTGGGTAACTACTTTTTTTTTTTTTTTTTTGGAAATGGGGTCCAGCTCTGTTTCCCAGGCTGGAGTGTTGTGGCACCATCATAGTTCACTGAAGCCTCAATCTCCTGGGCTCAAGTAGTCCTCCCACCTTAGCCTCTTAAGTATGTGAGACTGCAGGCATGTGCCACACCGCCAGGCTGGGTAGCTGCCTTTCAATGTGCTTCTGCACCCACAGATTTGGAAAAGGGCATTTTTAGGCAGCAGTCTTTCAACTCTCTTCATCCTGTAGGTTTAGCCTGCCATTTACATTTGATACACATGAAGAGGCTAATGGGAAGGAAATCTATAGAACTGGAATTGGAAGTCCTTTCAAATCCCAAATTCCCTTGGTCTAAGAGCCAGTCTCTCTTCTTTCTAGCATTTTGACAATGGTCGTGCCACAGCAGAGGTGGTGGTCAAAGATCTCCCAAAGACCAGGATCTAAGGCTCTGAGTACTTGGAGAGACAAAACTCACTCCTTCTTTGTAGATTCAGAGAGAGAGAGAGAGAATGAGGAGATACCTTGAAGCTGAGGGTCTGCTTGGCTTTTCGAGGTTTTTTTTTAAGATATGTTTTTTAAAAATTTTCTGGAGTGGGAATTGGGATTGTGTGCACTGGGAAGGGGAATAGCAGAGAGCTGGGTCTGGAGTTGGGTGTGCCTCCCTAGCCCTATTAAGGCCCTATCTCCATTACCGACGCTAGGTAAATGTCTTCTTAAGAGATAGAGCCAGCCCCTCAAATCCAGATCTGGGAACCAAAGGCATCCACGCTAGAAGGGGCACTCCCTGCTTCTCTTTCTACATAGCATTACATAGGTATTTTCCCACCATGTGAGGACTTAGATAAGAGAAGGATAAGAGCCAGAAAGATGTCCACATCTCGCCGGGACACCTAGCACCAGGCCCTCCTACAGGGGACCTCATATGTAAATAGCAGAATGGGGAGCAGAGAACAGAGAGACCCCAGAAATCCAGAGTCCAGGCTCTGAGGTCACTTTGGCAGGAATGGTCCTCTGGCCTTATGAAGAACAGAGGGGCAATATGACACTGTTTAGAAGCTCAGGGGGTGGTAGCTGTTAGGAGGAATCAGCCAAGGAAGCTAATGGATCTCTTCCAGGTTCTGGTTGGGAAGCAGAGGAATGAACTTAACGGCCTCTGGAAGTAATGTCTATACTGAAGTCCCCTTCTCACACTTTCTGACTGTGTTCCTCCCTGGGAAATAATTCCAGTGGGCTTGTGCTTATCTGCAAGTCTGGGGTAATTATGAATTATTAATTCATCATTAAGACTTAATTGTGACCATTGCTCTCCAGTGGACCCATTTATCTCCTTCTTTGTGAGGCAGAGGGCAGCCTCTGTTAGCCCTTGGCTTCTGTAACAGGCAAACCGAGGCCAGCCCCTCTTGAAGGCAGTCCTTGAACTCTGCCCCAGGTGGGATGGTTGCCTCATTACCAGTCAAGTCATGTTGCACCTCAGAGTATTTGTGCGATAGAGCCACCTCCCACAAACTTTGGATTTCAAAGTGCTTTGTAGGCTCCTGGAGGGATAGAGTAGGGGACTGGGAGTGAGACTCCAACAGGGGAAGAAACTTGGCCAAGCTGTGTGTGGAGACAGGAATTAAGGCGAGGTGGGAGGACTCCCAGGCACAGTATCCAAGCAATCTGGGATCAGGAATGGGCATTTTGCCTTCCTTACCCTAAGGAGATGCTAGTCTCCCTCAACTCTCTGGGGACTCCTGAACACACATCTGGCCCCTTTTCCTGACCTCTCTTCCCCCACCAGCCTCTCAATAGAGAAGCACAGGTTTCAAGACACATCATCCCCTCCGATGGTTAGGGGTGGGAAAGTCAGATCTGCCAGTTGTTTCACATCTGTGAGAGGCCTGGAGAGGGAGAAAACTGCTCCTATCCCATGAGGTAATTCCCATCTAAATCCCTGCTATAAGCTCACCTCCCCCAGCACTGAAACAATTCTCTTCATCCTTTTTTCCCCACTCTTCTTCCCTCTGGAACCACAGACAGGGAGATTGAGGGCGGGAGAGGCATCTCCCAACAGCTGTACCTAGAGGAAGAGACAGAAGTAGGAAATGAGGGGAGAGTGGCTTAAACCTGTTATTTCCCACAAGGTTTATCTCCATTCTTCAAACCCAGGTCAACACCCTGAAACCAGAGCCATGGGAAGCCCTCTCTCCTTGTTCCCCCAACTCTCTCTCTCTCACAGAAAAGGAGCCCTGTGTCCCTCCCTGAGGCCAAGGGGCTGCTCTAAAAACTGCTCTAAGAACACTACCACTTTCTACAGGACACCTGAGGGCCCAACACCCATGGATCTCTAGTGCCTGTCTGGTCCAGAGGGAGCCAGTGGCTCTTGCCAGCACATCAACATTTTGTGCCCCACGAGGGGGGTGGTCCATGGAGTCATCTCAACTTTCAGCCCAGACCTCACTCACTCTTTCTCCAAGCCACGCCAACATTCCTTGGTCTCTTCTAAGCCAGGAGGCAGGTAGGAAGCCCATTCAGAGGGTCCCCTGGAACTGGCTAATATAGTTTAATTTACTGTTTGGTGGTAAATAAAGAGAACTTGGGAAAAAAGGGAAGGAGCAACTGTGCCTAGCGTCCTTCTCAGCCACCCGTCCCCTGGACATTGGCTTTCTCCTTGAAACAGTGCACTGTTGTTCTTGGACAACCATTCCCCACCATCTTCGTTGGAAGGGCTTGAGTTTCACCCTCCGTTCACCCCCATTAATCACCCCAGCAGCTAAACATCACCCAGCCCCCTCTGGCCCTTTCTCTTCTTGCCCTTAGTATTCATGGCGGAGCATTCCTCACTGCTGCACGCTCACAAAGACCCCTCCTCTGACACGAGGTCCCTCCCACTCCCCAACCACCCAGTCCACGATGGGCACTGCTCACTGGATGTTCCAACTGCCGGTGTCCACTCCTGGACCCCGTTCCCCCACTCCCCAGCTATCTCCGTAGCCACGGCCCCCTTCCCATGCACGTGTTGGTTTACCACACCCTCCTTCAGGTACCTCCTCTTAGCCCTACAAACCCTCTTCAGTCTTTCCCAGCCACCATTCTGTCCTCCATGCCCTATGCATGTGTAGCCCTTGTCTGCTTCCCTATACTTCTTGCTTCTCTCTTCTTTCCTTCCCCAAGACATTCCGTAGGCACTTCATATGGTGGACCAGAAGCCCTTCCCTTCTGGCCTTGAGAAAGTGAGAGGCAGTGTACCACAGGGGTTAAAAGCATGGGTTTGTGATTCAAGTCCCTCATCTGACACTCGCTAGTTGTACAAACTTGGGCAAATTACTTAACATCTCTGAGCCATCCATAAAATAGACATACCCACTGACCTTATAGAGTTGTTCTGTAGATCAGATTGAATTTTATTTGCATAGATCCAAGCATTCAGCAGGGGCTTGATAAATGGTAGTTATTGTGTTACAAGCTTCTTGTGAAGAAAGAGAGATGTTCTTCAGATTCTAAAAAGTGAAGGAATTGCCTCCTCCAGCACCAGAGAGGGAGGGATAAAAATTACACAGTGTTGCAGATAATCAGGACCCATTTACCGGGCAGTGATACTCTTCTATTAGCTCTAGAGGGTCTCAACTTTCGCTGCACATTGGAACCCCCAGCGAGTTTTTTTGTTTGCTCATTTTTGTTTTTGAGATGGTGTCTTGCTCTTGTCACCCAGGATAGAGTGCGGTGGCACATCTCGGCTCACTACAACCTCTGCCTCCTGGGTTCAAGCAATTATCCCTGCCTCAGCCTCCCGAGTAGCTGGGATTACAGGTGCTTGCCACCATGCCCAGCTAATTTTTGTATTTTTAATAGAGACGGGGTTTCACCATGTTTGCCAGGCTTGTGTCAAACTCCTCACCTCAGGTAATCCGCCCGCCTCGGCCTCCCAACGTGCTGGGATTACAGGTGTGAGCCACCATGCCCAGCCACAAGTTTTTTAAAATACTGATGCCTGGGTCCCACCTCCAGAGATTCCAATTTGGTTGGCCTGTAGTAGGGCCTGGGCATCTGGATTTTTTTTTTTATTATACTTTAAGTTTTAGGGTACATGTGCACATTGTGCAGGTTAGTTACATATGTATACATGTGCCATGCTGGTGCGCTGCACCCACTAACTTGTCATCTAGCATTAGGTATATCTCCCAATGCTATCCCTCCCCCCTCCCCCCACCCCACCACAGTCCCCAGAGTGTGATATTCCCCTTCCTGTGTCCATGTGATCTCATTGTTCAGTTCCCACCTATGAGTGAGAATATGCGGTGTTTGGTTTTTTGTTCTTGCGATAGTTTACTGAGAATGATGATTTCCAATTTCATCCATGTCCCTACAAAGGACACGAACTCATCATTTTTTATGGCTGCATAGTATTCCATGGTGTATATGAGGGATCTAGAACTAGAAATACCATTTGACCCAGCCATCCCATTACTGGGTATATACCCAAATGACTATAAATCATGCTGCTATAAAGACACATGCACACGAATGTTTATTGCGGCATTATTCACAATAGCAAAGACTTGGAACCAACCCAAATGTCCAATAATGATAGACTGGATTAAGAAAATGTAGCACATATACACCATGGCATCTGGATTTTTAAAACTCCCCAGGTTGCTAATGTGTAGCCAGAGGTTGAGATGCAGGCCCTAGGAAATGATACAAGAGATAAGGGGAGGGCTGACACTTCTGCCAGAGCAAGAGAGGGGAGGGATACTCAGCTGAGAGCTGCTTCTCAACCTTGGACATCCCCTCACCACAGGCACTGCTTCAGTCCGGGAGGTTTTCACTTAGAATTAGCTTCTCTTGAGATCCCAGAATTTCAGAGACTCTCACCCTTTTCATTTCCTATAGCTATTAGAATTTACAAAGGGGCCACCCCAAGAGGAGACAGAGGAATTGACAAATTGACCTCTAAGAGGCTCATCTCTTATCCGAAAAGCATATGGTCCCCAGATCACCAGTGATAGAAGCAGAGGCAGATACCTCTAGTAGTTGGAAAATTTGTAGTTACATAGTAAATGCAGTTTCTACCTGGTTGCTACAATAATAGGCCAAGCGATTAGGATACAAGTTTCCAGGATCTTTTCCTATATTTCCAAAAAGATAAATCACCCCTAGGAACAGAATCTGCATATTGTAATTAACTGATAAATATTTCATGCCTGGCTCAAACTTTCTCCTCTTCTATTTAATGGCCACAAACTTGAACACAGAGGAAACAGCAGTGAGGAGAGTGGGGGTTGGCTGTAGTGGGGAAGTTCTACCTTGGCTTCAGGGAGGGAGAAACTGTCTTGGTTAATTATTTACTGTCCTCCTCTTCTTTTAAGAAAACATTGCTCACCTGGAGAAAATCAGGTCCCAGGTGGTAAAGGGTGTGACTTGGGCTTGTTGGCCTCAGCCCTGACCTCCCCCAGGAGAGGCCAGGTTTTGGTGACCCTGGGGGTGCTGGGAACTGCAGGCTTTGGAGTCAAGGGCCCAGTGTTTAAACAAGAGCTCTGTTCTGTCACTTATTAACTGGATAGCTTTAGGTAATTTACGTAATTTATGTGAAACTCAGTTTCTTCATCTGTAAAACAGACATAATTTTTACCTTGTAGGGTGGCCTATGCTCAGTTGGCTCTCAATGCATGATAACTATTATTATCAACAGTAACAATGAATAATTAATAGCCCATTGGATTGTACTCTTTCCCTTCCTCAACCCTGCTCCAATGTGTAGGGCACCTAAACTACTGAATGCTTACTGTGAGTATGGTGAATGCCTTAGCTCAATTAATCAACATAATTCTTTGAAGGGAATGTCTTATCATCCCTACTTATCTGTGTTTTGCAAATGAGGGAACAGGGCATGCAGAAGTTAAATACCCTGCCAGGTGTCACACAACTAAGTGGTTAAGAGCACAGGCTCTGCAGTCTGACTGTGTAGTTTCAAATTTGGGCTCTGCCGCTTAATAATAGACTCTCCTTGACTTACGATGAGGCTGTGTCCCGATAAAGCTGTAGCAAGCTGAAAATATTGTAAGGTGGATATGCATTTCATACACCTAACCCACCAAACATCATAGTTCAGCCTCGCTTACCTTAAAGTGCTCAGGACACGTTCATCAGCCTACAGTTGGGCAAGATCATCTAGCACAAAGCCTATTTTATAATAAAGTGTTGAATATCTCATGTATTCAACATGAGATATTTATTCATCTCATGTATTCAACATGAGATTCAACATGTTATAATATACTGTACTGAAAGTGAAAAACAGAGCGGTTGTATGAGTATTAGAAGTACAGTATCTAATGAATGCATATCACTTCGGCATCATCATAAAGCTGAGAAATTGTAAGTCAAAGCATCATAAATTGAGGACCGTCTGTGATCACTGCAGGATGGAACATAAACTGCTTAACCTCGCTAAGCCTCAGTTTCTTCATCTGTAAGTTGGGGATATGAATGGTACCTACCTGAAAGGTAGTTGTGAGAATTAAGTGAGAAATGCGTGTATAGTGCCTGTCTCAGTACTGGCATGTGGTAAGTGCCTAGTAAATGTGAGTTGTCAGTACCATCATCATACTACCCAGCAACTCAGTGCCATGGCGTCTCCTGCTCTTTGGTGGTGTTTGGGAGGTGAGTGAGTGTGAGGGTCCTCCAAAGGTCACAGAGCTGCTCTTTTAACTCCCCCTGACAGACACACACACTTCAGTATCTAGGACTCGGGAGAAAGGACACTAAGCAGATTATGACTCCATTTCAGGAATTAAATCAAAACTCAAGACTATCTCAATTTGGCTTCTGACTAGAGGGAAAGGTTAAAAGGGAGTGAGGAAGCGGCTGGGTGTGCGTTCAGAATTGCAATTGGTTCTGGATCCCACCTCCCAGCCCCTCCACAGGGCCAGGCCCAAGGAGTATCCCCCAGGGGTGGAGGAGTGAAGGAGCCTTAGAACCTGTGTTATCTGAATGTGGGTGAGGTGGGGAGAACATGGTCAAGGAGTTGGGAAATTATCCAGAAACATTTTTCAAAGGGAGATCTTCCCGCATACCACCTCAGCCTGGCTCTGGATTGCAGGGGAACTCCAGAAGGGATGGGGTCTGGGGGCTTAAGACAGGTAGGTGGCCTCAGTAGAGGGGAGAAAAAGTCCTGCTGGAGACAGTCGCCTCCCTGGAGAAGTACCTGGGCTAGCGTTCTCTTTAAAGACGTCTAAGCAGTCCTGGTATGCTAAAAACATTATGTGTATGTGTATAAACATATATTCTGTGTGTGAGTAGCCACTCAGCTCTTACTTGGCTTCGCACATTTGGCCCAGATTATTCTGAGCATTGTAAACTAAAAGTGAAATTCGGTTTCTACTTAAGAGAGAGCGTGATTTTCCTCAGTATTATCTCCCGTGCCCCCAACACTCCACCAGGCTTTAAAGGCCATTATACAGAAGGGAGAACTGAGACTCCAGGAGATCGGTGGCTTGTTCAGAATCACAGAAGCAGCGTGGATCCAAGAAGGGATCTGTTCCCAAACAGAAACCAGTGTCTTGGGAGAGAGAGAGCAGAGGAAGCCCGCACCTCTGCCCTAACCTGAGGCTTTGAGCCTCCCGCAAAGCCGAGTGAGTTGAGAGCGCCCAGAAGGCAGACGCTGCGGAGGGAGAGACTCCTGGGCTAGCCAAACAGCAGGGCCTCGGGCAGGAGCGTCACCTGCGCATCCTCATTCTGCGATTACTGTCAGGGGACCATCCATCAAAGCCGCCCTGGACGCTGGGCCAGACTGCCCGCCGCCGGCACCGACCGGGTCTCTCCAGATCGCATTAGCGTGGGGCGAGGGCTCAGTGCGGCACTGGCTGCTGAGGGAGAGGCGTGGCGGGGAGGGGGGCGGGGCGGGGGGACGGGGACATCGCGGTGGGGCCATTGCAGGGGCAGGGGAGTGGCTGCTTTAGGACCCTCCTCCTTTTCTTCCAATCTCCCGCCTCTGGGATCTAAGGTGGATGAAAGGGGCACTAGAATGGGCGGCTTTTGGGGGGCAGGGGGTGCAGAACACTGAAGGCATCAGGGAAGGGTAGTGATGGGGGCAGTTATCAGAAGCAGAGAGGAAGAAATACCTGTAAAGGGGAAAGCCAGAGAAATTGTCTGGGGAGGGGAGAGACTGAAAATGGGGGTGCAGAGATTGGGGGTTAGTGGAAGAAAAAGCCTTAAAGGGAAAGGAAAAGAGAAGCTGTAGAGGGAAAAAGAATAGGCAAGGAATTGACGAGAGAGCAGGGAAACAGGAAACCACAGATCGTCAGGGGCTGACAAAACCTTAGAGACAATCTACTGCAGCCCCTCATTCTACAAATGAAGAAATGGAGGCCCAGAGAGGGGAATCCCTTCTCCAAAGACCCACTCCACCTGCTGGCTGGGCAGGCTCTTGACCGCAGGCTCATTCATTCAACCCATGTGTTTTGAGCATCTGCTGTGTGCTGGGCACTGGTCTGCCGAGATGATGCAGGATCAGCTCCTGCCCTCCAGAAGCTACAGTCTTTCCTCAGGGGCTTGGAGAGGCTGAGCATCCAGGAAGCTCCCTCACCCCCAGCCAGGAGGGACTCCCTGAGCCCCACCTCTCCTGGCCACTGAACCTTCCTTGCCCTCTGCTGTTCTGCTTATCTCCTCATGGAGGGTGGCCGTTCCCTGGAAGATCTTCCCTCTCCACTTTCCTGGGGACTCCCCAGGTGTGGAGACAGGTACTCGACAGTTTGGCCAACTTGTTCTATCTCCCACAGCCAACAGCGTAGGCCTAAAAGCAAAGTCCATATTCCTTGCTGGGTTTCACCTCTGGGCATGGACAAATCCCACAGGTTGGACTGAGATCCAATTGAGCTGTGGTAAGGAGGATTGAGGCTGGACATGAAGAAGTACTTCCAGGTCCCACAGTGTGGGATCATTTTCCTGCTGGGGCTTTAAAGTAGCTGTCCTTCTGTGAGCACAGTGTTGGCACCATCTTCCAGGGAAGGACTTGTCTTCCTCAGTCTCCAGTTAGCCTTGTGCGAGGCATTATGCTGGGAATGTTGGGGTTCCAGATACCTGGTCTCTGACCATGGGGTTTCTGCTCTAGACATGGGTGAACTGACATCTCCCTGGCATCCTCCCAGTCACTGCCAGCTCTGCAACATCATGGAACCCCTGAGTCCTTCACAACTCCCAGATCATCTCATCCTTCCTCCTTGCTCTGGGAAGACCATGTCTGAGTAGTTCCAACCAACCTCTCACCTTAAACCCAGTCCCTGATAATGAGAAGTACCTCCTTAGTCTGGACTTGACCTTCCTTGCTGCCATGGTCCATCAGCAATGACCAGGGCTGAAGCAGCACGTTTTTTCTATAAACACCGCTCCCTCCCAGTGATGCTCACCCAATCCTCGGTGGTCAGGCAGGGAGTGGGGACAGCTTCCTGCCAAGAGCTCTGGAAGGCAGCTCTGCCTCCTCTGCCTGAAGCAAGCTCCTGTATACTCTGAGATGGTGGTGTTCATTTTAAAGAAGGGACCATCTTTCCTCCACAGCCCAGCTTACATTTGGAGGGAGACAAATGTGAGTTTCCAATCCCAGAATCTTAGCCACTGTACCAATCTCCATGGATGCGTGGGATTCAGGAAAGGAGAGAAATGAGCAGAGTGAGGACATGGATAGAATCCATTTCCTACCCCTTGTTCCAGCCCAAGTCCCAGGGAAAGGCCCACAGAGGGCAAGAGAGGTGGACACTGAAAATTCCAGACTAAAGACCAGCAGACAGATTTCAGCATTATTCCTTCTTGTAGGCAAAGTGGTACCTAAGGATCTAACCAAATGAAAAAGCCTGGGAAATAGGCTATTTCTGCACCCCCTGACCCTTCATGCAGAGCAGGATATCGGCTTCAGCCCAGGAGCAATGCTAGAAGTTGAGAGGTTTGGAGTAGACTGTGAAGCAGTTCCTCCAAGGGCATGCCAGATGAGGGGGTTGGAGCACCCAGCCCAGAACAGCATCCAAGGAAGGAGGCCTTGGCAGTAACTTTCTGTCTCTGTATTAACTTCACATACATTGTCTTGTGTGATCCACAGTGCCAGGTTCAGCACCAGGCACAGAATACATGCTTGCTGTACAAATGCATAAGTGAAGAGCCATGGGAGGAAGGTCAGGATCCTCAATTACAGATGAAGAAACAGACACACAGAAAGGTTAAATGACTTGCTCAAGGTCACATATCTCATCAGAGACAGGGCCAAGTTTCAGTGGAGAGCCACTTTAGTGGTAGAGGGTGGTAGGGAGGAGGGAGGCAGGAAGGGAGGGAATGAACCATCAGACACCACACTGGGGGAGAGGAGAGCTGTCATCTCTTTCTCTTTGTGAAAAGAGATTACTTCCTGGGAAAGGTGGCATTTAAGACCACACAGTTTTAAAAACGACCCATTGAAGGTTGATTTGTAGCATATGCAAAGTTCTGCCAAAAACATGGAGAGGTCAATGAGTAGACGGGGTCATTGAGGATCAGAAAAGAAAGACAACACTGAGAGTCTGGACAGCTAAGCCCCAGAATTTTGCTAGTCTTAAATGCTGGGTGACATCAGGCCTTCCACACCCCTCTCTGAGCCTCTAGAGAATGGAGATGCCAGACGTGGAGGAGGGTACACATGGGCAAGAGGAGGCAGGTCATTGCCTTCAGGGTAGCAATTGGAGGCATCAAGTTCCCACTTCCCTAGACCTATTCTTTGTTGTTATTATTGTTGTTGCTTTCATCTGATTTTAATTGTTTTATGTTTTTTGAATAAGAAATACACGTACATGGTTCAAAACTCAAAAGGCACCAAAAGTTATACAGTGACAAGTAAGTCTCCCCGGAACCTCAGAACTCCCAGGCCACCCATGTCCTCACTCCGTTAGAACTGCAGTAACCACTGAATTGTATAACCTCCAAAGGTATTTTCTGCTTCTCCTGGCTCGTACCCTGAGGCCACCATAAAACCGAGTTGAGCACTGATATTCTGAGGAGATGTGGTAAACATGTTTTGGCCCCTGGACTGGTGGGGCCTTGGAATACTAAATACTCTCAGTTTCCACTCTGAAAAGATGCAGAAACTTGAGGTCAGGAGAGAGGACATTTCTGCGTGCTTAGAAGCTCAGAAGCCTCGCAGGTGAGAGGATGGAGTTGGGAGCCAGGCAGAGGCAGGAACCCTCTCCAGGGCTCTAGTACCACACTCCCACCCCAGAGCCTCACAGTGCCCTCTGGGTTAGCCTGGCTCAGGTATGCACCCAGTTAGGTCCTGCTCAAGTTTTCCAGAGAAAAAGGCCCAGTGCTTCCCCTCCACCACCTGTCACATTGTTGGGAGGCCTTTCTTGATGTCTCACTCTAGTTCCTTCGACTTTAGGTGCAGCCCATGGCTTTTGATTCTGCCCTCAGTGGAGATGGAACATGCTCTTGGAGATGATAGCTTCCAGTGACCCAGGCTCTTCCTCCCACTTGCATACACAATTTTCCTTCAGGCCCTCTAATTCCACCTCAATCTTTTTTCCAGACTTAGAAGACACATGCCTGTTCTTTCAGCTACCCTCCCCCACCTGAATTCCCAGTCTGCCTCCATTCCCAACCACCTCATTCTTGCCCTGCACATCCCTTTGGCATTATTATCCCCAAGTATTCTTTGGTCATGATGATGGTAAAATCCCAACCTAAAGCCAAGTCCTCCACCAGATTCCAGAGGTAAATCCAGCCTAGTCTCTTTGATAACTGAATCTCTCCATTTTGGGTGATGCCCTAGCCCGACTCTTGAACTTGTGCCCAACACTCGGACTCTCAGATCCTCACACATGGCCTGTTGTGAGATAAGGCACAAGTTCATCCCAAGCCTGGGATGGCCTCCCCTCTGTTCTCTTCTCCAAACCCTCCCCTGGTGAACCTCATCCTTTGCATTTACTCACTAAGCAATTATTATTGAGTACTATTCCAAGTTCTTAGAATACATTGGTGATCAAAACAGAGAAAGACCCCCCACCTGTGTGGAGTTTACATTCTAGCAGAGAAAGACAGATAATGAACAATATTCTTACTAAATAAGTAAATTATATCATATATTAGAAAATGATAATTGTTACAGAAAAGGAATAGATCACGTACAGAAGGATCAGCATGGAGGGGAAATCTGAGGTTTTTAATATGGTTGTCAAGGAGAGCTCACTGCGAATATGGTATTTGAACAAAGACTTAGAGGTGAGAGAGGAAGTTAGCCCCATAGACATCTTGGCAAGAGTATTCCAAGTAGAGGGAGTGGCTGGTGCTAAGGCCCTGAGGCAGGAACATGCCTGGCAAGTCTGTGGGAGTGAGCAAGAGTGGGAGGAGATGGCATCAGAGAGGTAAGGAGGGAACAGATGATGTTCGGCCTCGTAAGTCAACTTAAGGACTTTGCTTTTTATTCTGAGTGAAGTAGAGAGGAAAGACATGATTGGACTTCAGGGTCTTGTTTTGTTTTGAGAGACAGTCTCACTCTGTCACCCAAGCTAGAGTGCAGTGGCACAATCTTCACTCACTACAACTTCTGCCACCCAGGTTCAAGTGATTCTTATGCCTCAGCCTCCCAAGTAGCTGGGATTACAGGCACCTGCCACCATGCCCAGCTAATTTTTGTAGTTTTAGTAGAGACGGGGTTTCACCATCTTGGCCAGGCTGGTCTTGAACTCCTGACCTCGTGATCCACCCACCTTGGCCTCCCAAAGTGCTGGGATTACAGTCGTGAGCCACTGCACCTGGCCTGGACTTCAGTTTTTAAATAGTCTTTTTGTCTTTTGTGTTGAGAATAGATCACAGGGGGCCAAGGGAAGATGCAGGGAGACTTGTTGAAAGGTCATTGCACTAATCCAAGTGAGAAATGTGTGGCTTGGACCAGGATGGCAGCAGTGCATGTGGTGAGAAAGGCCCAAATTCTGGATTTGGTGACAGTTTCCTCTTCCTTGGCTTCCATCCTTTTGCTCTCTTTGCTTCCTCTCTTCTTTTCTAGGTTGTATGTTTTCTCTCTTCTTGAAGACTGAGAGCTCTCTGTGGGTGGGGCTCAATCTCTGTTCCTGGGATCCAGGGCAGGACCCCAGGCAAAGGAGAGACAGGCCCCGTGCTGCTTGGGAACAGGCTGACAAGCCACGCAGCTTCACAGCCCTCCCCAATTACAGGGTCCCTGAGCCAAGGGGAAGAGGCTGCTGTTTCTAAAGAGGATGTGATGGACAGTTATTGAAGGTGCTTAGCTGGGGGCTCCACTCTAGTCTTAATCTGAGCCGCCCTCAAGGAAATCATAACCAGCTCTTAAAAACATGTTGAGACCAAAGCTGGTGTGTGTGTTTGAGCGGAGCTTCAGACAGCTACTTAACACTGGGGGCCTCTGGGCTTTTGATTCCTCCACTTCTAGCCTGCCATCTCCCCCCAGCTGGCTGGTGCTTATCAGCCAAGACGTTGTTTAAATCACACTCATTTCCTATAACCATTTCATTTGAAATGCCATCCTCTGCTCCAGAAATTCATCTATCACCAGCCTAGAGGTATAGTTGAGGAGCCTTGGGGTGATCGCTCCCCATCTCTACCCCTGCCCCCAGTCACCCCTCCTCCCATGACCCATATTCTCAGGTTTCACTCTATAAGAACTACTTCCACTCGGTGTGACAGGGCACTTAGTGCCAGAATTATTTATAACATTGAGATGGCAACAGGGCAATGGAGAGCAGCCCAACCCATGGACACTTTCTCTTTGAAAGCTCGATCAATGGACCTAGATCACTGTTTACTACTTGGTGTCTCGGCCTCTGCCATGTTTCCTGCTGGCTTTGGGGGATGGGGAAACAGGGGTCTGGACCAGGTCAAGGCTGTCCTCAGAGTTTATGATGCTTATAAGCCAGGCCTCCAATAAAGTTATGCCTTCACTGTACCTCTATTCCTTGGCCAGGCACTTCCCTGCCTCAGGTGAGCTCTCTTCTTGGAAATGAACCATTCTTGGGGCTTTTTCTCAAACAGGAGCCCTCTGCCTCCCCCAGGAAAGCTGGTATTATGTCCCTACCACAGTGACATAGCTAGGACTTGAGCTGAGGAAGTCATCTGATATGGATCAGAATGGGGATGTAGAAGATTCTGGGAGTTCTTCCGAGGAAGGGCTTGAATTGGCCCCACCCAGTCTGGAGTGGAGGTAGAGGGATGGATGAATTCACTTCTTAAGGACTGAAAACCTTTTTACCATCCTCTTCCTCCCCAGCCATAGCCAATTACTAGTTGTCCTAATTTGAAGGCTCTGTTGTCTGGACTGGAGGATTTTTACCCATTTTCCAGCCCCTCTCCCGGTCTCATTTATTTGGGCAGTGTCACATTAAAGGCATTGTCAGACTTCCTAGTCCTTCCCAAAGGCCTGACCCAACTCCTTCCCAAATGGTGAAGCACCTCTGCCTCCTTCCCTTTACACCTGTGGACCTACCACACTGGGGAACTCCTAGGTGAGTCCCAGAGAAAGCCCAGGTGAAAGACTATGAGCCTGTCGGAAGGGATCAGGGTAGAACCCAAGTTGGGACAGGCAGGGGAGGCAGTCCCAGTCTTTAGGGGGGTCAAGTAATTCCCCTTTACAAGCCAAATGAAGAAAAAAAGTTCTAAGGGGAGCATATGACTCCATAAAATAAAGGACATAATTGGGAGTGATATCTAATTTATCTATTGAAGGCCTCCTACGTACTCTTTTATCACTTAGATGGACAGAATATAATTGGTGTGCTGTGCCCCATCAATCTCAGAGCCTGGGCTTCCTGTGCTGGCTACACATATTACTGTCAGATTATGACACTGTAATACCAAGATCAATGACATTTTAAACGTGCTCCAGTTATGGGCAATTGCTGACAATAAAAACAGTGACAAATTGATGAAACTTGGGCAGCGATTATCTGGTGTCAAAAATAAACCATAAAGAATCTGATTTCCAAACAGAGAGAGGTGCCTGGGACACCAGCTTAGGGAGGAAAGGCCCAGCGAGAAGAGAACTTATCCTGCTCACATGATCTTGGCCACTCAGGAAGCCACCTGCTCTGGAAAACTCCCTCTAGGCTGACCTGCAAGGCCCCAGCAGGAAGATGGAGAGGTGGTCTTTGGTTAAGGCTTGGGTTCCCCTTAGAGAGAATCGTCATCACTGAGACTCTGGGAAGTGTCTGTGTGTGACTGCCAAGGTGGGCGCCACACAAACTCACTGAGATACTGGTGGGTTGTCTTTCATGTCCTGCCCACACTGAGGAATTAGGGCAGACTGGTTGAGTCATAGAATCACACTTAGCCAATGTTAAAGCTAAAAGAGACCTTGAGAGTCTCTCTTCATGGAGGGTCAGGCTCTGTCCTCCAAACTGTCCCTCAGCAGAGGGACCTGGATCTTCCCTAACTTGACCCAGGCATTATTTCCCCAGGCTAATCCCCTTCCCCACCCATTGCAGGGAACTCCAGGCCTTCAACCAGCAGAACTATTTTGGCATACATTAAGGTGGGCCTCCTCCAGCTCCTCTTTTTTTTTTTTTTTTTTTTTTAGATGGAGCCTCGCTCTGTCGCCCAGGCTGGAGTGCAGTGACAAAATCTCCACTCTCTGCAAGCTCTGCCTCCCAGGTTCATGCCATTCTCCTGCCTCAGCCTGCCGAGTAGCTGGGACTATAGGTGCCCGCCACCACACCTGGCTAATTTTTTGTGTTTTTAGTAGAGACGGGGTTGCTCCATGTTGGTCAGGCTGGTCTCGAACTCCTGACCTCAGGTAATCCACCCACCTTGGCCTCCCAAAGTGCTGGGATTACAGGTGTGGGCCACCATGCCTAGCCTCCAGCTCCTTATTTTTAGTGGATTACCTTAATTTGTAGTATTCCTTTCATACATTTTTCTCACTTTAATAATCACAGTTTTAAAATATGAATACTTTAGTAGCATCGCTAATACTACTTTATATAATAATACTTTAGTAGTATCGCTAATACCACTATTACAAGGATAACTACTATTGGGAAGCATTTATTGTGCAACTACTATATGTAAACTCTGTTCCAGGTGTTTCATGTGTATTATTTTTCATCCCCACAGCAGCCCTGTGAGGTGGGTATTGTTCTTCACATTTTAGAAGTGAGGAAACAGGCTTAGAGTCGTAGTGATGTGCCTAAGATGACACAGCTGATAAGCAGTGGAGCAAGAAAGGAGCCTGAGATGTGGCTCAACATTCATCTTTTTTCCATTGCCCCTTTCACAGACCTTTATAGTCCCATTTATAGACGGGGCTGAGGGCCTCCCTAAAGAACCTATAGCTAGTCAAAGGCAGAGCTAGACCTAAGCCTAGCTTTTCTGACCCTTCTCGTATTAGACCTGCATTGTATGTATTTTTTTTTAAAGACTGGTCAAGTGCAGTAGTGAGAAGGTGGAAGGAGCAGAACAAGGAGTTTGATCTGTAACTGACTGTGAACAATCAATTGAGATAAGGCACTACCTTCGGAACACCCCCGACACTCTTTCCAGATGCACCACAACAGTCCTTTCCCCAGGTCACCACCACTCACTCAGCCAGGGGCTTCAGCCTTGGCCTCTAAGAGTCAGCAGGGGGTCACAGTTGGCTTTGAAACCAAGCAGACAGGTGTTTGAATCCCCACTCTGCCACCTTACAGCTGTGTGGCCTTAGGCAGGTGGTTGTGAGAATTTAAATGGCGTAAGCATATAAAAGCATTTGGCGTAGAGTCTGGCACATAGTAGTGCTCACTAAATGGTAGTCATTAAAGATACAACCTGGGACAGTGGCAGCTAGTTTAACAAACCACCACACCCCGTAGCACCTCTCACCTGGGTGCAAGTTCCCCAGGCCACACTGCAGTAGCTGCTCGCTGAGGGTTTCCCCGGATATATAAGAAGCCTCTCTGAGGGCCACAGAGGTTTTTTGATGGCAGATGGTTTAAAACATCATTTTTATATTAAGTTGTATAAAATATACTACGTTATAAAATGCAAACTTTGCATCATTTTAGAGCTAAAACTTAAGGCCACAAAAGAATCTGCTATTTTCTTATTAATAAAAAATCCTATTTTTATATAATGCAAATAATGAAGATGAAGTAACCTATTATTTAATTAAACATGTCTTTTTTTAAAAAAAAAAAGAAATAATTGGTCCTTGCTAATGGCCCTTCAGGGCAATCCCCCAGACTGCTGGGGTCCAAGTTTACCCTCCTGCCTCTAATAACAAAGGGACTTTGGCAGAAAAGTTTGAGAAACCCTGTCAGGAAGAGAGCCTACACAAGGACCAGGAAATCTGACTTCTTCATTCTTTAAAAGAACAAAACAAATAGCAACAGTGTGTTTTCTACCTTCCTAGTGTTTTACCTTCAAGTTTAGCATTAAGAACACAAAATGTTTTGTGTAAATTTGTGATTCTTATTTCTGGTTCCTTTCTGTTTAATAATTACTAGCTGAATCATTAATCATCAACCAAGTGAATGGTCACACTTTATAGAAGGCTACAAGGCGGAACACAAGATTAGTTGGATTCTTAAGAAAGAAACTAAAAGCTGCTTGCGACTTAGATGCTCTTAAGTTTTATGACTGTGGTGGGAATTTGAGCATCCAGGCCTTGCTTCTGATGGTCCTCTCATTCCAGTGCCCCAGTTCTAATCCTCTGTGGGTGCCCTCGGTAGTCACAGCCTTGGGGCTGCCCAGGGCTCAAGGCGTCCATGTTTTTAAAGTGCCCAACAACGGCTTTTGATTCATCAGAAACTCCACAGGACACCCACCTAACTGGGGCTCTGATACCTAATTCAGCAGCACCCACCACCAAGTCTTTCTAAGTTTTATTTTTTTTAATATTACATGCAATATATGTTAATTATAAATAAATGTAATAATTCAGGTAGGTGAAAAGGAGAAGGAAAAATGGCCCAAGTAGTTTCCCCACTGAGGAAGAACCCTGGTTAGCGAGGCAAGTCATGTGACTTTCGGAATCATGTTGAATCTACACCCATTTAAGGTGGAAGTCTATATAGCCTGATTCTTTGATGGTTTAGAGCTCTGCTCAGTTTAGAGTTCAGGGAGGTGGTATCTACAGGGTGTATTGCTCTGATAAAAATTAGCAGCCTGCCCAAGTTCAAGGTATGAGGGGACCGATCACAGATTGGTTTGAGAATCATTATGTTGGCCCTTTGGTGACTCTAAGGATTAGATCCAGAGTACAAGGGGCCCACACTTCCAAGGGATCCCACCACACCTTCAAATAGCAGACTCATGGAAAGGGGATTCCAAGATTCTCCCCCTCCAGCTACGGCATTGCTTTACAATATTTAAAATTCCTTGACTAAAGAGCAAGTCTAAATTGCAAGTACTCCTAGGACAGGGACTGGCTTAGATCCATGACAGCTCCCTCTCTGAAAGAAGGGCGTGCCTTACTCCACCAGACCAAACAAAACTAAAGTGACTTCTCTGCTACCCCCAGAGAGGGGCACTGGGGATGGTAAAAGCATTTCTGTCCCTGCACCCAGGGATGAAGTAGAGAAATGCCACTTAACCATAGCCAGGACCCAAAGAATTGTGAGTGGAAAGAGTGACAAAAACAGAGAAGGACAGAACTGTAAGCCACCGCACTTCATTTAGGAAGTCAGCGCTAGGGTAACAGGAAGGATCGGGTGGGCTTTCAGGGGAGTGGAACCTGTTAGAGAAAGAACAAAACTGAGTGGAGACTCAAGGCAGGAGACCATTTATAGGTGAATTAGCAGCAGAGGGTGGGTGGTGGCTGTGCCTGGGGCAGGGGTGGTGGGGTGAGGAAGTGGGGGTGGCAGTGACTTTGAGGGAGCTCTTGCAGAAGGTAGCTTTTTGAGGTGAAGAGCCAGAGCTCTAGGTCTTAAGAGTTGGAAAGCAGGTTATATTTCACATCCTTCCCTGAACAGAGAAATTGAATTTGGTCAAGAATAAGTCCTAAGAAGCAGTTGTGAGCACCCCACTTTTCCATCTTGTTGATGAATATGGAGTGGGAGCAAAGTTGAGTGTGGGCATCTGACAAGGTCTTTATGATCCTAGATGCACTTACTATACCTTCCTCCTCCTCCTCTGCCTTGGCTAATGGGCTGTGGGTACCCACCGCACAGAGGGCTATAAGACACTCACTGTGGCTGATGGAGAAGCTGGGCCCTGCCCTCCTGGCCTTCTGAGGAAAGTGATTATTGTTTTTGGCTTGTTTTTCAACTATCCCTTTGCCCCCAGCAGGACTGAACCTTTCCACTCTTACCATCTCTGGGTCCCTTCAGATCTTTTATAGCCTTGAACTACCCGCTACAAGATTTTTTTCTGTCCTAAGAATGGAAGTCTGGTCTGCTTCCTAACATTAATCCCTTCCACACAGCACAGCCTCGTTTCCTCTAGATCAGAGAGATGGCTTCTGGATTCATCTTTCCCTGCAATCCAGCTTCTCCTCCTGGGGCCCTCATAATGGAGACTGGGATCATCATCCAGGCTTTTGCACTGGGTTAGGAATTTGGGAGTCATCCTGGATCCATCTGCCCCTGTCAACCTTTCTCTGTCAACAGATATTTACTGGGCATCTCCAACAGCCAGGCCCTGTTCATGGTGCTGAAGAACAGCATGTATAAAACAACCCTGCCCTCACAGGGCGATCACCAGTGACCTGTGGTGTGGAGTCTCCTTTTACCTCTGTCTCCTCCTTCCCACTGTCACCATCCTTGGTCCTCCTCTGTCACCTGGAATACTCCACTTGGTAACCAGCATGATCTTCTAACGCTAGTTTTACCCTTGTCAGCACTTTGCCGAAAACCTCAAATAAAGACTTTTTTAAAAATGTGCGATGGAAAACTAAAGTTATAAATTATATCATAACCATTGGACCTCTTTTTAAAATGCACTGAAGCCTTATAATGTTATCCATGGATATATATCTATGATAAAAATAGAAAAAATATATGATGGTGGTGCTTCTGAAAGGGAGGGGAATGGTACTGGGGAAGGGACAAAGGGAACTTCAACTTTATCTGTAATGACCTGTTTATTTTGAAAACTCAAGAGCAAAATTGACAAAATTTTAACAGTAACTTAACAAAACCTCAAGTCTGGATAGTGAGTTCAAGAGTGTTACTTTATATGGACAGGCAGTGACTCATGCCTACAATCCCAGCACTTTGAGAAGCCAAGGCAGGAGGATCTCTTGAGCCCAGCCATCCTCCCACCTTGGTCTCTTGAAGTTTGAGACTAGCCTAGGCCGCATAGTGAGACCCTGTCTCTTCAAAAAAAAAAAAAAATTGACAGCAACTCAGGAGGCTGAGGAAGAAGGATTGCTTGAGTACGGGAGGTCAAGGCTGCAGTGAGCTATGACTGAGCCACTTCACTCTAACCTGGATGATAAAGCAAGACTCTGTCTCAAAAAAGAAAATAAAAAAAGTGTTGCCTGTAATCCCAGCACTTTGGGAGGCTGAGGCAGGTGGATCACTTGAGCTCAGGAGTTCGAGACCGGCCTGGCCAACATGGCGAAGCCCTGTCTCCACCAAAAATACAAAAAATTAGCCAGCTGTGGTGGGATCAGTCTGTAGTCCCAGCCACTCAGGAGGCTAAGGCAGGAGAATCACTTGAACCCAGGAAGCGCAGGTTGCAGTGAGCCAAGATCTCACCACTGCACTCTAGCCTGGGCGACAGAGTGAGACTCCATCTCTAAAAAAAAAAAAAAAAAAAAAAAAAAATGAGTGTTACATTAGTTGTCTATATGTAGATACACTTGTCAAAATTTAAGCCATAAAACCCTCAGTGTCCCTCACTGTTCCCACCCCCTTAGCCTGGCATACTGGGTCTTTCACAAGCTTGTGTCAACCTCCTCTACAGACTCATCTCTACACTGAGGGACTTGCAGTTTCCAAGTCCTCTGGCCTTGGGACCTTTGCCCATGCTGTTCTCTTCTGAATGCCCTTTCCTGCTTTGCTACTTTGTTCTTGCCCTTCTGGATTCAGCTCCTGGGAGGCCCTGTGGATTGAAGTCAGATGGCTCAAGTAGGCAGCTGGTTAGGACCCAGGAGACAGAAACGTGTCTGGGGAGGACAACACTTTCTTGTCCTGGTTTCTATTCAGCTGCAACTAGAGAAACAGATCACCTGTTTCTTGTTCAAAACTAGGATCAGTGAGAGGAGGGTGGAACGAGTAAGATCCTCCACAGTGCCCTCCCACCTCCCAGCCTCCCCCTACATAGCCTAGCCCCAAGGCAGAAACTTCCCAGCAGAAAAAGGAAAACTGATAACCTCATTCCTTGGTCTGGCTCTGTTAGGATTATCATCTGGTTTCCCCTGCTGGTGTTGGAAGAGCTGTGTTGGTGCAGGCCAGTGCTATCCTGTGACTAGAGGGAAGAAGCTCTGCCTGGGCCTGATTTGGCCACAAGCTCCTAGTAAGATGCTGAAAAGGAACACAAACTCTCGGCCCAGGACACCCTCCCCATGCCATCCCACACTTGACTTCTGCGCACCTTGTGAGCAGATCAGATTTGGTGTTGCTTCTTCCACATCATCCTCACATCCCCTTTCACAGACTCGGATAGATCCCCTCATGGGAACCTATGGATCTATGGCATATCTATGGATATGCCACCCCATGGCAACTGTCCTTTCCCCTTCATAGCATACATCACCCTGAATTATAGCTGCCTGTTTATGTATGTGTCTTCTGCACCAGGTAGTACTCTCTGATGGGGCAGGGATTGGGTCTGTCTTGTTCACAGTTGCATCTCCAGCACCTGCAACTCTGCCTGGCTCAGAGTAAGTGCTCAATACTTTTTGTTTTTGATTGAATGATAGAATGACGAGTGAACTCTATTTCCCACTAGACTGTGAGCACCATGTTGACAGGGACCATGCCCTGATCATCTCTGGATCCTTAGGGCCTATATAGTGCTTGCCACATAGGAGGTGCTCAGTAGACACTTATGGATTTGAGTGAATGGACTTCAGTTTCTCCACTTACAATCTGAGTAAGAGGAAGATATTCTTTGCCCTCTCTCCCTCCTTCTCCAGCCACATTGGGGGTTGTGGTTGATGCTGTGAGGTCGTTCCTGCCTTATTCAACTTCATGTCCAAATCTTCTAATGGCAAAACAAAACATGGTGGCCAAGTCTCAGAGTCCAGGCATCCCTCCCATAGCCCATAGCCAAGTATGGGAGAAGGGTGCTTCAGGGTCTCTCTCCATTCACTTTAGTCTCCAGCATTAGCCAAGATCCCACTGTCTACCCTGAATTCTTCCTGCTATTGCACAAGGCTTCTTTCATCTTACTGTATTGTCAGGGAAAATATAGCCAAGATTATCTGCTCCTCAACCTGAAGTAAAATATAGATTCTGCCTAATTTTAGAACCGGTGTTAGCCAGGTGTGGTGGCTCATGCCTATAATCCCAGCATTTTAGAAGGCCAAGGCAGCAGGGGAATCGCCTGAGTCCAGGAGTTCAAGACCAGCTGGAGCAATATGGCAAAACTCCATCTCTACAAAAAAAGCAAAAAAATTAGCTGGGTGTGGTGGCACACACCTGTAGTCCCAGCTACTCAGGAGGCTGAGGCAGAGGATCATTTGATCCCGGGAAGTGGAGGTTGCAGTGAGCCAAGATCGTGCCACTGCACTCCAACTTGGATGACAGAGTACGATCCTGTCTCAAAATAAAAATAAAGAATAAAACCAGTGTTTCCACATCTGGAACTTTCTTTTCAAGTTTATATCACCTCTCCTTCCAAATCAGGTCTCCCCTCTTCCAGGAAGTACTCCTTGATTAAGCCAAAAATGTTTTAATTTTCACCACTTGTCCTATTACTCTGCATCCCCACAGCACTTGTAGTTTGTACTTATTCCCTATCCTGTTTAAGTGTGTTCATCATCCTAACCATACTGCATAAGCAGGCACTATTTTAAGTAGGCTTGATAGATTATCAGAAATTGACAAGAAAAAATACACACCAAGAAGAAAGTAGAAGAGGATTTTTTTCTTTTCTTTTCTTTTTGCTTTATCATAGAATTTCTTGTCTTGGTGCTTACAAGCTGTGTAGCACAATGAGAGGAGAATGTGATTTCTGCAAAACATTTCAGGAAGCACAAAGAAGTATCTGTAAATACCCAGGAATAATGACCATGTCTTTTATTTGTATTATTTTTCTAATTCCTCCACTCTATAGGGTTTGCCCAAAGTCCTTGATTTAAGCCCTTGAGTGTTGATTGGCTGACTTAGCTTTGGATTGTGGTCCACTGAGATCGCTGGATCTTTTTAAGCTTTAGAGTTATGCCCTGCCATGTGGATGCAGGTGGAGGAAGGACTTCTCAGTGTGACCCATGAGAGGAGTAGCTCTCCTGGGCCCCAGGCCCCAGGCTGCATGTGTATGGGAGGGAGGAGGAGAAGCAAGGAAAGCAGGAGAGACAGAAGTATATACTGAGCTGGTAGTTGGGGGAAGGGTTGGCGGGTTGGGAGAAGGGAAGAGAGGAGTCTGGGCCAAGGCCAGATGTGTCTCCCTTGGGGAGTCCTCAGAGCGGGCAGCCGGACGTCGCTCCATCCTTCCCGCCTGACGGATGGGTCTGCTGCGCAGGCACAAGCTGTCGGGCCAGGCCCTGCCAAGGCAGAACAGTGGCGCTTCTGTGCGCGCTGCTCCCCTCCGCTCAGGAGGATGGGGCCCGCCCGGGAAGCCAGGGAGTGATGGAGAAAGCAGACGTCCCAGAACAGGAGCCGCGGGGTCACAGAAGCACAACTGCGTCCCGAAACAAGGAGCCACAGGATGAGGTGGGAGGGGACCGGGAATCAACGCGGGGGAGCGTTTGGGGGAAGTGCTGGTCGAAAGAAGAGAGGCAGAAGGACGCGCGCTGAAGGAGCCTGGGGATGAAGAGCTCGATGATTTGGCCACAAGCCCCCTCACCTTTAAGAACAAAGCTTCCTGCATTCAGTTGCAGAGTTTTGTTTCCCGGTCAGATGCTCAGAGACCTTCCAACCTGTCCCCCACCCCTCAGCCTTGCCCATCTCCACGGGCATCTTCCGCGCC
Source organism: Homo sapiens (assembly GCF_000001405.40). Classification (NCBI taxonomy): domain Eukaryota; kingdom Metazoa; phylum Chordata; class Mammalia; order Primates; family Hominidae; genus Homo; species Homo sapiens. The sequence continues at coordinate 41,679,935 of NC_000009.12, forward strand.
CTCGCCCGGGACTCGGAGCCCACCACCCTCCGCCTCCGCCTGGCCTGGCCCGCGAGATCCCTGACGCTCCAGTTCGGAATCTGGGATCCGCAGGCTCCCAGATCCGCCGCTGGCCCGGCTCCGACCCGCCCGTCAGCCGCCTCCCCCTCAGCGTTAATTAAAACTTGCGAGATGGAGAGGCTGGCGCGGGCGGCTCCGTTTAATTTGCAGCATCTTTCATGCTGCTGACGATCGTAAAGGGCTTTAATATTGAAATATGGGCCATTTTCCCAGCTCCAGCCCTCGCCGCGCGCTCCCCGCACCCCCACATCCAGCCACCCCGCGCTTGATGAAAGAGCCCCTGCAAATCCATTAAGGAGAGATAATTGAAAACTCCGGGGTAATATTTAAGACCGCGTGCCGACGCGGGGTGGAGGGCCTGACTGCGCCCGCTTTGCCCCTCAGTGCTGGTGCGTGCCAGTCCCTAGCGCTCTAGGCCCACCAAAGCCCCGCGGACGCCCAGCCAAGGCCCGCCGTCTTAGCGGTGCCTCCTCACTCCCTGCACTCAAAGGGCTGGCTCTGCGCTAACCTGGCTCTTCCGAAGACTTGCCTGAAGACCCGAGTTCCAAAAGGAGCCACAGGGCATGCTGTGTGACAGATGCATTAGGGCCAGAATGCACGGGGGCCAAAGCATCTTGTCCCACTCCTTCAGCTTCGGTTTGATGTACCAGCATCAGGCACTGCTCAAGCTTCTGAGCACAGCATCCCCTCTGCCTGCAAACTTTTCCCTCCAGCACTTTCTACTTGGGGAATTGCTGTTCCTCTTTCAAAACCAACCCAGTTCCACCCCAAGTAATGGTGCAGTGGGGTATGGAACGTGGGTGGGAGTATAGACACGCCAAGATCCTGGTGTGACCATTGTTGCAGTTGCATGATGAGGACACTATACTGCTCTGTTTTCATATGTTTTCAATGTTCCACGACAAACATGTTTAGAAAGCAGCTGAAGCATCTTCTTTTATGCCTCCCTCTCCCATAAATACAGACTACCTGTTATCTTGTACATTGATGTTCCTTAGCACATCGTGTTGCCATTATCTGTTTAAAGTCTTTCTGCCTACTCAGCTGTGACATCTTCAGGACAGGGATCAGGTCTAATTTCACTCCTTAGCCCTTGCTCCAGGCCCAGTGCAAGGCACATAACATGCGCTCAGTAAACATCACTGAATAGGCTGCTCTCTGGGTACCTAGAAGTCTCTAGGGCTTAAGGTTAGGATACAAGCACAAGAAAGGAGGGTAGGGCAAAGCGTGGAAGAAGGGTGGGGTCTGTGAGGCTGGGTTGGGGATCATGTCTCTCTCCCACAATGACTGGCTTCAGGATGTTCCCAGAATGGGAAAAGGGTAGAGGACCCTGTTCTGCACTGTGATTTAGGAATCCTTAGGTCTCTACCTGGGACTTTTGGGGATGTTTCTCCACTTCACTCCATTTGGCTTACTCTCCCAATCAGGTTAGACACACACACACACACACACACACACACCACCACCACCACCACCACCACCACACACCTTAGACAGGGAAAGAGTGGGAAAGAGGGAAGCAGAAGAGATTATTTGAAGACCTACTTGTGCAAAAGGCATGAGTAGTTCAGGCATTTCCATGGATACCCAGCTAACCCCCTACCACAGGGCCTTTCCTACTTACCCCTGTTGCACAGTCTTCCCCAACACTGTGTCCAACACCCATACAGGGGTTATACTCACAGGATGGCACTATTGAGGAAGAGGGGGCTGTTCTGACTCAGCCCCCCTAACCGCACATTGGCCCTGAAGCCACAGTTGCAATGATGCCCTCTCTATGGCCAGAATGAGATCCAAACCATTCCAAAGTTCCATTTCCAAATAAGGACTCCTCGTTAGAACTACAAAACATCAGAGCTGGAGGCAACCAAAAGAGCACTGTGTCCCCTCTTAGTATCTGTGGGGCAACTAAGACTTAGAAAGGGTCTGTGATGTGCCCCAGGTCACAAAGCCATTGGTAACTGGGCGGGCGGGGTGGCTCACGCTTGAAATCCTAGCACTTTGGGAGGCCAAGGCGGGTGGATCATTTGAGGTCAGGAGTTCGAGACCAGCCTGGCCAACGTGGCGAAACCCTGTCTCTACTAAAAATACAAAAATTAGCGGGCAGTAGTGGAGCATGCCTGTAATCCCAGTTACTCAGGAGGCTGAGGCAGGGGAATTGCTTGAGCCTGGGAGGCAGAGGTTGCAGCAAGCTGAGATCATACCACTGCACTCCATTCTGGGCGACAGAGTGCGACCCTGTCTCAGGAAAAAAAAAAAAAAGCCATTTGTAACAAAACCAGTGCTAGAATCCCAGAAAGTTAGTGGTGGAGTTGGAATTAGAATCCCAATCTCTTGACCCACTTAAATATATACAATTGGTATTCGAAGTGCTTTTCACAAACATTATCTCATTTAATTCTCTCTCTCTCGATAGGATCTCACTGTGTCACCCAGGCTGGAGTGCAGTGACATGATCATGGCCCACTGCAGTCTCAAGCTCCTGGGCTCAAGCAATGCTCCCACATCAGCCTCAGGCACATGCCACCACACCTGGCTAATTTTTGTATTTTTGTAGAGACAGGATTTCAGCATGTTGCCCAGGCTGGTCTTGAACTCCTGGACTCAAGAAATCCTCCTACCTTGGCCTCCCAGAGTGCTGAGATTACAGGCATGAGCCACCGTACCTGGCCTCACTTAATTCTCACAAACCTATGAGATAGCGTCACAATTCCCATCTACAGATGAGAAAAATGAGGCTCAGGGAGAGCCATGATTTGTCCAGTGTCATACACGGGTGCAAAACAGATCCAGGATTTGAACCCCAGTTTGACTGGCTCCAATTCCCGTGCCCTTTCCACTCACTTCTCCAGTATCTCCCCCTACACCCCACCCAGCCAAGTCAGACCAGTTTCCCAGACACTCACCCTTCATCCCTGGACATCTCCAGCCAGAGGTCTTTTTTCTCCTTAGCCCAGCTTCCCCCACCCAGGGCAATGTTCTTTGCCCCAGATTTGGAGGTGGGGGTGTGGTAGTCTCCGCGGTGGTTCTGGGTACAGGCCTCCATGAACTGAAGCCATGCACAGCCTGGCCTCCTTTGCGTAGCCCTACTCCTGTTCGTGGCCACGGAGGCCTCAGCCATAAATCCCCAGGTCTCGGCTCATAACCATTAGCAAGCGATTGGGCTCATCAGGACTCCTTTATGAGACTCGGGTCAAATAAAATGGATTGCCGGAGGTCAGGAACAAGGGCTCTCCTTGCCTTGCCTTGCTTCCGAGATGCTCCCACCGCCCAGAGGTTGGCAGATTCTGTTTGACTCACAGCTGTAGGTGGAAGTGGGGGCATTGTCACAGTGGGATAAAGATGTATCCCCTGGTACTCCACACCCATGGAAGGAAAAGCGCTTGGAGATGCACATCCTCATATAGCCCACAGTCATTAGGGCTGGAGGAACACACACACAGAGGCACATATACACACTCAGACCCCCATCTCTGATTCAAATCCACTCTTCAGCAACCAACCCCCCAACCCCACCCACCTCACATCATCTGATGTCCTCACACTCCATCCCTCCTGTGAGGTATTTCCTGAAACACTGCTTCTCAAACACCACTGTGCATACAAATGACCTGGGACCTGGTTAAAATGCAGATTCTGACTCAGTAGATCTGGGGTGGCACCTGAGCTCTGTTTTCTAACCAGCTTCCAGGTAAGGCCAGGGCTGCTTCTCCAAAGATTTTAAGCAGTGGTCCTCCCACATTAGAAGGGCAGGGGCTTTCAAAATGTAAAAGAGATAGGAGAGTGCAGTTTGGGAAAGCTCCTCTCCCACTCCCATCCCCCAAATGCTGCTGTGCACACCCAAGTGACTGAACTGTTTCTAGAATGCTGTTACCTCACTCTTTACATGGCTCCCTCTCATTCTTCAAACCTCAGCCCAAGTGTCACTTCCTCAGAGAAACTTTCTCTGACCACCCAATTTATTTTATTTTATTTTATTTTATTTTATTTTATTTTATTTTATTTTATTTATTTTGTTTTTTTGAGACGGAGTTTTGCTCTTATTGCCCAGGCTGGAGTGCAATGGCACGATCTCAGCTCATGGCAATCTCCGCCTCCCGGGTTCAAGCGATTCTCCTGCCTCAGCCTCCCAAGTAGCTGGGATTATAGGCATGCGCCACCACGTCTGGCTAATTTTTGTATTTTTAGTAGAGACAGGGTTTCTCCATGTTGGTGAGGCTGGTCTCAAACTCCTGACTTCAGGTGATCCGCCCACCCCAGCCTTCCAAAGTGCTGGGATTACAGGTGTGAGCCACCATGCCTAGCTGACCACCCAATTTAAAGGGTCGCTGCTCCACCCTGTCTGTGATTACCCACTTCACAACAGGTCTCAAAATTGCATGTATCTATTTGCTAACTTGCTTACTTATTTTTTTGTCTGTTTCACTCTCTGAAATGTATGGTCCTTGAGTTCAGGGATTATGCCTGTTCCATTTATTCATGAATTCTTGGCAACCTGTGCCCAGTGCATAGTAGATACTCAGTAAATATTGCTGGATAGGCCAGTCACAGTGGCTCATGCCTGTAATCCCACCACTTTGGGAGGCTGAGGGGGGCAGATCATTTGAGGTCGGGAGTTCGAGACCAGCCTGGCCAATGTGATGAAACCTCGTCTCTACTAAAAATACAAAAATTAGCTGGGCATGGTGGCACAAGCCTGTAATCCCAGCTACTCTGGAGGCTGAGGCAGGAGAATCACTTGAACCTGGGAGACACAGGTGGCAGTGATCCAAGACTGCCACTGCACTTCCACCTGGGTGACAGAGGGAGCCTCTGTCTCAAGAAAAATAAAAAATAAAAATAAAAATAAAAAAATAAAAGATTATCTGAAAGAGTATCTGAATCCAGGACTGAGGCTGTAGGTAATCTGAGAAAGTATCTTGGAGGAAGGAAAATGGGAGGAAAAGAACATTGTGTGAAGGACTTAAGAAAGGTGACTCAAGGAAAGTGGGAAGGCAAGGGTATCCAGATAAGATTGGCCCCATTGGTCCTGGGTTGATATGACAGGGGTGAGGAAGGGTCCTGGAGGGAGAGATCCTGGGGGTAGCAGCAGATGCCGCAGGGTCTCGGAAACCATGGCAGGCACTAAGAAGACACGTGGGCTTCCCTCCACCTCATGGACAAGGACCTTCATTTATTCATTCTTTCCTACACTTGACAAATTCTTACTGAGATCTTATTAGGCGCCAGGCACTGTGTTTGGTGCTGAATATTCAGGAATGAGCACAATGGGTCTGGTTCCTACCCTCCTAGAGATTACAGTCCAGTGGGAGAGACTGACAGTAAACATATTAATATGTTACAGTTGGGCCAAGTCTACAAAGGATAGGGTATGATAACATGTATGATGGGTGGTTCCCTAGGGAGAAGTTTCCCTAGGGAGTGACAGTCACCCAGAGTGCTGATGGGTGGAGGTCTTTTTTGCCAGCCCCCTGCCAAGCTTTCGTCCTGGACTTTCCTGCATTCCTCTGCACTGTCCCTTTAAGAGGAGCATCTCTTCCCTGAGCAAAGGCAGTTCGGGCACACAGCCTGAGCCTGCCAAGGTTGTGGGCCATAAATCAACGCTGGCACTCCCTTGGCAGTGGGCTCTCCTCTGAGCTGCCCAGATGGCAGGCAAGCCTGGGGCTCCAGGGGCAGCCAGGCACTCAGGAGGGGGGAGGCGGGCAAGGTGTGGACACAGCTGGGCCCCAGGCTCCTGATGGCAGCTGCCCACTTCTGTCTAAGGGCCCTAGGCCAGGGAAAATGCCAAAGTCCTTCTATTCTAGTCCCAGGGACCTTCTGACTCCCAAGTCAGTCTAGCATGGGGCTGTTGAGATTATTGTTCCCACCCCAGCCAGGGACCAGGGCCTCATAGGCATCCTCTGAGACCAAGGGTCTTGGATGATCTCTTGGGATCACAGTCTGCTCTAACATTCAACCTGAAAGTTCTGCCTGTGGTTTGACCTTCTTTCCTCTTGCTGTAGCCAAGGTGTCTTCTTTTACCCTGCATGAAAGATGAAAGACGGTAGCTCCCCATTTAGTGGGGGCTTTGGGACTGTGTGATATCTCCCTCCGCCTTCACTTTAAGCCTCCCAGAAAAGCAGGATAAAAAGATGCTTCAAAGTCAGTTGGAGAGATGGAACTCTGCCCTCTTGGGGGTTGCCATCCCTCTGCCACCCTCACAGGTGCTGTGACAGAGGGAACATATGTTGCTCCTACCCCAGAGGATGGAGACAACATCTTAGCAGCCACAGCCCCACAGAGCTGGGCTCAGCAGGCCTTGACAGAACTGAAAAGGCATCCTCTCTCCTGGGCCTGGGCCTGGCCTAAGCCTGGGTTGTGGGCGGAGGGGTGGAAGCAAAGCCTGTAGACCCCTTCCAGAAAGGAATCAACAGGCTTGACTGCTCTCCCCACGCTCACTCCCAAACAGTAGAACAGTGGAAAATTCATGGGTTCCAGAACAATAGAGATTTCCTGGGATGTCCTTGTCCTCAGATTCTCTGTGAGAAGTCAGAGTTTACAAGTCCTTAGAGATTCTTTCTCACACACTCATCATACAGATGAGGAAACTGAGATGCAGAGAAGTTCACCCAGGTCTTTTTCAGGTTGTTTTTACTACACCACATTTGCCACATGAACAGAAACTCCCAGAGCTACCACTAAGCAGGATGTATTAGACTCTAAATGTAGTAGCATAGATGGAGGTTAGGTAACAAGTAGAACTTTCTCAGAATAGTAGGTCACAGAAGAAGATGAGAAGCAAAGTAAAGAAAGTGCATTCTCTAAAACAGTGGGGTGGGGGTGGGAGGGATGGAGCCAAAGAATCAGGTTAGAATTTTGCAAAAAGATAGAAATATAGAGAACACAGGAGAGGGAGCTGGCATAGAGCCCAGAGCAAGGACAACTGGGGTGTGGAGCTTCTGGGGTTCTTCATTCAGGACCCCTAGATTTCATCTGTCCCAGGCTTCTGGGTATCACCAGTAGTTTAAAGTCAGGCCTTATCTGGGCTGATTCTCTTGGCTTTCTCCTTGCTCTCCCGGGATGGCTTATCTGGCTGCCAGAGTCATTTGCCATCTCTAATTTGTGTTTAAATTAAAGTTCCCACAAACAGAGGTTTAATGTGCTGTTACCAAGAACTCCCAGGCCCCCTGCAGCTCTGGGAAGTTGAAGAGGCTGGGGAGAAGAGGTCAGTCTGTGTGCATCCCATCAAAGCTGATCCCACTGGCATTGGACCTGGAGTGGACAGCCCAACTAAGTGTCTCCGTCCTTGCTGCTCCATCCAGAATGGTGATGACAGGGGGCAGGGCAGGGAAAAGCATGCTCACAAAGGGCCTGGGACCAACATGCCCGTTCAGGGGCTCCTGGGTGGCTGTTCACCCTTTTTCAGGATGGTGAGGAGAAGGCAGGGGAGGTGGGCAATGAGAAGAGGGCAGGGGGTGGAAAATAAGGAGAGAGCAGGAGGCTCCATTCTTTAACACTTGTGTATGGTGCTCACTGTGTGCCAGCACTGTTCCTGGGCACCTCACAACTACAAATTCAACCTTCTACACAACCTGTAAGGCAGGTGTTATTATCATTAGCCCCATTTTTATAGATGGGGAAACAGAGGCATGCCCAGTATCACACAGCCAGTAAGAGGCAGATCCAAGGAGTCAAGCCAGTGCCATCTAGCTCCAGATTCCCAGTGCTATGCTGACACTTAAGCCAAAATTTATCTGTCACCCTCCCAATCCCTTGATCACAAGGTGAGGCTTCTCTTTGCCAGAGCAACTGAGACAAAGTGAAGCTCCCATCCTGCTCCCCAGATCTTTACCTCTCTGGGCCACAGTCTTCTCATCTGTAAAATGAGGATAAGATACTAGGAGGGGTTGAGGGTCTGGGAAGGTTTCATGAGACAGCTTGTCAGTGACCAGCACAGGGTAGGTCCCCAGCAGTGGCTGTTTCCTTCTCTGTAGTCTAACCATAAGCCTTCCTGCTGTGCCTTCCTGCACTGCCTCTTAATTCTGCTTTCAAAGGAGCTAGTGGCAGTGACCCTCGCCCCTTAAAGAAACTCTCAGGAGAGCATTGTTCCTCATTCATTTGTCCAAATTCTCTCTCTTCCTCTGGGAAACCCTGAAAAAGAGGGATAACAAAGCTGAACTGGAGCCCCAACCTGCTCTGTCCCCACCTCCTCTGCACCCAGGTGAGCCAGTCAGGGTGGCAACAGAAAATAAATGACACATTCGAGAGGGTTTCACTGAAGGGTTTAGTGATGTGGCAGTTTCTAAAGGCATAGATCAGATGAAGAAAACTAATAAGGGCTAGTGTGGCACCAGGATAGAAATATCTCTACCAAAGCCCAATGCCAACTGGGCTCACGGGACACAGGAGAGAGGCCACTCAGCAAAGCTGTGACCAAGGAGGAAACACAACCACCACCAGAGCTTCAAGCAGGCAAAAAGGGGGGCTGACAGGGAATGGAGGAAACAAATACCCTGACTCCTCTCTCCCCCTTCTCAGCCGGGAACTCTATTGGCCGAGAGATCAGGGGGCCCATGTGACACAGTCTGCAGAGGTCAGCCTCCCTGGGCAGAGCAGCACAGAGAACACAGCGGGGCAAACATAAAACCATCCCCGTCCCATCCCACCCGTGAGTCCCTGCTCTGATACCAAAGCCTCCTCTCTGCTGCTTTATTGCCACCACTGTCACTGCCTGCAGCCAAACAGTGACTGACAGGGAAGGAGAGTCAAGACTCCCTCAAGCAAATACTCCAGCTCACAAGGAAGGTGGGATCCAGGCAGAGGGCAGCTTGAGGGAAGAGGGCTGTGTCTGAAGGGCAGCATAGCAGGGACTGCCCACTCCCAGCATGGAGAGACAAAGAGAAGGACCGCACTGGGGGTGAGGATGTCAAACGGTGATAGTAAATGACTCTCTTTCCTCAGCATATGATACAAATCACTGTGGATCTCCCTTCCTCCTCCCCTCTCTAGACCGGGAGCCCTTGTGGGGAAGGGATTTTGTCTTGTTCTTCCTTGATATCTAGCACAGTGCCTCTTAGGGGCATAATCAGAATTTATTGAATAAATAAGCAAATAGATACGTAAATGAATGAACAAACCCATTTGCAGCTCATATGCACAGCCCTGGGACCTGGTCAGGGAGCACTGTTGAATGAATGGCATGCAGCATTCCTACAGAAGTTTTATTTCAATCAGTTCCATCACCTACCACCTCAGGTTTCCTTTAAGCCACTGAGTCACGGGCCACACAGCCCACGTTTGTCTCCACGCTGGCCAGAGGCTGTGCTTTGATAGCACCCACTCAAATGTGCAGTGACCTCATCTAGCTCCTCCTGATGGAGGAATAAGGGGAGTAGCAAGTGACTTCCTTTCTCACAGCAGCCTTTCTGTGAGCTCTTTCTTGAGAGAAATCTTGATCCATGGCAAACCGTCTGTGGTATTCTCGGCTGTAGCCCTTGGTGGGAGATGGGAGGAGGGAATGACAGTGTCAAGGATGCAGCTGAAGGATCGTCACCCTGGGAGCCACAGCTCTGGCTTACTTTTTCCAATGGGCCATAAAGACTGAGGGAGGCAGGCGGAAGCAGGGTCACCAGACTAACAAACTAGAGTTTCAAGTGTAGTCCCCATGCGATGCCCACCTTGCGAAGTGGTTACAGATGCTGGGGCTGGGCTCAAGATGCCTGTTCTACCACCTGCTGGCTGTACAACCTTGGGTAAGATACTTGATTACCATGCCTCGTTTCTGCATCTTAAAAAATGTGAATAACAGTAATGCCTACTTCACATGGTGGTGAAAAAGTAGATGAGTTAATAGTTATGAGATACAGCCAGGCCTGGTGGCATGGGCCCATAGTCCTGCTACTCAGAAGGCTGAGGTGGAAGGATTGCTTGAACCCAGGAGTTCAAGACCAGCCTGGGTAACATAGCAAGACTGCTCCCCCCCTTTTTATTTTGAGATGGAGTTTCACTCTTGTTGCCCAGGCTGGAGTGCAATGGCATGATCTCAGCTCACTGCAACCTCCACCTCCTGGATTCAAGTGATTCTCTTGCCTCAGTCTCCGGATTCCAGGGATGAACCACCACACCCAGCTAATTTTTGTGTTTTGCATTTTTAGTAGAGATGGGGTTTCACCATGTTGGTCAGGCTGGTCTCGAACTCCTGACCTCAGGTGATCTGTCCACCTCGGTGTCCCAAAGTGCTGGGATTACAGGTGTGAGCCACTGCGCCTGGCTGCAAGACACCCATCTCTCTAAAAATGAAAGTTTTGAACTATTTAGGAGAGTACATGATCCATGGTAAGCTCTATATAAATTTTGTTACATAAAATTAAGGTTCTAGTCCCATAAACTTTTTTCTGTAATAAGCTGCTCAGCCTTAGATACCTCTCATATTTGCTGTGAGAAGTGAACAAATGCATGTGAAAACTGTAATGTGTTTATAATTTTTATTATTTGTCATCAAGATCATGTAAGAGACCTGATTTAGTAGAGGGTGAAGGGATGCGAAAGGGGCTGTCAGTCATCAGCTTTTGATTATCTGCCTTGTTAAGGTCCCCTTCTTGTCAACATAATCAGCTCTTTGGCTTGTTCAAGTCTTTTGTTGACAATATCCAGGCCTCTCATGGTTCCTCCCACACACAACGGGCTGCACAGCAAGGGCTGGAAGGAAAAAGCCTTTGAAGGCAAAACGGGTCCTTCCCTTCCTTAGCCTTGAAGCGGGAATAACCACTAGACAGAAGGCTGTGAGGGAGGACTCAGGCACTTCCACTGTGGCTGCTTTGCCTTTGGGCAGGAGGGGAAACTGATCAGCTCCCTCTGTGGTAGGGCCGCAGAAAGAGATGTTGGCATTTGTTATGAAGTGCTAGGCATAAAAACACATACATGGCCGGGTGCAGTGGCTCACGCCTGTAATCCCAGCACTTTGGGAGGTCGGGGCGGGAAGATCACAAGGTCAAGAGTTTGGGACCAGCCTGGCCAACATGGCGAAACCCCGTCTCTACTAAAAATGCAAAAATTAGCCAGGAGTGGTGGTGGGCACCTGTAATCCCAGCTACTCAGGAGGCTGAGGCAGGAGAATCACTTGAACCCAGGAGGTGGAGGTTGCATTGAGCTGAAATCATGCCATTGCACTCCAGCCTTGGCAACAAGAGCAAAACTCCATCCCAAAAACAAACAAACAACAACAACAACAAAAACAGAAAACAAAAAACAACAAAAAAACCCATACACACATACTTATCCCAGTGTCCAGAGCAAATGTTCTGCCACTTACTGCTATGGGTGTGATTTCAGATAGCTACTTAAACCCTGAGTTTCGGTTTTTCTCATCTTCAAAATGGAAATATTGATGCCTAATTCAAAGGGTGAAAATTAATGAACTATAGAAACCCCTTGGTGTATGTCTGGTCCAATAAATGGTAGCTCTTTTTAGCTAACATTTTGTAATATCTGCCCACTATCTCCTCCAAGGGATGGAGAAGTAATGCTGACTTCCAGACTAGGAAAGGTAGCGGTAGCAGAAAGTGATTTACAACTCGACATTTTTCACATTTTCTTTCCAGAGCACATAGTAAGTTCTTGTTGGTTCATTCATTCATTGAACAGTGTTTAGAAGTTTGAACAAGCTTGAACAACTTGCCATCATTTTGTTCACTTGTATTCATCTTACTCTCACCACTAGAACTGCAAGGTCCATGAGGGCAGAGGCAGTGTCTGTTGCTGGGTGAGTGACTGGATTGACCTCAAAGCATGTCTGAAGACTGAAATGGGCCAGGCAAGGAGATGGACACTGGAGGCCTGGATTCTGGGCTCAGTCATACCTCCAAGAACATAACTTTCCCTCGACCCTGGAGTCTTCACAGACCTTCCTTCCACTGTGAGGCACTGGATAATCACTTGAGACCAGACTCAGGGAACTTCTCCCTCATGGGAAGACATTCATCCACTCCATGTCTCTGAAGCCCCAAGAGAAGGATCTGAATCCCCTAGTCTGAAGAGTCAGCAAGTTTCCAACATAGCAATCATGATAAAAAGGGAGAATTGATAAAGGAGGGAGCAGCCCCAACTCAGTAACAACAGAGGGAGGAAAATTCCAGCTAGTACGTGTACTTAATATGAAAGCAGACATGTGCCAAGACCCTGCTTTCATGGATATTAGGTGTTCCCAAATATAAGAAACACCCATTCTTGCCCACAGGCCTCACTGGATACTATCCAAGATGTCTAGAGAATAAGAGGAAAGAGAGAATCATAATATCCAAAAGGTGGAAAAAACCCAAATGTTCACCAATAGATGAACGGATAAACAAAGTGTGATATATCCATACAATGGAATATTAGTCAGCCTTGAAAAGGAATGAAGTACTGATAAATGCCACAACATGGATGAACCTTGAAAACACTATGCTCAATGAAAGAAGCTAGTCACAGTAGGTCTCTTATTATATGATGCCATTCATATGAAAGTCCGGAATAGGGAAATCTACAGAGACTGAAAGTACATTAGTATTGTTAAGGGCAAGAAGGAATATGGGAGGATAGGGAGGTGATAGCTAAAGGTTACAAGATTTCTTTTTAAGGTGATGAAAATGTTCTAAAATTAACTATGGTGATGGTTTGGCATACCTGTGAATATACTAAAACCATTGAATTGTACATTTCAAATGGTGAATTGTATGACACATGAATTATACCTCAAGAAGGTTGTTTTTTAAAAAGACAGCATAAGGGGTAGGGGGAAGTTGAGATGAAGCAGGAAAACTGTGATCAGAAACAAAGCTCAGGGGCTGTCTGGCCTGGCTGCCCCAAGTCAAAGCCTGCATTTCATACAGGTAATGTTAGGGTAGCCCCCAAGCCATGATTCAGAAAGATAAATTGACCCCAGAAGGTATAGGGCTGGGTCCCTTCTCCCCTGACAGCTCCCTTTCTGTGTTTTTTCTGGCACAAGAAACTCTGTCATCTTGTATAAATAGGAGAAATTTATGACAGTTTTCCCTCTTCTTCTCCCTGGTGGGCTACTAGGAAAGGTCCCGGGGGAGGAGGGAGCCTGAAATTCCAAAAATATAAATGTGGAAAGACTGGAGGGGGTCGAGGAGTCTCTTTGCCTGCCTTGACTCTGGCCCCAGCTCTCCTTTCCCTTTGCATGTTTGACCATCTGGGTGATGCAGAGGGCAGAGAGCTGGTGCAGCCCGTTCTCTCTGCAAGCCCAAAAGAGATGGGTCCCAAAGCAGATATCCGACAGGAGGGGCACAAGGGAAATCAAGAAAATAGGCTTGGCTGTCCCATGAAATAATTGGAGGACACACAGACCACTGCCCTCCTTCCTGGATTTGGCTATTTTTGTACTTCCCTGTTTGTTGAGGCAGCCTGATACAGTGGGAAGAGAACTCGTCCTCGATTTAGAAAGATTGACAGAGAAACTAAGTGTGTGACCTTAAGCAAGTCATATCTTCTCTCCGGGCCTCACCTGTAAAAAGAGGGAGGGGACTGAATTTATCAGGGGTTTTCAAATGAGTTTAACTCTGGGGTCCTTCCTTCAAATAAAACCGTATGTAGTGACCCAACATGAACACGAGTAGTAGCCTGCTGAGCTTCTTGAAGGTAGGAATGGGAGTCAGGGCCCTGTGGTGACTGGTGAGAGGCTTGTCCAAGCACAAGATGATCTCCATGGCCTTTCCAGCCCTGTCCTCAGGAGGGATTTGCCCCCATGGTGAAGAGGCTCAGTTCTGTACACCCAGTGGGCTTGAAATCCAGCTCCACTCCCTCTTGTGTGTCCCTCAGCACATAACTTACCTTCCTTGAACCTGTTTCCTCTTGTTTAAATTGGAATAGTAACACATATCTCAGAGGATTGTCACATAGATTACACTAAATAATGTGCATAGAGTCCTTTGCATACTATCTGGCCCAATAAATATTATTATAGTTATTCCGTGATCTGATGTAATCAGTTTTTTATTTTGAGACAGAATCTCATTTTGTAGCCCAGACTGGTGCACAGTGGCATGATCTCGGGTCACTGCAACCTCCGCCTCCTGGGTTCAAGCAATTCTCCTGTCTCAGCCTCCCAAGTAGCTGGGATTACAGGAGTGTGCCACTGTGTCCAGCTAATTTTTGTATTTTTTAGTAGAGATGGGGTTTTACCATGTTGGCCAGACTGGTCTCGAACTCCTGGCCTCAAGTGATCCACCTGCCTCAGCCCCACACAGTGCTGGGATTACAGGCATGAGCCATCGCACCTGGCCTGATATAATCTTTTTAATTTGAAATATCTGGTGTGAGAAGGTGAATTGGAAAGGATGACAGCAAAACTTCTATAACACAAAGGCCCCCAAACACAGTAGCATATAGAAAACAGAAGTTTATTTCTCACTTAGTCTGGGAGGAAGTTGTTCCAGATAGCAGGCAGCTCTGTTCCTCCTAGTCAGTCAGGGACGTGTGTTCCTTTCATACCTTTGCTTTGTCTTCTCTTAGAGATGTCTTTTCAGTTGCCTGGTCAAACCTGTGTCAGGCACATCTGCCCAGCTCATGAAAGAGAGAACACAAGGGAGAATTTACCCAATCTGTCAGGCTTTGAGGACATGCTCACCTCACATTCCCCTGTGTCTACACCTGGCAATAAGAGCAGCTGGGAAATGGAGTGTCCAGCTGGGTGTCCCTCCACCCTCGTGCAGCAAGGAAAGAAGAGATTTTAGTGGACAATGGGCAGTCTTAATCCAGGGCTCAAACCCACGCCTGAGCTGTCCTCTTCCTCTTCTCTTCCCAAAGGAAGGGAAATAAAGTCTACAGCCCAGAAAACAATGTGACCAGCCATCCCCTACCCAATCAGGTCCCTGCCATTCATCCCAAGATCAGCTGTCTTTCTTGGGAAAGTGGCTTGGAAGCCTCTCTCCAGAAAGACCACCCTTCTGTCCATCTTCTTCACATGGGTGGATTTGAGAAAAGTTTCTGTCCCCACTGCCTGCCTGCCACTCCCTGTCTCAGTTTCAGCTCACGCTCTAGCCCTTCGTTCCCAGTCACCAAGAATGACTACAAATGCGGGGGAACAGGAGGACTTGAAACAGTCATGGAAATTGAGACTGGGGCACAGAAGCCATGCTCAGAGGCAGCGTAGGTGAGGGTTCTGATGCCAGGAAATCCAGCTACTACTGTGTAACCTAAAGCGGGGATTAAGCTCTCAGAACTTCAATGAACTCTTTTGGAAATAGGGATAAGAAACCCACTTGTCAGGGCTGTTGTGAACATCAAATGTGATCATGTATGTACCTAGTACATAGTATGCCTTCAATAAATGGTAAGGCAAACCCAAGGCAAATTGAACTCATGTCCATTACTCTGACCCAGCCTTTGCATAAATTGTTTTTTCTTCTCCTTCCTTGTCAATGCATGGCTCCCTCCCTCTTCTTTACTTCCTATCCTCATTCCCCTACCATCTGAACCCTGATGTGGAATCCCTTTTCTCAGGAAATCTTCCATGATTGAAACATTCCTGCTTGGCCACTTCCCACTCCAATACTCTATCTTCGCCCATCTTCCATCTACCCCATGGTCCTGGCCCAAGTTTACACGTGTCCCATTTCTCCCTTCAAAAAGCATGCAACAATGGAAGGGCTTTAAGTTTGCCATCAAGCAGATCAGAGTTCAGATGCCAACTCTGCCAAGTTCTAGCTTTAGGACTTTGTCAGATCACTTCCCCTCTTTGAATCTCTGTCTTCCCAACCCTCTGGTGAGGTCAAGTGTGTGTGGGCTGGTACATAAAGGATATTTAATCTCCTCTGCTCTACCCAACCTCCCCCAACTCACACTCCCAGGACTAACTCTCTACTAAAGGGAGTTATTAGACCAAGAAAGTAATTCTCCCATTACCAGCCCCACCCCAACCCTGCTGAGGGAAAAAGAAGTGACTTCGAGTCTATGGGTCTTGGAGGGACCACCAACCCAAGAGCTAGAGCAGAGGAAGGACTTGGATATCCCAGATTCCAGGGTTATAGGATCTCTCCCCAAGCCCTCATATGCAGCCCCAGTTGCAGGACTAGCTTCAGGGATAGGAGTGAAAGAGTTGATCTGATTCCAGTCTTAGCCTGTAAGTAGTAGCTCACCTGTGCCTCTATTTTCAACCTTCCTAGATCAGAAGAGCAACAATATCAGTGACAACTAATGCTTACATAGTGTTTCCTATGGGATGGGCATTGTTCCAGGCTCTTCGTACATATAACTCATTTAATCCTGACAGCAGCCTTTGAGCTAGGTACTATTAACCCCATTTTACAGACAAGGAAACTAAAGCACAAGGGGTTAAGTAACTTGCCTAGGTCATACAACTCACATAAGGCATGACTGAGATTCAAAACCAGGCCGTCTAGCTCCAGAATCCATCCTGTTAACCACTCTGCCATAAAAAGAGCTAACATTTACTGGCAGGTTCTATGTGTCAAGCACTGTGGAAAACACATGGCATGTATTTCCTCTAATTCCAAATAACCCCCTGAGATAAGTTCTATTATTAGTATCCCTGTTTTACAGGTCAAGAAACTAAGGCAGAGAGAAAAGTTAAGCAACTTGCCCTGAGTCACACAGCTAGATATTAATAGTTTCAGAACTCCTAGCTGTTTTGCCTCAAATCCCACCTCCCCACCCCTGCTCAAAGCCCCTCCCCTTCTAGGTGGGTTGTTTAGTTCCTATCACCAGTTCTTCACAAATCGGCTTTACCCCCCACAGCCTACAACCCTTGTTCTCCAAAACTCCTGTTGACCTCTGTCCCTTTCCCTTCCCACTTTCTCTCTAGACCCTCTGCTCCCCACAAAGTCCCCCAAACCATTCTGTCCCTCTCCCTCTGCTCCCCACCCACCCTCCCCCACAACTCCTGCTAAAACAGATGAATTTCACCAAAAAAGACCATCAGACCTTCCCCAAGCAGGCCCCCACTGTGCCTGATTGCACACCCCCAGGGGAGGCACCACAGTGGCTAAGCTGGAGAGCCAGAAATAAAATCCTCATTCTACTTCCCTGCCCCTTCTTCCCATCACTCATCTGGGAATCCAGGGCGAAGAAGGGAGCTAAAGTGCAGAGCATTCATTTAATATTAACAAATTGAAATGAATTCTTTTAATGCCAATTAACTTGGAGCGGCCCCTTATTAATAGTAATTTAGATTCATACTTGGGAGAAGCAGGGACGAGGGCTGGGCCAAATGTGCCCAGAATGTCAATGTGACTGGGGAACTGAAAGGGGAAGGGTGGCAGTTTTACTTCTGCCCAGTTGGGTTCTGTTTCCCTGAGAGAAATGGACAGTCACTGGAGGCGGATCTTTGGGAAACATAAATTACTCTTGTAAGTTTATTTTTGTTACTTCAAGGAATCTGAATAGTTTGACGCCAAGTCACACCATTTTAAGAGTTTATTTTCACAGTAATGCTAAAAAGAAGAATTTCCTCAGAGCTGGGATTTACTTCAAACTCTCTCCTAAGCCAAACCTTACTGACCAAAGGGACAAGTCCCCAGGCCAGCTCTCTACCCTTCTTTGTTCAGAGCTAGAGCCAGAGATCAATATGGGCTTCCCCACTCCCTGCCCCTTCTACCTTACCCAAAACTAAAAGGAAGAATCAACACTGTGTGTCTCTCTGAGAAGTCTCCCTCAGGAGATAAAAGACCCAAAGGGCTGACCCCTAAGCTAACAGCTTACATTTAAGGAAGAAAAACAATCTGCCTGCACTTTTCTTAGAATTTAGGGAAAAAAGGAGAATTTAAAATTCAATTTCATGTATCAGAGTTCTCCAGAATACAGCCAAGTGGAAAGAACTTAGTCCCAAATGAAAAAGTTGAGCAGAAATTCTTCTCTCACTCGTTTTGCCGGCTTGGAGGTCAGACTGGAGGTGTCCTGAACTAGAACCAGAGCATAGGTTCTGACCCAAGAAGGACACTGTCTACTTCCCAGGCATCCCTCCTTGGCTGGGAGGAGAGGGGAGGATGAGTCCATTGGAAGCTGAGAATTGTGGAAGCTGGGGATGGGAGTTTTGAGATGGAGGAGGCAGGCGTGTGAAGGAGGTCAGGGAAAGGCAAGTAAATCTACTAATCATTGCAGTTTATAAAATAAAAACCTTAAAAATGGTTTAACATGCAAAAGGTTAAATTTTAAAAAGAGGCCAGGTTTTAAAGAAGGTAAAATACCTCAATTTTAGACATAATAAAAATGAGGAAAATACTCAAAACATTTCAAGCAAATTGTTCTTCAGAAGAGGAGAGGTTGGAATTAATCAAGAGACCTTTGTTACACACACATCCCCCAAGAGTTTCCCAAACAATAAATTCATTTACAAAACAAAATAGGAATCAACACAAAACCTCATCCACATACAGAGAAAAATAAATTGTGGTGATTCTGTAACAGCTGAAAAACTAGTGAGGGAGGAGAAAAATGAATAAACTCTAAATCCATTAGGTGATATTTATAAATAGCAAAATTGGAGGATGGAATGGAGAAAAGAGTTGAACTTATCATTAAAGAAGTAACACATGTGAAAACATAAGGTGTAACTCATCCCCAAAGAAAAGTAAACTCTCCATAAAGTAGCAAGTATAGAAATTTATTGAAAAGGAGGAAAGTACCACTCACCCCCCCAATATAAGCGTATTAATTTGAATTAAAATTTTCTCCAAATCCGAGATAGGTTACGCAAAAGAATACAAAAAGATTATTTTTCTTTCAACTAAGAGGAAAAACAAAATCCGATTTAAATTCACTAATGGGACAAGAAGGGAGGCTGTGGTTTGCAGGTGCTAGTAAACGGGATGAGGGTTGTGAAGAGTTTGAGGGGTAGAGGACCAGCTTACCTCGCTTTGGAGCCGCAGCGGCCAACAGGAGTGGGCAAAGGACCCTGCCAGTGCCTGAGTGATAGGGGAAATAAGGAATAGGGGATTCGGGTGCCCCTAGACGAATGAGGAGGATGGAAAGACTGGGGGTGCCCATCTCCCCTCCTCTGCCCGCCTCCCTCCCTCCGGTACCCAGGCCTAGAGAGCTACTGAAAGTTACAAATTGCTTCCATTATTAGCTCATCCCGGGCGGCCTGGTCATTGGCCAGCCCCTGGCCACGTGGTCCCTCGTACCAATCGATCGAATTTCTAGTCGCAATTCTCTGTCTGTCCCTCAGCTCTGGGGAGAAAGTGGGGGCTGTGGCATGGGGGCTGAGGTCCAGTTTGGGGCGGGGTGGGAGAGGAGTCCTTGAGTATCCTGTCCCAGGGCCAAACCCCCAGGAGTCCAATCTTCAAGACCTCCTTGAGCCGACTTCCGCCGATGGAGGGGGATCTTCAGGGTGCCTGCTGGGTTCTCAGGACTCCTCTTCAGATCCTAGTTTTGACCCCTCCGGGTTAGAAAGGATGGGCTCAGCACATCTGGTGAGGCAGGCAGGTCGTCGCTGCAGCACGGAATGATCCCATGGCCCTCAAGGCGTGGTGTCAGCTGAAAGTTCACTGATCTGTGAGCCCTCTGCCTCCCTCCTCCGTTGAAAGAGCAGTGGCGTGCCCCACTTCTAAAAGCCCTGGGGCTCCTGCAAGCGGACACCGCTTTCCAGGACAGGTGCAAACAGGGATGGTGCGAAGCCGAGGTGGAGACAATGCGATCACGCGTGGCACTGGCGTATCCCACAGCAGATGGTGTGAATGTGTGTCACCGGAGGCATATGGGGTGATGGCAAAACCAACAATGGTGTCCAGGCATGTGCCCGGTGGAAAGGGGGAACAAGTGGCCTTTCCCTGAGTGCCAAGGGAACTCAAAGAAGACCTGGGAACCTGGACGGGGCCTTTGCCTCAGTCCAAGCCACATTTTGAAATGCCTGCCAGAGGAGCACAGAGGTTTCTGCAACATTCACCCCACCCCGAAGCCTCCACCGCCCAGGTAGCCCTGACGCAACTTCCCTGCACCCGGCCCCAACCCCATCCCCAGGCCCAGCCCAGTTCCTTTGGTTTCCTGACATTCGTTACAGACAAAAGATTCAGGGAATCAGTCCACCTATGAGCAGAGGAGAGGATATCCCTCATTTGTGAGACAGGACGTGCAAAGGAAATGGGACACCACCTGTCTTAGAAGACAAGGCCAGTCATGATCACCTAGCGCTCATTCTAGGCAATCCACCCACCGATGAGGTGAAACAAGGAGACCAAAGAAGCTTCCCTGTCTGAGACACGCATGGAAGCCAAGTGTTCCAGGCTTATCAGACCTGCCCAATCCAGCAGAAACAGGTTTGGAGAGAGAAAGAGTCATGTCGCGGATCTCCAGAAAGTGTCTCCCTGATGGACTGGGAAGCGATCTTCGTAGAAGTTATTCAGCCAGACCAAGAGGCAACTAGGCCCCTCAGAAACAGGGGAGACAGAGCAAGAGGGAGGACAGAGCACAGGCCAGAGCCCAGGCAGGTTACAGAACCTTGCCACCGCCACAGGCATAAGGGGAGGGGTGCGAAACGCATGACTTGTCCAGAGAGGCCAGCATTCCAGGGACAGGGATTGTTGCCGTCTTCCATTCCCGGCTTCCTCTTCAGAATTGTATCGTGGTGTGGCTTCATTGCTCAGAGAAGAGCCGTGCAGGGGTACAACCATCTTCTTGGAGGTGTGTCTGCTCCTCTCCTGCCGGACAATGAGCTGCTGTGGGGTTTTGTCCTGGGTTGGAGTGTGGTCCTCTTGATCCTAGAAAAGAGGCCGCTCAGGATGGGGATGAGACTTCGATTGCTCCGGGACCGACGCATCTCCTCACGTGATCGAGGACTTCACAAACCCAAAGTGGAACCGCCGTGAAAACGATGGACAACCGGCCACGGGACCCAGACAGAGACACAGAAAGAGGCTCAACAAAGACTGGCCGACATGCAAAAAATCGCATTTTGGCAAACAGAGCACATTCGTCCAAAGACACACACACACACAGGCATACACACACAAACACACACACACACACACACACACAGACCAACAGAGAGAGGGAAAGAAACACACAGAGGGTGAGAGACAGAGAGAGAAGAGAGAATGGGAGACACACACACACACACAGTCCTACAGTGGTGGCACAGAAACACACATCCCAGGCAACCCCTGAGGTTAACTAATAGTGGAAAATATGTATCTAAGAATACACTTGGAACAGAAATGTGAAAAACCGAAAGTAAGAGATATTATGAAGGAGCAAATATAAAATGACCCAGTGCTAAAGAGGCCACAAAGAAAATTGTAGAAGAAAATGACAAGAGGCATTGTGCCTTAATGAGTTTGTGCTTCTATATAAGAAAATACACTAGGCTGGGTAATTTCTGAAGAACAGAAATGTATTTCTCACAGTTCCATAAGCTAGAAGTCCAAGATCAAGGTGCCAGCAGGATTGGTGTCTGGTGAGGGCCTGGTCTCTGCATCCAAGATGGTACCTTGTGCACTGTGTCTTCAGGAGGAGAGGCACTGTGTCCTCACATGGCAGAAGGCGGAAGGGCAAAACAGGGGAAGCCCACTCCCTCCAGTCCTTGTGTAAGGATCCTACACCCATTTGTGAAGACTCTCCCTTCATGACTGAATCACTACCTAAAAGCCCTACTTCCTAATCCTATGACATTGGTGATTAATTTTAGGGGGACACATTCAGAGCATAGCACCCTATATTCAATTTCTTAAAAATTATTTTGTTGTTTTGCTTTTCTGTTTTTCAAATGGCTTAAGTGCACAAAATTGGATTAATCATAATCCTTGGCTCATAGTACACCTTGGCTCCTATTTCACCCTTGTCTGTGCCTGGGCCTCTGTGTAAATGTATTTGAACAATATGGTAATCACTTGTCAACTTACAACACAACCAAAGAACTAGGGTTCTGACCCTAACATCTGCTCCTCCTCTGTCCTTTTTCCTGATTTTCACCCTTCAGCCCGAGGGTAACTACTACCCTGAATTTATGTTTAGGATTCTCTTCCTTTAAAAAAAACACATTGTTTTATTGCATACATATGATTACCCTAAATGACATGTTACTTAGTTTTTAAGGGTATAATTTATTTACCCATTCTCCTATTAATTTACCCATTCTCCTATTAATGAACATTTGGCTTATTTCCAGATTTTTCCTATTATGAATGGCATTACGTGAGCATTTTTTTTTTTTTTACTACATCTTGTACATATGGGCAAGAGTTTCTCCAGGGCCTATGGTAGAGAAATTACTTTGCCATAACATATGAGAATGCTCAAATTTATAAGATAATCCAAATTGCTTTCCAAAGTGGTTGTTCTAATTTAAACGCTCACCTCCTGTATTAGTTCGAGATGATCTTGTTGATCCACAGTCTCTCCATATATGGTGATATGGTTTGGCTGTGTCCACACCCAAATCGCAGCTTGAATTCTATCTCCCAGAATTCCCACATGTTATGGGAGGGACCCAGGGTGAGGTAATTGAATCACGGAGGCCAGTCTTTCCTGTGCTATTCTCATGATAGTGAATAAGTCTCATGAGATCTGATGGGTTTATCAGGAGTTTCTGCTTTGGCTTCCTCCTCATTTTCTCTTGCTGCTGCCATGTAAGAAGTGCCTTTTACCTCCTGCCATGACTCTGAGGCCTCCCCCACCATGTGGGACTGTAAATCCAATTACAGTTCTTTTTCTTTACACCTCTTTTTCTTCTCAGACTTGGGTATGTCTTTATCAGCAGTGTGAAAACAGACTAATACAGTAAATTGATACCAGTGGAGTGGGGTGCTCCTGAAAAGATACCCAAAAATGTGCAAGCAACTTTGAAACTTGGTAACAGGCAGAGGTTGGAACAGTTTGGAGGGCTCAGAAGAACACTGGAAAATGTGGGAAAATTTGGAACCTCCTAGAGACTTGCTGAATGACTTTGACAAAAATGCTGATAGTGTTTTGAACAATAAGGTCCAGGCAGAGGTGGTCTCAGATGGAGATGAGGAACTTGTTGTGAACTGGAGCAAAGGTAACTCTCGTTATGTTTTAGCAAAGAGAATGGCAGCATTTTGCCCCTGTCCTAGAGATTTGTAGAACTTTGAACTTGAGAGTGATAATTTAGGGTATCTGCTGGAAGAAATTTCTAAGCAGTAAAGCATTCAAGAGGTGACTTGGGTGATGTTAAAGGCCTTTGGTTTTATAAAGGAAGCAGAGCATACAGTTTTGGAAAATTTGCAGCCTGACAATGTGATAGAGAAGAAAATCCCATTTTCTGAGGATAAATTCAAGCTGTCTGCAGAAATTTGCATAAGTAACAAGAAGCTGAATGTTAATCCCAAAAACAATGGGGAAAATGTCTACAGGACATGTCATAGGTCATCACAGCAGCCCTTCCCATCACAAGCCTGGGACCTAGGAGGATAAAATGGATTTCTGTGCTGGGCCAGGTTGACTGTGCTGTGTGTAGCCTAGGGCCTTGTTTCTCTGCGTTTCAGCCCCTCCAACCATGGCTGAAAGAGGAAAACATAGAACTCAGGCCACGGCCTTGAGAGTGCAAGCACCAAGCCTTGGCAGCTTCCATGTTGTGTTCAGCCTGCACATGCATAGAAGTCAAGAACTGAAGTTTGGAAACCTCCACCTAGATTTCAGAGGATGTTTGAAAACACCTGGATGTCCAAGCAGAAGTTTGCTGCAGGGGTGGTGCTCTGATGGAGAACCTCTGCTAAGGCTGTGCAGAAGAGAAATGTGGGGTCAGAGCCCCTATACAGAGTCCTTACTGGGGCACTTCCTAGTGGAGCTGTGAGGAGAGGGCCACTCTCCTCCAGACCCCAGAATTGTAGATTCACTGACAGCTTGCACCATGAGCCTGGAAAAGCTGTGGACACTCAACGTCAGCCCATGAAAACAGCCACGAGGTGGGCTATACCCTGCAAAGCCACAGAGGCAGAACTGCCCAAGGCTGTGGGAGCCCACCTCTTGGATCAGCATGACCTTGATGTGAAACATGGAGTCAAAGGAGATCATTTCGGAACTTTAAAATTTGACTACCTTGCTGGATTTTGGACTTGCATGGGGCCTGTAACCCCTTTGTTTTGGCAAATTTCTCCCATTTGGAACGGCTGTATTTACTCAATGACCTGTACCCCCATTGTATCTAGGAAGTAACTAGCTTGATTTGGATTTTACAGGGTCATAGGCAGAAGAGACTTGCCTTGTCTCAGATGAGACTTTGGACAGTGGACATTTGGGTTAATACTGAAATGAGTTAAGACTTTGGGGGACTGTTGGGAAGGCATGATCGGTTTTGAAGTGTGAGGACATGAGATTTGGAGGGGCCAGGAGCAGAATAATATGGTTTGACTATGTCCCTACCCACATCTCAACTTCAATTGTATTGCTCAGGATTCCCATGTGTTCGGGGAGGGAACCAGGGGGAGGTAGTTGAATCTTTAGAGCCGGTCTTTCCCATGCTATTCTCGTGATAGTGAATAAATCTCACAAGATCTGATGGGTTTATCAGTGGTTTTGTCTTTTGCTTCTTTTGCCTCCTTCTCGTATTCTCTTGCCACTGCCATGTAAGAAGTGCTGTTCATCCACCACCATAACTCTGAGGCCTCCTCAGCCATGTGGAACCCTTAATGCAATTAAGCCTCTTTTTCTTCCCTGTCTCGGTTATGTCTTTATCAGCAGTGTGAATATGGACTAATACATTTTGTATTGTCAAACTTCTTAATATTTGTGGAGAGAATAGATGTGTAGTATCTTGTGCATTTCCCTGATTACTAATGAGGTTGAGAAAATTTTTATGTTTTGCAGGCTTTCTCTTTTGTGAAATCCCTATTAATGCATTTTCCCAATTTTCTGTTGGGTTGCTATTTTTAAAATTAGAAATAACTGTCATCAATCCAAAAGCTTACACATGGCAGATCCCTTCACACCAGTTCACAGTACAAAGTAACTCCTTGCTTGTAGAAAACATTATTATTATCATTATTATTTTTGAGATGGAATTTGACTTTTGTAGCCCAGGCTGGAGTGCGATGGTGTGATCTCAGCTCACTGCAACCTCTGCCTCCCAGGTTCAAAGGATTCTCCTGCCTCAGCCTCCCAAGCAGCTGGGATTACCAGTGCACACCACGATGGCCTGCTAATTTTTTGTATTTATGTAGAGACAGGGATTCACCATGTTGGCCAGGCTGGTCTCGAACTCCTGACCTTAGGTGATCCACTTGCATCGACCTTCCAAAGTGTTGGAATTACAGGCAGGAGCCACCACACCCAGACTAGAAAACATTATTCAATAGCAAACAGTAGCAGTATGCTTGGGGGTTTTAGGATTGATTATTTTCAAATCTCTAGAAAAGCTCAATGCATTACCTTAGGCTATAATCTCAGGGCAGAGTCTCATCTGTTAATGTGGGGCTGGTCTAAGGGTCCTTCCACCTCTCAGATTTATGGTTTCCGATGTTGAACTGCTCCCTGTCACCCACCCATCCTCGGTTTTGTTTGTTTGTTTTTACAGAGACGAGGTCTCACTATATTGCCCAGGCTGGTCTTGAACTCCTGGCCTTAAGCGATCCTCCTTCCTTGGCCTCCCAAAGTGCTGGAGTTACAGATGTGAGCCTCTGTGCTCAGCCCATCCTTGGCTGTTCAAGTGTAGAGGTAAGTAGTAGATGCCAAGTTTACCTCCAGGTAAGAAGGGGCAGATGCCCCAGGGCAGAATCATAACCATAATCAGGCCTCCCACTGCATGAAGACATTATGTTCTGAAGCTTAAACCTGGACAAAGGTCTGACCAGTAGCACTGTGTTCATGAATGTCAGGTCAAAAATTTAAAACTGGGACTATCCAGAAGAACCTGGTAGATGCAGGTGCAGTCCACAGTCCAATGGTCAGCCTTGATAACAGGCCACCTGTACTTTCTCTTTATCATGGAGTCCTTGATGTAAAAATTGATGACACTTTCTTGCTTCTGGTGTGCTTCCCTTTCTTCTTCATTTTCCATAAGTAGTTTCCTCCATCCCGCCTCCCAACAGGCCACAGTCAATTCAGGACATTTTAACCATGAAAATGAGTCTCCATAACACGAATTTAGAGGCCAGACAGGGTGGATCACGCCTGTAATCCCAGCACTCTGTGAGGCTGAAGTGGGGGAATGGCTTGAGCTTAGGAGCTTCAGACCAGCCTGGGCAACATGGTGAAACCCTGTCTCTAACAATAAATAAATAAATAAATAAAAATAAGCCATGTATGGTGGTGCATGCTACTAGTCCCAGCTACTCAGGAGGCTGAGGTGGGAGGATTGTGGGGCCAAGGAGGTCAAGTATGGAGTGGGCCAAGATCATGCCACTGCAATCCAGCCTGGGTAATGGAGTGAGACCTTATATCAAGAAAAAGAAAAAGATTTAAAGGACAGGCTGACTTTCTT
The DNA here is from genome assembly GCF_000001405.40 of Homo sapiens. Classification (NCBI taxonomy): domain Eukaryota; kingdom Metazoa; phylum Chordata; class Mammalia; order Primates; family Hominidae; genus Homo; species Homo sapiens. The sequence goes on from NC_000009.12 coordinate 41,706,360, forward strand.
GTTACAAGCCAATGCTCATTTGCTATTCCATAAATCCTAGGGCACCTCTTAAGAATTATGCTAAATCTACACTACCCAAGCTCTATAAATGGAACAACAACACTTGGATGATATCAGAGCTGTTTACCGCATGGGTTACTGAGTATTTTAATCCCACTGTTGAGACCTACAGTTCAGAAAAAAAGATTGATTTCAAATACTTCAGCTTTTTGACAGTGTACCTGGTGACTAAAAAGCTCTAATGGAGATGTACAGGGAAATGCATGCTGGTTTCATGCCTGCCAACACAACATCTATTCTGTAGTCCATGGATTGAGGCATCATTTTGACTTTCAAGTCTTATTATTTGAGAAATATATTTCATAAGGCTGTTACTGCCACAGGTCATGATTCCTTTGATGGATCTGGGCAAAGTCAATTCGAAACCTTCTGGAAAGGATTCATTATGATAGATGCCACTAAGAACATTCATGATTCACCAGAGGAGGTAAAAATAGCAGCATTAATAGGAGTCTGGAAGAAGTTGATTCTGACCCTCATAAATGACTTTGAGGGGTTCAAGACCTTAGCAGAGGAAGTAACCACAGTTGTGGTGAAGATAGCAAGAAAACTAGAATTACAAGTGGAGCCTGAAGATGTGAGTGAATTGCTGCAATCTTTTTTTTTTTTTTTTTTGAGATGGAGTTTTGCTTTGTTGCCCAGGCTGGAGTGCAATGGCGCAATCTCGGCTCACCGCAACCTCCGCCTCCTGGGTCCAATTGATTCTCCTGCCTCAGCCTCCTGAGTAGCTGGCATTATAGGCATGTGCCACTGCATCTGGCTAATTTTGTATTTTTAGTAGACAAGGAGTTTCACCATGTTGGTTAGGGTGGTCTCAAACTCCCAACTGCAGATAATCCATCTGCCTCAGCCTCCCAAAGTGCTGGGATTACAGGCATGAACCACCGCACCCGGCCAAATTGCTGCAATCTTAATGGAAATAAATGGAATTAGATGGAAAAAAGTTTAGTCTGGGGCTCAGGATCAGCTCTCCCTTTACTACGACATTCGCGTGCAGCGCACCAAGGAATCAGAGAATTCTACACTCGACTTTGACCTTGTGGGTTATTATGGCAATATATTTATCATAATATACTGTGAATATTTATCAAAGTAGGAGAATAGAACATATTTAACTATTTGTTAGCTTCATTTATAACTCATAATTATTTAGACATAATGCAAATGTGGGCTGGAATTCATGTTCTGATTTTTTGTGGCCTTGAGCTAAGGAAAAGGGACCCAGGGAAATGGGCTTTATATGCTTGCATGGCTTCATGGAATCCCCAACTTCCTTAGCTTCTGTGACAACTCAAGATTGTTACTAAAATCCACTTTGTATTATCTTTAAAAACCAAGGGATATCATTTCTGCTTATATAATATATAATATTATAATACATATTATATTATGATAAAATATATAATATAATATAATTAATATAATAATATACAATATATAATATTATATAATATAATTAATATAATATACAATATATATTATATATTATTATATAATGTTATATAATATATAATTTATATTATATAATAATACATATATAATATATATAAAATAATATATTATTGTTGCTTGTTATGAATGAGGAAAGAAAGTGGTTTCTTGCGACGGAATCTACTCCTGGTGAAAATGCTGTGAACATTGTGGAAAGAACAACAAAGGACTTAGAATATCCCATAAACTTAGTTGATAAAAGAGTGGCAGGGTTTGAGAGAATTGGTTCCAATTTTGATATAAATTCTACTGTAGGTAAAATGCTACCAAACTGCGTAGCATGCTACAGTGAAATCTTTTGTGAAAGGAAGAGTCAGTCAATGTGGTAAACTTCATTGTCATCTTATTTTAAGAAATTGCCACTCCCTCTCCAGCCCTCAGCAACCACCACCTCGATCAGTCACTAGCTATCAACATTGAGACAAGACCATCCAGCAGCAAAATGATGATGACTTACTGAAGGCCCAGATGATGGTTAGCATTTTTTGGCAATCACGTATTTTCAAAGTAAGGTATATACATTATATTTTAGACATAATGCTATTGCACACTTAATTGACTACAGTAACTTAAACATAACTTTTTTTTTTGAGATGGAGTCTGGCTCTGTTGCCCAGGTTGGAGTGCCGTGGTGCAATCTTGGCTCATTGCAAACTCTGCCTCCTAGGTTCAAACAATTCTCCTGCCTCAGCCTCCTGAGTAGCTGGGACTACAGGTGCGCACCACCATTTTTGTATTTCCGGTAGACACAGGGTTTCGCCATGTTGGCCAGGCTGGTCTTGAACTTCTGACCTCAGGTGATGCACCCACCTCGGCCTCCCAGTGTGCTGGGATTACAGGCGTAAGCCACCATGCCTGGCAACATAACATTTATATGCACCAGAAAGCAAAAAATTTCGTGTGACTTGCACTGTTGTGACATTCACCTTATTGTGTTACCTAGAACCAAACCTGCAATATCTCCAAGGTGTGCCTGTATCCCTAGAAGCAGAGCTGGAATAAGGACTTCGGTGTGGGTGGTTTATTTGGAAAGTGATTCCAAGAAGCAAGAGTCAGAAGTGGGAAGAGTGAGCCAGGCAAGAAAGAAAAGCCAAAATAATGGCATGCTATTGAGGCTCCTGCCATGCAGTTTTTTCTGCAGGACCTTCCGAGAGGCTCCGGAAAGTTATCCGGAAATGTCCACCTGAAACATGAGCCTGGAGCATTTGTCCACCTGTCCCACACTGGTTGAGGTCTTCCCCTGAGGCTGTTAACCTGCAAGTGTTTCTGGGCTGTATTTGTGCTCAGGCAAAATCCTACAATAATGGAGATTCCCTAGGGCAGAAAGTGTACCTTGAGTTTGCTGGCAGCACAAGAGAAGCCTGTGCTTCCATGGAACTTCTCACGGTGGCTGAGACTGAATGAAAGGTGAGCTGAGAAAACATGACGCAGGCGCCATTGCACTAAGCAATCATAGCCATCGATCTGGGCAAGAGGACCCCTGCCCTGAATCCTGCACTTGAGAAGGTGCCTCTCTGGCCCTCCACTGACTGTACCCTGGCCCACTCAGAGCTTCACCATCTCTTCTAGGGCACACGCTGGGCACTCAGGGACCTGGCGAAATGTGCCTGAGCCTGCATGGCCTCTTCCCTGGGTCCATTTCAAAGTGCAAACTGTGCTTGTCCAAATGGTGCCCAAGGATCTGCTTTCTGAAGGGGTGAGAATTGTGGATGCAGCTTGCATGGGGCCTAGGGAGTTCCCCACACAAGGGTATGCAAAGCTTCTCAAGTGAGGACAGGGCTACCTACGATGAAAGAAAAAAGTTTAGCCTGGGGCTGATGATCGGCTCTCCCTTTACTACCACATTCCTGTGCAGAGCACCAAGAAATCAGAGAATTCTACACTCAACTTTGACCTTGTGGGTTATTATGGCAGTATATTTATCGAAATAGGAGAATAGAACATATTTAACTATTTGTTAGCTTCATTTATAACTCATAATTATTTAGACATAATGCAAATGTGGGCTGGAATTTACGTTCTGATTTTTTGTGGCCTTGAGCTAAGGAAAAGGGACCCAAGGAAATGGGCTTTATATGCTTGGATGGCTTTGTGGAATCCCCAACTTCATTAGCTTCTGTGGTGACTCAAGATTGTTACTAAAATCCACTTTGTATTATCTTTAAAAACCAAGGAATATTATGTAGATCAGTAGTTAGAAGGTACTTGACTCAAAATATGTATGAACCAAAGGATATAAATGACTAAAAGCAGGAGGATTATTACCTGAAGTGGTGGAGGGTTGATCTCAGGATATGACCTGTGAGATCCTTCCTGCTGGCTCAGTGCTGGCTGAATGGGGGGCAGGAGAGCACCAGGAACAACACACATCTGGGACAGGAGGGAATGCGGGGAGGAAGGAAAGAGAAATAGGCCTTTTTATTTTTATTGATACATGACAATTATACATATTTGTAGGGTACATGTTATATTTTGATACATGCATACAATGTGTAGTGATCAAATCAGGATAATTTGCATATCCATCACCTCAAACATTTATCATTTGTGTTGAGAACATTCTACATCTTTCCTCTAGTCATTTTGAAATATATAAGTTATTGTTAATGATCATCACCCTACGTGCTATTGAACACTAAAAATTTTTCTGTTCCTTCCATCTAACTGTATTTTTGTGTCCATTAACCAACTTCTGGGAAGGGCAAAAGAGTGGGTGGATGAAAAGGGCCCTTTTTAAGGAAAAGTAAATCTTACAAGAAGGGAAGACATCTTAGGAGGAAAAATAAAAAGGTGGACCATGGGCTTAGAGTAGGGACTGCAGAAATTGAATGGCAAAGAAAAAACCAACTTAGCAATGTGAAAATACATCTCAATGTCATTCTTTTCACAGGTCCAGTGTCTGATTCTTTTGGGAAGCTGGATATGAAGTCAGAATCTTTCTTTGAGTCATACATTTTCATGATTATGATTATTATTGAATGATAGCTGGCAATTATTGAGAGCAATTATTGAGGACAATTATTGAGCTTTCACAAGCCCTTTTCAAAGGTCTTTACATATATTTTCTCCACTTCTAACTGTTAGATATTCTTATTATTCCCATTTTGTAGATGAGGGATACACAGGCATAAAGCCTATGTGGAGGCAGAGAGCAGCTACGTAACCTGACTATGGCCCAACAGCAAACAAATGATGGGGCCACATGCAAATCCAGGCAGAACCCTTCTATTATATGAAGCTCAATGTTTTCTTGTTTGCAGCTTGTTATGAATACCTCTATTTGCAAATGGGTTTTGAAGCTACTTTAAAACATTTTGTGGCTGTGCGTGGTGGCTGGCACCTGTAATCCCAGCATTATGGGAAACCAAGGTGGGCAGATTGCCTGAGCTCAGGAGTTTGAGACCAACCTGGCCAACATGGTGAAACCCTGTGCCTACTAAAAATACAAAAAAATTAGCCAGGTGTGTTGGTGTGCACCTGTAATCCCAGCTACTCTGGAGGGTGAGGCAGGAGAATCACTTGAACCCAGGAGAGGAAGGTTGCAGTAAGCTGAGATCATGCCACTGAACTCCAGCCTGGGCAACAGAGTGAGATTCTGTCTCCAAATAAAAAATAAATAAGATTGAATTTTGAGCTCCTGACCATGTCCCTAGATTGTGCTCATATGTATTTTGATGTCTAATAAGATTTATTCTCAGTGCATTTTTTAAGTGAAAGTATTTATTGAGCATCTACTGTATATCATGTGCTGAGATAGGCACCAGTGGTGCAGGGAACATATGGCACAGTCTCTGACCTCAGGTAACTTTCACTCTCATACATATGTATTAGGACACCAACACATGTGTGAATATAAGATAGTATGATAGATATTGCAACAAGTAATTATTTACTGTAAACCTATTTTATAGGATTTTAAACTTAAACTACTTTCACCCTATTTCCAAAAAAAAGTATTGCATAACTTTAAATAGATTCTCAGTTTGAAATCATCATACAAACTGCAGTAGCATCTGCTGGTGAAATACTGCTTTGTATCTATTAGAATAGTCCAAACAATTGGGAGACAACTGCATTATTAGAGCTGTAAAAGTTATTGTCTAGAAATCTCAGAGAAGAAGAGGAAGTTCTATGGTAGATGAATAAGATGACATCTAAACTGTTCTCTTCAGCTACTGAAGTTCTGTGGATATCTCACAGCACAAAGTTCAAGTGTATGCCCACAGCTCCTCATGCCACAAGATGTGACACCTTTCCAATCTCTTTTTGCAAAAGTTTCCAATTATGTCTCTTTTAAGAGTACTTTTTATACCCACATATTCCGGATTTTGTGGTGCACGCAAAGACAAGATGGGAAGGGGCTTCCATTTATTGATGCCAGCTGCTCCATGGACCAGGCCCTGCCCATGCATCCATGTTGGTTCTTTTATCCCCACATCAGCCATAGCCCATAAGCATTAACTGCCATTGCACAGATGAGGAAATTGAAAGTCTAAGAGAATATGCAATCTACCCAGAGTCATGCAGCTTGTGTATGTAAGGTTTGGAATGAAAATCCAATCTGTGTGAGTCTCAAGTCCCCTTCCACCATATGGTTTCCATTTCATTTTGCAATCAGATTGGCTGGGATATGTCTGCCCTAAAAGATAGTAAGTAGGAATATTTGTCTCTATACCTTAACCTGACATCCATGGGCTTGCTTTTTGTATTTGGAGGTGTCATAACATTATAATAATAATTTGATTTTATTTGTACAGTGGATATTATACTACTCAGTCTAGAGATTTATGACATCCCAGTCTAAACTGGATGATAGCAATGAAGCTTCTTCAAGGAGACAAGTATGAGTAATAAGGTAGTAATAAGCTGAATTTCTATGGAGTTGCTACTTCTGAATTAAAACTAGTTGAGATTAAGTAGATATTCAAAAATATTGCTATAATCTTCACTTGAATAATACAAACATTTATTATTTTTACATATTTATTTATTTATGGAACATAATTTTAAAACAGAATATTTTCAAATTGTATTAAAATATATTAAAAACATAATACATTATCACCCAATAGAGTTTTTCAAAGTAACTCAGTGTTAGTTTAAAATGTGAAATTCAATCAACATAATTCACCATAGAATACAGTGTGTATGTCAGTATAATATATATATCAAAATTGGAAAGCAGTAAATTTATCTTTGTTTTGTAATAAGATGAAATTAAAATTTTAATGAATTTCAACTTTCATTTTAGATTTCGGAGGGTACCTTTGCAGGTTTATTACATGGGTGTATTGTGTGATGCTGAGATTTGGGGTATGAATGAAAGTGTGAGTGCCTGTTTTGAACTTGCACCGAGAGCAATCTCCCCTGATCAGCAGAGGGTAAACTAACTTGAATTACACTTGAATTTTTTAGTAGAGCAGGTCACAAAGGGCAAATTGTAGTCCAGAGACAAAAGTGCTCAGTGGTCTAAAATGAGCCTGCCATATCACTGAGGGTACAGGTCTTCACAGAAATATATTTCAGAAAGACGTCAAACCTTTGTTTAAAGATAAATGTAAGCTGGGTGTGGAGGCACACGTCTATAATTCCAGCTACTCAGGAGGCTGAGGCAGGAGGATCCCTTGAGTTCAGGAGTTTAAGACCAGCCTGGACAACATAGGAAGATCCCATCTCAATTTTTTAAAATGAGAAAAAAATAGATAAACTTAAACATATTAAAATTTTAAAGAGTTTATTTAAGCAAACAGAGATTCATGGATCAGGCAGCTCCAAACTGAAAGTGGTTGGAGGATCTACTGGAGGTGTTTGTAAGGAAGGCTTTTACAGGGTGAATATAGAAGTAAAGTAGAGAAATTATTTGATTGGCAAAAATGTGGGCAGTTGCATTATTTGAACTATCCTGGTGGTAGGTCTCTCATTACCCAGCTAATACTCGGCAGGCCACCTGTGGGTGGGCTAAGCTTGTTTCATTTTGTCTATGCAGGAACCCTGGCCATGGGAGCTATCTCAGCCTAATGCTCTCCCATTATGAAATTTTACACCTTCTTTCTGTATCAGGGTAAGTGGGGATCTTCCCCAGGAGGGTTCTTACCACCCTGTTTCCCTCAGCAAAATGAAACTGTCCCTTTTGCCTCTGTAGGCAATCTTCTGAACAAGGCATTCCTAATATTCTTATCTCATCTTATTTTATCTTATCCTCTTCTCTGTACCTTGTTTACATGCTTCTGGAACACTTGTGTGTCTTGCACCCATCTCCTGCATTATTTAGGCAATCCTAACAGAAGGCCGCTAGGATGGATTGGAAGAGAACTGCTGGCATATTGAGCCCTCTCTCTTTGTATCTGGAACTTTCATAATTACCTTAGTTCTCCATGCCAATTTTGCACTTATCTTTGTTCTCCACTTCAAAATACATTTACCTCTGACAGCAGCTGAGTTCATAAAAGGGAACTAGTCCAGTGGTACTTATGAGGCAGGAGACATGATATAGTTAAAATTATAAACTATAATCACTATATAGTTATATATTATATATAATCACTATATCACTCCAGGGTTGAAGTGATACTCCTGCCTCAGCCTCCTGAGTAGCTGGGATTACAGGCATGTGCCACCACACTCGAATAATCGTATATGTTTTAAAATAGGAATAGATTTTCTCAGCTAAACGGAAGGGAAATGCTAAGGAAAGAGTGAGATTTGACTTGATAATTATGTTTCTGAATGAATCAGCCAATTAATAAAATGAAAACAGGCCAGGACAGTGGTGCATGCCAGTCATCCCAGCAATTTGGGAGGCCAAGGTGGACAGATCACTTGAGTCCAAGAGTTTGAGACAAGCCTGAGCAACATATCAAAACCCCGTCTCTACAAAAAATACAAAAATTAGCCAGGTGTGGTGGCTCATGCCTGTAGTCCCTGCTACTTGGGAGGCTGAGGTAGGAGGATCACCTGAGCCTGGAGATGTAGAGGCTGCAATGAGCTGTGATCATGCCACTGCACTTCCAGCCTGGGTGACACAGTGAGACCCTGTCCCAAAGAAACTAAACTAAAATGAAATGAAAACAAACACAAGACAAAAATTGATGGACTTATTTTAACACTTAGCATGATGAACACACATAGATAACAATACTAACCCAATGGGTTTTTGTCAGTCAAACTCATGGTCACTAGTCTAAAGAAAATAGGAATAATGACTGTGAATTAACAACCATTTACAACATTAGAAATACAAAATACAAATTATTGTCAGATATATCAGACTCACAATTATTTGACCTTTTAAGAATTCATCCTGCTCTCCATAATGAATAAGAAAATACTGATAACTCTTTTTTCCCTTAACTTAATCCTTTGTGCTCCTGAATCTCTGAATTTGTGTTTACATCTTAACACTCTTTTTTTGTAATTATTTTCTGCAGCTTTTTTCTCTTCACTTGAGGCATCTCCTATATTCTCTTTACACTTTTCCACAAATGACTCAATTTTTTTCGTAAGCTTCATTGATGAGTTCCATGTATGTGATGATAGTGTAATGATAAATTATCCATGTGGTTTCCCTCCAGTCTTGTTCATTATTCAAGTGACTCTCCTTGGTCTAGCAACAGGCTAGGAGGTAACTATGACATTTTGTTCAGGTTAAGCAGGAAGAAGAAAACAAAATCTACATTCTCTTTTTTATATTTTAAACACAAGCCAACAAATAATTTGGAAAGACCCATGATTAGACAGGGAGGATTTTATGCTCCTTCAAGAGTAATTGAGATTGTTTAATTGTATGGAGGAATGAGCATATCTCAAGGGGAATCGAGAAGGTATAATATTTGGATGACAGAATCATTAAGAACTGGCTTTGCACCCTGGCTACACCATTGCACATAGGAAATATTAGGGTGCAGGGGTGCATGCCTGTAATCCCAGCACTTTAGGAGGCTGAGGCAGGTGGATCACCTGAGGTCAGGAGTTCAAGACCAGCCTGACAAACGTGGTGAAACCCCATCTCTACTAAATACAAAAAATTAGCTGGGTGTGGTGGCACATGCTTCTAATCCCAGCTACTTGGGAGGCTGAGGCAGGAGAATCACTTGAACTTGGGAGGTGGAGGTTGCAGTGAGCTGAGATAGTTTCATTGCACTCCAGCCTGGGCAACAACAGTGAAATTCTGTCTCAAAAAAAAAAAAAAATCACTGCCCCACCAACTTTTTCACATAGGATGATTAAGGATTCCAGAGTCCATGCTACCTCTAGGGGCTCCTACCCCTGCCACACCACACATATATCTTGACAGGGCCTGTTATAGAGAAGAAAAGGCCCAGTAAATTAATATCACAATCATTGCCACATACCCACCAAAAGACTCAGATTAAAATTTTGACGAAATTAAGTGTCAAGAAGAATGGAGAGATTTGGGAATTATCAGACATTGTAAGACTGTCAGTTGGTGTGTTAACATTGGGATGAAACCCATAATAACTGGTAAAACTGAAGATACGTTTACCCTGTAACCTGTGATTTCACCTCTTGGTTTATACTGTACATAAATACACACTAATGGTAACCAAATAGAAATACAAACATGTTCACAACAGCATCATTTGTAACTGACAAAAATGAACACAACCCACATGTCCACCAACAATGAAGGGATACACACTGGTGTACTGTAGTTTTATTTATTTTTATTTTTTTATTTATTTTATGTATATAAATATAAATTTATATATATTTTTTGAGACAGAGTCTTGCTTAGTCACCCAGGTCGGAGTGCAGTGGTGCGATCTCGGCTCACTGCAACCTCCGCCCCCTGGGTTCAAGCAATTCTCCTGTCTCAGCCTCCCCAGTAAGTGGGATTACAGGCATGTGCCGCCACTCCTGGTAAATTGTTGTATTTCTAGTAGAGATGGGGTTTCACCTTGTTGGTAAGGCTGGTCTGAAACTCCTGTTCTGAGGTGATCCACCTATCTCGGACTCCCAAAGTGCTGGGATTACAGGTGGCAGGCACTGCGCTTGGGCTTTTTTTTTTTTTTTTTTTGAGACTATCACTCTATTGCCCAGGTTGGAGTACAGGGCACGATCTTGGCTCACTGCGACCTCCATCACCTCCCAGGTTCAACTGATTCTCCTGCCTTAGCCTCTCAAATAATTGGGATTACAGGCACACACCACCACACCTGGCTAATTTTTTTTTTTTTAACAGAGTCTAATTCTGTCACCCAGGCTGGAGTGCAGTGGTGAAAACTTGGCTCACTGCAACCTCTGCCTCCCAGATTCAAGTGATTCTCCAGCCTCAGCCTCCTGAGTAGCTGAGACTACAGGCATGTGCCACCACACTTGGCTAATTTTTTCTATTTTTAGTAGAGATGTGGTTTCACCGTGTTTGCCAGGATTGTCTCCATCTCCTGACCTTGTGATCCACCTGCCTTGGCCTCCCAAAGTGCTGAGATTACAGTCATTAGCCACCACGTGGCCTAATTGTTGTAGTTTTAATAGAGATGGAGTTTCACCATGTTGGCTAGGGTGGTCTGGAACTCCTGACCTCAAGTGATCTGCCTGCCTCGGCCTCCCAAAGTGCTGGGATTATAGGCGTGAGCCATCATGCCTGGCTGGTGTACTGTTTTAATAGAATGCAGAAACAATGCTAAGTGTGAATCTTAAGTACTTAATATTGAGTAAAAGGTGCCAGATGCACCAGGATACAGACTTTTACTCCAATTATGTAAGAGAAAAACCAGGCAAAATCAGACTTTACTTTAGGCATATAAAAAATGCATAATAAGGCCAGGCATTGAGCTCAGGAGTTCCAAACCAGCCTGACCAACATGCAAAACCCCATCTCTACTACAAATACAAAAATTATCCAGGCATGGAGGCACATGGCCCATGCCTGTAATCCCAGCTACTTGGGACGTTGAGTCATGAGAATCGCTTGAATCTGGGAGGCGGAGGTTGCAGTGAGTCAAGATCTTGCCACTACACTCCAGCCTGGGCAACAGAGTAAGGCTCCATCTCCAAAACAGAAAAAAATATATAAAATACATAATAAAATTATAAAGAGAACCAAGGAGAGGATGGCAGATATCCACAGGTAATGTGGATATCTGTTATATCTGTTACTAATAAGGGGAAGGAAGACTTTAGGATCAGTTAGGGGCATACAGAGGACTTCTCGGTGGTGATAGTGCTCTATTTCTTCACCTGGATAGATATCACACAGATGTTTATTTAATAATTGATGTATCCATACCTTTGTTTGCATATTTTAAAATAAGAATGAAATAGAGGAAAGGAAGGTGAATGGAAAGAGATTTCTCCATTCATCAAAATTTTAAAGTCATGTTTTTCCTCAGGTTCTTCTCCAAGCTCAGTCTGAAATGACGAAAGCAGCCAAGCATGGTGGCTCACGCCTGTAATCTCAGCATTTTGGGAGGCTGAGGCAGATGGATCACCTGCGGTCAGGAGCTAAGACCAGCCTGGCCAACATGCTAAAACCTCATCTCTACTAAAAATACAAAAATTAGCTAGGCGTGGTGGTGGGCACCTATAATCCCAGCTACTCGGGAGGCTACAGTGAGCTGAGATCACATCACTTGACTCAAAAGAGTGAAACTCTGTCTCAAAACAAAACAGCAACAACAATGACAAAGGAAACAGGAAAACATCCTCAATAATAGAGGACTTACCAAATTGGGTGCAGCCACTCATACTGTGTCTTGATTTGTAGATAAAGAAAATGATGACCCTCCCTAGGTACTGATTTAGAGTGACATTTCTGTGAAAATAGAGAAATACTTACATATCCATAGAACACATATATGCATTTAAAATTGTATATGAGCATGACATATACATACATATTTGTGTGCATGACACCTGCATCCTTGTATGTTTAAATACGATCTGGCAATTGCATTCTTTGGTATATACCCAAATATTTGAAAACTTATATCCACTCAAATCCTGCACATGAATGTTATAGCAGCTTATACACAACTGACAAAGATTGGAAGTAACCAAGATATCCTGCAATAGAGAAGTGGATAAACTAACTCTGAAACATTCATACAATGGAATATTCTTCAGGAATAAAAAGAGATGAACTACCAAGGCATGAAAAGACATGGAGGAATCTTAAACATGTATTTCTAAGTGAAAGAAGCCAATACAAAAAGGCCACATAGTATAGAGTTCCAATTATATGGAATACTAGAAAAGGGAAAACTAGGCAGATGGAATTATAAAAAGTTCAGTGGTTGCCAGAGGCTTGAGCAGAGGGAAGGATGAATAGGTGGAGCACAGAAGATTTTTAGGGCAGTGAAACTTTTCTGTGTGACCCTATAATTGTGGATATATGTTCTTAAGCATTTGTCAAAGCCCATAAATGGTAGAACACAGAGAGTGAATCTTAATATTAGCCATGAACTTAATAATATCAATATTGGCTCATCAAGCATAACAAATTACCACACTAACAAGATGATAATAGAGGAAGTGTGTGTACTATGGTGTGAGGTGGATATTAGAGCTCAATATACCTTCTGCTCTATTTTTGTGTATACCTACAACTGTTCTAAAAATTAAGTCAGTTATTTATTTATTTATTTATTTATTTATTTATTTATTTATTTTTATTGAGATGGAGTCTCACTCTGTCACCCAGGCTGGAGTACAATGGCCCGATCTCGGCTCATGGCAACCTCTGCCTCCCAGGTTCAAGCGATTCTCCTGCCTCAGCCTCCTGAGTAGTTGGGATTACAGGCACCAGCCACCACGCCTGGCTAATTTTTTGTATTTTTAGTTGAGACGGGGATTCACTGTGTCAGCCAGGATGGTCTTGATCTGCTGACCTCATGATCCACCTGCCTTGGCCTTCCAAAGTGCTTGGATTACAGGCATGAGCCACTGCGCCTGGCCTTATTTATCTTTTTGAGACAGGGTTTAGCTCTGTCACTCAGGCTGGAGTGCAGTGGTGCAATCATGGCTCAATGCAGCCCCAACCTCCAGGGCTCAAGTAACCCTCCCACCTCAGCCTTCTGAGTAGCTGGGACCACAGGCATGTGCCACCATGCCCAGCACATTTCTTAGACCTCTGAAAAGATGCTCAACACCGTATGTCACTAGGGGATTCAAATTAAAACAACGATGTGATACCATTACACATCTCTTAGACTGGCTTGAATGCAAACACCAACACCAAATGCTGGTGAAGATACGGAGCGACAGGAACTCATCTCTATTTCTGCTGAGAATGCAAAGTGGGACAGCCACTGTGGAAGGCAGTTTTGCAAGTTCCTGCCAGACTAAACATACGCTTACCATACGATCCGGCAAAAAAATGAAATTTTAAAAATATATTTTATATACTTGAAACATATACATTTAAATAAATATATATTTTATATATATTTTAAAATAATATATATTTTTATTTTTTGTAGAGACAGTCTCTACAGACCATAGCCTGCAGATTCTATTAATTTTAAAAGCATTTTAAACTCTTGAACAAGAAATTATTTGAAGAGTGAAAAATAAAATGATAGAGTATTGATTGGTAAATTCCAAATGTTATATATTACATAATCTGGATTAATTTTAAATTCCAAAAAGTGCAACTTTAAAAAATATTTTAAAAATTTCCTAATCTGAGGTCAATACTAGTTCAACACATTACATTCAAGAGCTGATTTCAGAGGAGACATAAGGTCAACAAGTTCTTAGGTTTTGACTTTGTTTTCTGACTATCTGTGTTTGTGAATGGTGAATTTTTAGATTTTGTTCCTTTCTTCTTAGGGTATTGACTAATATTTTATTAAGCCGGAGAGACAGTAAATTAGAATTATCTGTTTGTCCATTTTATCTGTTATAAGTATTTCCTCCAAATTCACTTATTTAAAGTTTTTGGTTTATTTAGTCAGGTGCAGTGGCTCAGCCTGTAATCTCAGCACTTTTGGAGGCTGAGGTGGGGGATCGCTTGAGTTCGGGGGTTCAAGATCAGCCTGGCCAACATGGCAAAACCCAGTGCCTACTACCATACAAAAATTATTTGGGTGGTGGGTGTTTTGGCTCACTCCTATAATCCTAGCACTTTGAGAGGCCAAGGTGGGCAGATCACCTGAGGTCGGGAGTAAAGAAACAGAGAGTAAAGATTTTCTGAAACCAAAAAGTCTGAGAACAGCTGCTCAATATATTCATTCAACAACTATTTGTCTCCTTACCATGTGCATGGTACAGTTCTAGGCTCTAGGGATAAATAGCATTGAACAAAATTGACAATATCTCCTGCTCTCATCAAGTTTACATTCTAGTGGACATAATGTAAGAACAGAGATGATTTGTCAAAAAGCAGTCCGGGCACAGTGGCTCATGCCTGTAATCCCAACACTTTGGGAGGCCGAGGCAGGGAGATCACTTGAGGTCAGGGGTTCAAGATCAGCCTGGCCAATATGGTGAAAACCTGCCTCCACTAAACATACAAAAATTAGCCAGGGCTGGGTGTGGTGGCTCACCCCTGTAATCCCAACACTTTGGGAGTCCGAGGTGGTTTGGATCACCTGAGGTAAGGAGTTCAAGACCAGCCTGGCCAACATGGTGAAGCCCCGTCTCTACTAAAACACACACACACAAAAAAAAATGTTAGCCAGGCATGGTGGCAGATGCCTGTAATCCCAGCTACTTGGGAGGCTGAGGCAGGAGAATCACTTGAACCTGGGGGGCGGAGGTTGCAGTGAGCCAAGATCACACCAATGCACTCCAGCCTGGGTGACAGAGCGAGACTCCATCTCAAAAAAAAAAAAAAAAAAAGTTTTAAGTGCTATGGAAAAAAAAGGGAAGTGGTAAATAGTTTCAATTTCAGATAGGATGATCTCTGACAAGGCAAGAATCATGTTAAGACATGAAGAAAATTAATACAATGATCCTTACAGGTATATGGAGGGAGAGCTTCTTTTCTTTCCTTTTCTGTTTTATTTATTTATTTATTTATTTATTTATTTATTTATTTATTTATTTTTTAGACAGAGTTTCACCGTTTTGCCCAGGCTGCAGTGCAATGGCACCATCTCAGCTCATTGCAACCCCCATCTCCCGGGTTCAAGTGATTCTCCTGCCTCAGCTACTCCCCCAAGTGAAAGGTGACCAAGAGAGCCATTGAAAATAGTGAGAGTGGCCGGGTGCGGTCCCAGCACTTTGGGAGGCCAAGATGGGTGGATCATGAGGTCAGGCATTCGAGACCAACCTGGCTGAGAGGGTGAAACCCCGTCTCTACTAAAAATACAAAAATTAGCCAGGCGTGGTGGCGTGCCCCTGTAATCCCAGCTACTCCGGAGGCTGAGGCAGGAGAATCACTTGAATCTGGGAGGTAGAGGTTGCAGTGAGCCCAGATCATGCCACTGCACTCTAGCCTGGGTGACAGAGCAATATTCTGTCTAAAAAAAAAAAAAAAAAAAGAAAAGAAAAGGAAAGAAAAAGAAAATGGTGAGAGCACCATGTTTGAAAAGTGGTCCAGGCACTGGGGTAAGGGGTGAGTGTCAGCCAAGTCATCAGCTATCAGAACAGGAAGCCATCAGGTAATATATCAAGTTGATATATTGAGAAGGAGCAGGATCTACCTATTATATAATATAGAGATAAGCACTCAGATATATAGATTAGAAATAGTTTAGAAAATTTAGACATTTGATTATTCGGGAAGTAGATCTGGGAGTATTGGAGAAACAGGGTGGGGGAGTAGACTGCATGGAAAGCTCTTTCTTAGTTTGTGATTTTTCATTTATGCACATAGGTTTCTTACATAACATGGAAAATTCAATTAAAGAAGAAACAACATTGTGTTCTGAGGTCCCAAAGGTGTAGTGATTAATTAGAAAGACTCACAAAATCGAGTGAAGCTGTTTTACTCATAGTTTATTACAACGAAAAGATACAGATTAAAATCAGCAGCAGAAAAAGGTGCACAGGGCAGAGTCCAGGAGAGACAAAGCACAAGCTTCCAGTTGTCCTCTCCCAGTGACATCGTGTGGACAGTGCTTAATTCACCCAGCGATATTTGGCAAACAGTATAGAATATACTCCCCAACAAAAAGCTTACCTGAGCCTTGGTGTTGAGCATTTTACTGGAGGTTGGTCACATGGACAAGAGCACCCATTTGGATGACATTAGTTTCTCCGTCTCCACCCTTCCCAAGGTCAAGCTGAGACTGCATGGTCCAAGGTCCCCATAATAAATCACGTTGTTAACTCCCAGATAGGCAGGAGAGTCCGAGGACTTAGAGGTTATTTCCTGGGAACTAGGATAGAGTCACACCATTCTTTGGAGTATGCCAGGTTTGGGCAATTCAGGCCTACTAAGTTTCCTTGACTGCACACAAGTGATAGTATGTAGGAAATGAGTAGTTGCATATATTGCTGGTGAAAATACAGTGTTATATAACCCTTTGGAAAGAAATCAAGTGTGTAGCACATAAACATTATATTTGGTTTGTTTTTGTTTTTGTCTGAGACAGGGTCTCACTCTGTCACCCACACTGGGGTGCAGTGGCATGATCACAACTCACTGCAGCCTCGACCTCCCAGGCTCCAGCTATCCTCCCACCTCAGTCTCCTGAGTAGCTGGGACCACAGGCACCTGCAAGTACACCCAGCTAATTTTTGTGTTTTTTGTACAGATAGGGTTTCACCATGTTGCCCAGGCTGATTTCAAACTCCTGGGTTCAAACAATCCCCTACCTCAGCTCCCCAAAGTGCTAGGATTACAGGAGTGAGAGCCACTGCACCCAACCTATATTTGTATATACATTAAATTGTATATGTTAGACTGGGCACGGTGGCTCACACCTGTAATTCCAGCATTTTGGGAGGCCAAGGTGGGTGGATCACTTGAGGTCAGGAGTTCGAGAGCAGCCTGGCCAACATGGTAAAAACCCATCTCCACTAAAAAAACAAAGTTAGCTGGACATGGTGGCAGATGCCTGTATTCCCAGCTACTCAGGAGGCTGAGGCAGGAGAACCAAGCAGTGGAAGTTGCAGTGAGCCGAGCTCATGACACTGCACTCCAGCCTGGATGAGAGAGCAAAACTCTATCTCAAAAAACAAAACAAAAAAATTGTATATGTTATTGTATGTATGTGTATATATTAAGTTGTATATACCCATATTAAATATATATACATATATTACACTTTACACACATACACTTGTTTCCTCATGCAATTTGTTTCAGCAGAAGTAAAAACTAACAAAGTTATAAGTAAAAGAATATTTACAGAAGCACTATTTTTGGTGGCAAAAGTACTTTAATATCTTAAATGCTCATATAATGAAAGATACTTTAACTCTTACAAAGAATGTGTCAGCATTTTATCTACTATAAAGGTATCCTAATATCTTTATACCTAAAGTGATATATGTGGCCAATTTTTATATTAAAAAAGGAGAATGCTTTATAATTAAAGAAAAAAGAAAGAAACGTTATATAATAGCCCTCCCTTATCTGCAGGAGATGTGTTTAAGACCCGCAGTGGATGCCTGAAACTTGGGTAGCATTGACCCAATTGCTTTCAATCAGAACACATTTCTGTTTGATTTCCACTCACAAATTTAATGCCTTTTTCATCTTAACTAAGCACTTATCACACATATGGCTGTACTTTTTAGAGCTTGGGGTGCAACAAACAAGACTAACAGAAATTTCTTTTTCCTTCTTACATTTTCACCGCTAGAGGATTTGTTCTTACCATCGATCTTAGCAACCTGAGCACACGACTTCTCTCTTTTTCTTTCTTTCTTCCTTTCTTTCTCTTTCTTTCTTTCTCTCTTTCTTTCTTTCTTCTTTCTTTCTTTCTTTATCTTTCTTTCATTTTTCTTTTTTTCTCTTTATTTTATGTATTTACTTATTTATTGAGATGGAATCTCAGTCTGTCATCCAGGTTGGAGGGCAGTAATGCGATATTGGCTCACTGCAAACTTCTCCTCCCGGGTTCAAGAGATTCTCGTGCCTCCGCCTCCCAAGTAGCTGGGATTAAGGCCCTCACCACCGTGCCCAAATAATTTTTGTATTTTTTGTAGTGATGGGGTTTCACCACGTTGGCCAGGTTAGTCTCGAACTCCTAACCTCAAAAGATCCACCCGCTTCAGTCTCCCAAAGTGCTGGGGTTACAGGCATGAGCCACCACGCCTGGCCTGTATATTCTGTTGTTTGCTGGCCAATACTTACATGAATCTTGGAGAACATCATGGAAAGTTGCTCATCATCTTGTTAACTGGTTATTTCAAGAGTGGAACTGGAGGGGGAATACTGCCTTTCCTGTGTATTTATTTGTAATGTTTCATTTTCATTATGAACATGTATTATTTTAATATGTTTAAATATTAATAAAGACAGGTAAATATATGTAATTTTAATTCAAGCTGAAATCCTCAAGGCAATCACATATAATTAAATAGATGGAGGAAAGAAAACATTTAAAATCCCTGAAGGAAAAGGAGGGAAGTCCGGGCAAGGAGGCTCATGCCTATGTCAGCATTTTGGGAGACCAAAGCAGGCGGATCATTTGGGGTCAGAAGTTCGAGACCAGTTTAGCCAACATGGTGAAACCCTGTCTCTACTGAAAATACAAAAATTAGCCAGGCATGATGGCATGCGCCTGTAATCCCAGCTACTTGGAAGGTTGAGGTGGGAGAATCGCTTGAACCTGGGAGGCAGAGGTTGCAATGAACCGAGATTGTGACACTGTGGTTCAGCCTGGGTGACACAGCAAGACTCTGTGTCAATCAATCAATAAAAGGAGGGGGAAAAACACAAGTAAAAAATAAGTGATTCAAAAGTAGCAATTCACCATAATGCCTAAATTTGTGGGATTGGCGGGGTGTGATGGCTCCCGCCTGTAATCCCAGCACTTTGAGAGGCCAAGGTGGGTCGATCACCTGGTCAGGAGTTCGAGACCAGCCTGACCAATATTGTGAAACCCTGCCTCTACTAAAAATAAAAAATTTAGCAAGGTGTGGTGGCGGACACCTGTAGTCCCAACTACTAGGGAGGCTGAAACAGGAGAATCACTTGAACCTGGGAATCAGAGGTTGCAGTGAGCTGAGATTGCCACACTGCACTCCAGCCTGGGTGACAGAGCGAGACTCCCTCCAAATAAATAAATAAATAAATAAATAAATAAAAACACTTTGTGGGACCAATTCCAATTGAGTCCAGGGGAGCACACACTGGCAACAAACATCCTCCATCAGGTCCCTTCAGGGTCGAGAGAGTGCATCTGGAACAGACTGGGAAACTCCAGCAGGCAAAGTAAGGTGTCAGGGATAGACACCACCTGACACATTCTCCATGTTCCCTCCACCCACCCCTCTCCCCACCAGTCTTCCATCGGGCTCCAATTCTGCACTTTCCCCAATAACCTCAGATTGAAACATTGCAAGGAAGACACCGATACTCAAAGTCACAGGCTTAGGAATCTGAGCTACAAAGAAAAATGAGTCCCTGCTCCCCCAACTGCATGGTACTCCCCTCAGCACTGCTGCCCTGCACCTGCCCCCTCCTCCATAATTTGAACTGTCCTCACAGAAGCTGGAGAGATGGCCCGCCTGTCAGGAAAGAGAGGACCAGCATGTGGCAAATGCCTGGGGTATGTAGGAGCAGATGGTGAGATTAGCACAAGGATGTAAGAAACAAGTGGCTCTCAGACCAAAGAAGACTCTGCGGGAGACAGAACATTAAGCCTTCATAGAGGCGTGCGCTGGACAGCAGCTCCCCAGTTACCGAAACAATTATCTGAAAAAGGCTCTGAGCTGACCCGAAACGCCCTTGGATCCCATGGCAACGCCTCAGCGTCTGGCAGTAATAGGCTTCTGTACCCAGAATCTCTAGGTCTGGAGGTCCCAACTCCACCAGCCTCTCACAGCCCAGAGGTACCTCCCATTGGCGCCTGATGGGTTTGGGAGGCTGTTCTTCCAGCTGTGACAGATCCAGCCTAGGAGCGCTCCTGGGTCTTCTCAGTTGTTTCTTCCCGCACACCTGCCACTCGAAGCCACAACCCACTTGCACGCCACCTTGAGGACACCTTAAAATGACCGTCTAGATCTGAACCTCGCTGAGGGAATGGTCAGTTTTACTCCCATTAGATGGCTTGGCCCAAAGGACCTAGCAACCACCCAGACAAAAATTTCTTCCTAAAAGCTGCATGTGTCTGTGGTCTCTAAGAGGCAAAACTAAACCCTAAAGAAAAAGCTAACCCACCCCCACCTCCACTGCAAAACAAAAACAAAAACAAAACCCACCACCAACCCACCCTTCATGTGAGGAGTCCTTGAGAAGGGCCTCCCCAGCCAGGACAAGGCAAGGGAATCTGTGCACTTGGCCAGACCCAGAACACACAGTGTCAGGGACCTGACAGTCACACTCTGACCCCATAGAATTTCCACCACTGACACACAGATCAGGATGTGTCAGCCTGAGAGATGACTCCACAAATCTGGCTTTCACATATTGATTCCACACACATCCCATCACTGACACCAGATTCCCTCATCACTGACCCTAAATACCCACAATCATTGATTCCATGGACCTCATCACTATCCCAAAGACCACCCATCACTAATCTACAGATCGTCATCTCTCACCTCAGGGACCTCACAGATTCCCCATCCCTGATTCCAGGATCTATAGAACTTCATCTCTTACCCCCACAGACCTATTAATAAAAGGATACATTCATAGGAGACTGTGTTGACCCTTTTACACACCCATTGCCTGTGTGTGCCGATTAATGGACTTAGGTAAACTTTAGCGTTTTGGTAGGCAACGCAATTTTTCAATGCCTTTTCTTTCTTTTTCTTGTACATCTTTAAAGGCCTTACTCCAGTAAGTGTGCATTGCAGTTTATTAATGCCTATCCCTTAATGAGTCCTTGTCATGCATTTTTGTTATTAATCATAATTCACAATTCTTATAATTCAGAGACACCAGAGATTCACATAAGAAGAATGGCATTGAGTTTTTATTTATTTATTTGTTTTTTTCTGTAGATTATCAAATTCATTCATTTGTATCAAGTCACTAAGTGTATACTTTGTTTTCTAAAAAAAAAATTCCAATAATTTTTTTTTTTAAGACAGGCTATCGCTCTGTCACCCAGACTGGAGTGCAGTGGTATAATCATGGCCACTGTAACCTCAGCCTCCTGGGCTCAAGTGATCCTCCCTCAGCCTATGTAGTAAGCTGAGACCACAGGCATGCACCAATATGCCCACCTAATTAAAATTTTTTTTGTAGATATGTGTGTCTCACTATGTTGCAGAGACTGGTCTTGAACTCCTGGGCTCAACTCATTCTCCCACCTTGGCCTCCCAAAGTGTTGAGATTACAGGTGTGAGCCACTGTACTCAGCTGATAAAATCTTAAAAAGAGGAAAATACTTTGGGGCCTAATGTAAAATTTCCACTGAGATGATGCGTCAGAAATTAAGGTAGAATAAGATGGCCCTAGGGCATCAAAACAACGGAAACTAAATCTTGGGCTGGGTGCGGTGGCTCACGCCTGTAATCCCAGCAATTTTGGGAACCAAGGTGGGGGACTCACTTGAGGTCAGAAGTTTGAGACCAGTCTAGCCACCATGGTGAAACGCTGTCTCTACTAAAAATACAAAAATTATCCTGGAGGTTGCACTGAGCCAAGATTGTGCCAATGCACTCCAGTCTGGACAACAGAGGGAGATTCTGTCTCAAAAAAAAAAAAAAATAGAAGAAGAAGAAACAAAATCTTAATTTCTTCATCAAATGTAAAAACTATGGACTGGACTCTGGAGGAATAATACACAAAAAGACACATAGGCGCTTTTTTTTTGGAAGTTTTATTGAGAAATATTGATAACGTACCACAGAAGCCACTGATTTAAAGTGTAAAATTCAATGTTTTTCAGTATATTTGCACTGTTATGCAAACATCACCACAATAAATTTTAGATCATTTTCATTACCCTGAAGTAAACACCATATCCCTCCATTTCCCCCCAACTCCCCTAACCCTGGGCCACCACAAATCTACTTTCTGCTTCTATGTATTGGTCTATTTTGGACATTTTATTTAAATGGAATTACATAACATGTGGTCCTTTGTGACCGGCTTCTTTCACTTAGCATAATATTTTCAAGGTTTATTCAATCTTGCATGTGCAAAGGGGGCACTTTACATAAGGATAAACCTGGGATGGGGGGTACTTACTGATTGATTTGGAAACTTCCCTCCAAAATTGTAAAGGGTTTCAAATAGAGGAAAAACCTATTCAGGCTAAAATCCTGTTTTCAGCAGTTTGTAATGTGGGGTTTTATTGCAAAGAATGGCAAGATTTTTAGGCTTATTTTCTGAAAATTCTCCCTGTGTTTGGGGAACAGTCACAGAATGTGGAGGAATGGGCTTCTAGGCTCTGTGGCTGGAGATTCGCATCCAGGAGAACTCAGGTCCGAGGGTAGGCAGAGAAAAACAGTGTAAGAGTGCCAACAGAATGCTTTGAAATGGAAAATTTTAAATGTTCCCTCCAAAAGGAGTCCCAGATAACCACACAAAAGAGGACTTTGCTGGGCAGGTCCATTGCAATTGTTCAATAACAAGACACAGACAGACTGGGAAAGAAGGAAGTTTATTTCTGCAGCCACTTACAGGGAGAAGCGCCAGGTAATTCACCAGATCAACTCAAAGTTACAAGTTTTTTTTTTCTAGTGCTTATATACGTCTTAAGCTCCACGTGGGATTGCACCTACAAGTAGGAGTGTTTCATTCAATCAACATCTTATCTTTAACTCGGGTCTAGCGTCTGGAAAGATTTCTCTAGAGTCTTGGAAAGTTTCTGAATCTTAAGACAGGCCGAGGTGAATGTGTACCAATGCTATCATTATTCGATCAGACTTTAGGGTCTGAGAAAACCCAGGTGGGGTCTCAATGGGTTTGTTTTCACATTCCATCCCTGATACTCAGGCACAAGTTTCTCCGTTTCTTTAACGTTAACTTATGCATTCATCAAAATTATAGTAAAGGGTTAGTAGAAACTGTTCTGGTTGCTATTGGAAACCTGGCCTGCCACACTGCCATAGGAACTGAAGCCCACTACAGAACATTGAAAATGCCTGCAAACACTGACTTTACTGACCAGTCAATTAAATTGCAGAAAAGCAAGCTCACGCTGCCTCCCTGATCCTCCAGAATTGCTAGTTAGAAACGTGCACATTGTCCTAGGTTCAGTTTTGCAAAGATGTAGCCTGGCAGTGAAAGCATTTGTTTGAGTTCATGCATTAAGGTTTGCTTTGTCTATTTCTTTTATATTTATTTATTTGTTTTTTTTTTTTTTTTTTTTTTTTTTGAGACAGAGTTTCAATCCTCTTGCCCAAGCTGGAGTGCAATGTGGCGGTCGCCGCTCACTGCAACTTCCGCCTCCTGTGTTGAAACGGTTCTCATGCCTCAGCCTCCCAAGTAGCTAGGATTACAGGCATGCTCCACCATGCCCGGCTAATTTTTGCATTTTTAGTAGAGATGGGGTTTCACCGTGTAGGCCAGGATGGCCTTGAAATCTTGAGCTCAGGCAATCCACCCGCCTCAGCATCCAAAGTGCTGTGATTACAGGCATGAGCACCCTCAGCCGGCCTATTTTATTTTAAGATGGAGTCTCGCTCTGTCGCCCAGGCTGGAGCGCAGTGGCACGAGCTCGGCTCACTGCAACCTCTGCCTCTGGGATTCAAGCGATTCTTGTGCCTCCGCCTTACAAATAGCTGGGATTACAGGCGCCCACCACCATGCCTGGTTAATTGTTTATTTATAGTAGAGACAGGGTTTCACCATGTTGACCAGACTGGTCTCGAACTTCTGACCTCAAGTGATCCGCCTGCCTCGGCCACTAAAAGTGCTGGAATTACAGGCGTGAGCCACCATACCCGGCCCCATTTCCTTTATTTTATTTATTATTTCGAGAAGGAGTTTCGCTCTTGCCATCCAGGCTGGAGTGCAGTGGTGCGATCTCGGCTCACTGCAACCTTCACCTCCTGGGTTCAAGCGATTCTCCTGCATCAGCCTCCGGAGTAGCTGGGATTACAGGCGCATGCCACCACGCCCAGCTACATTTCCTTTATTTTATTTTTTATAATTTACTAGCCTGTTTGTTGATAACAAGACTGGCAGTGCACAAGTTTGTGTCTCGGTGCTCACCGGGAGGCGGGCATGGACCAGGTGGGAGGGTCTCCAGCACCTGGTACAACTCTCCAAGAAAGTGCAGGAAACGGCACTAAGGGTGGTAGTAAAGTTTTGGTTTGGCGAGGCGCGTAGGCGTTCCAGCGCAGAAATGCGCAGGAAAGGTTTTGCTGTGCTTGTAGGGAGGTCATCCCCAAGCTCTTCTTATTGGCTTTCAGTGAGACGAGGTCGCGCACTGCACTCCAGCCCGGGCTACAGAGTGAGACTCTGTATCCAAAAAAAAAAAAAAAAAAAAAAAAAAAAAATAGTGAATGAATATCTATTGATGCATGAAGTGGCTGCATTAAAGGAAAACTAGCCAAGAAAATACAAGGCAAAAAAAAGTCAAGGATCAGTATGAAAAATAAATATATTTTAAAAGATTTGTTTTTAAAGCAACAACACGGGTTTAAATTTTAAAGTGAAAGAAGTAGCTCCAAGATAGAGGAAACAGGATGGCTTCTGAAGAAGGGAATGTTATTCTTTGAAATGGAAAGAAATTATGACAAGAGGGTAGCACAGACTGAAGAGGTGGAGGTAAAAGGGGGTTCTCGGCCAGACACAGTGGCTCACACCTGTAATACCAGCACTTTCGGAGGCCAAGGCAGGTGGATCACCTGACGTCAGGAGTTCAAGGCCAGCCTAGCCAACATGGTGAAATGCCGTCTCTACTAAAAATACAAAAATTAGCTGGGCATGGTGGCAGGTGCCTATAATGCCAGTTCCTTTAGAGGCTGAGGCAGGAGAATCGCTTCAACCTGGGTGCGGAGGTTGCAGTGAGCCAAAATCGCATCACTGTTCTCCAGCCTGGGTGACTGAGCAAGACTCTCTCTCAAATTAAAAAAAATTTTTAAAAAAGAGTGTGTTTGTGGGTGGGGGGGTGGTATCTTGACTTTTCTCCATGTGTCTTAGGCCACAACTCTTACATGGGACCTTGCAGAAGAGATTCCCCAACCAATACCTTTACGGCGCTGCCTCCCTGATGGGCTGGGTTCTAAACAGCAGTGCCTTCCCCATCTGCTCAGTCCTTACTCACCTGGGCACCATCCTCCCGGTATGTCCCTTGAAACCATCCAGGGCTCTTTCCCTTGCTCCAGTAAGGAAATCACATCAGGCTTTGGGATAGAGAGACCTGTTTATAAGAAAAGAAGTAAGGTGGCCAGGCAGGCATAGTGGCTCACTCCTGTAATCCCAGCACTTTGGGAGGCCAAAACAGGTGGATTGCTTGAGGTCAGGAGTTCAAGACCAGCCTGACCAACATGGTGAAACCCCGTCTCTACTAAAAACACAAAAATTGGCCAGGTGTGGTGGCAGGTGCCTGTAATCCCAGCTACTCAGGAGGCTGAGACATGAGAATCGCTTGAACCTGAGATGAAGGTTGCAGTGAACCGAGATCGTGCCATTGCACTCCAGCCTGGGTGATAGAGTGAGAATTCATCTCAAAAAAGAAAGAAAGAAAAAGAAAGAAAGAAAGAAAGAAAGAAAGAAAGAAAGAAAGAAAGAAAGAAAGAAAGGAAGGAAGGAAGGAAGGAAGGAAAGAAAGAAAGAAAAAGAGAGAAAGAAAGAAAAGTAAGACATACTCGTGCTGTTCCTGAATTCAAAGTTAGTCCCTTAGTAGTCACGAAGGACTAGAGGAAGGTGTAAAGGTCTGAAGCATGGAGAAGATGGAGGGACCCCAAAGAGCTGCCCATCTATTAATCTACAAAACACAAAACAATTCCCTAAGCAGCAGGTGAAAAGTCACCCAGACAAGTGAAAGCTACACCCAAAATTCATGAGTTAGTTGGGGATAGACATCCTTACCTAGTGAGACCAGGCTGCTATAGTTCTCCATCATTACATCTCTGTATCAGTCCTTCTGAGCAGCGTCCAGGCACTCCCATTCCTCCTGAGAGAAGTCTATAGACAGATCCTGGAACATGCCCAACCCCTGAAATGACAAACCCAGGCAGCACTGTTGAAATTAAAGGAAAGATTTTTAAGATGAAGGAAGAGATGGAAGGGTGCTGAAGGATGGAGAGAATACAGTGAGCAGACCAGCTAGGCTGAGAGTGGGGAAGAGTAAAAAAATTAGTGTAACTTCAACAAAGTACCTCCATGTTCATGAATATTCCTGTTGTGGCCAGCAAACCTCCTTCATAGAAAGGGACATTCCCAGTATTCCATGGTTAGAGCTGGGAATGAATAAATACATTGATATATGATTTCCCAAATAAATGAAATAGAGTTGAAAAGCACACAGCAAGCTGTAGGCCTGGCAAGGCTTCAAGAATATTACAGTAAACATCTGATATGCAAGTTACTATTTACAACAAAAGCTTAATAAATAGGCACTTCCCCCTTACCATTTTCTTTCTTGTTTTTTTTTTCTCTTGTTTCATTTTTTTGTTTTTGTTTTTGTTTTCACTTTGAGACAGGGTCTCGTTCTGTTGCCCAGGCTGGAGTGCAGTGGCAAAATCACAGCTCACTGCAGCCTCAACCTCCCAGGCTCAGGTGTTCCTCCCACCTCAGCCTCTGTATTAGCTTTGACTATAGGCATGCGCCACCATACCCAGCTAATTTGTTTTGTATTTTTAGTAGAAACGAGGTTTTGCCATTTGGGCAGGCTACTCTCAAACTCCTGAGCTCAAGCAATCCACCTGTTTGGCCTCCCAAAGTGCTGGGATTACAGGGATGAGCCACCACACCCAGCCTTGTCTCTTTTCTTAAAGGAAGACTGTATCTTTCAAAAATATCTACAAAAAGTTTGAAAACCTCTATTGGCCGGGCACAGTGGCTCACACCTGCAAACCCAGCACTTTGGTAGGCCAAGGCAGATGGATCGCCTGAGGTCAGGAGTTCGAGACCAGACTGACCAACATGGAGAGACCATTTTAGTCTCTACTAAAAATATAAAATTAGCTGGGTGTGGTGGCACATGTCTGTAATCCCAGCTACTTGGGAGGCTGAGACAGGAGAATCACTTGAACCTGGGAGGTGGAGGTTGCAGTGAGCCGAGATTGTACCACTGCACTCCAGCCTGGGCAATAAGAGTGAAACTCTGTCTCAAAAGAAAAACAACAACAACAAAACCTCTATTGCACTTTGATAATTAGTACTTCCATAAAATAGTATAGATAGTACTTTGATAATTAAATGTACATTGGCTGGGTGTGGTAACCCACACCTGTAATCAAAGCACTTTGGGAGGCCAAGGCAGGTGAATTGCTTCAGCTCAGGAGTTCAAGATCAACCTGGGCAACATGGCAAAACCCTACCTCTACAAAAACATATGTCATATACAAATTAGCCAGATGTAGTGGGACATGCCTCTAGTCCCAGCTACTTGGGAGGCTGAGGTGGGAGGATTGCTTGAGCCTAGGAGGTTAAGGCTGTGGTGAGCTCTGATCCTGCCACTGCACTCCAGCCTAGGCACCAGAGCAAGATCCTGTCTCAAAAAAAAAAAAAAAAAAAAAGGCCAGGTGTGGTGGCTCATGCCTGTAATCCCAGAACTTTGGGAGGCTGAGTAGGACAGATCATGAGGTCAAGGGATCAAAACCATCCTGGACTACATGGTGAAACTCTGACTCTATTAAAAATACAAAAATTAGCTGGGCATGGTGGTGCACGCCTGTAGTCCCAGCTGCTTGGGAGGCTGAGGCAGGGGAATTGCTTGAACCCAGATGGTGGAGATTGCAGTGAGCCAAGGTCGTGCCACTGCACTCCAGCCTGGTAACAGATCAAGACTGCGTCTCAAAAAAAAAAAAAAAAAAGAGTGGGTATCATGGTAGGAATAAACTGCACACAGGTCAGACAAAAGTTACAAGGCCATCTGCTAGTATAAACAAGTTTCCTGTGAGACACCTGGTCATGGGTCAGATACTTGAGCATTAGGCTGTGGTCCAGCAAAAAGAAATTTCTGGTGAAAGGCTACTCTAAAGACCCACAGGCCCCTCCCCTAGAGCCCCATTAGAGTGAGGTAGAGTTTATAGCCATTCTCCTGAGAGACCTCAAGACCCAATTAGAAGAAAACTATAACATTTGTTATATAGAAGGCATTTTCCAAAGACTAGTTCAAAGATGAAAGATATAGTCTTCCTTTGGATATAAAACAAAATCTCAAGTTACACCAAAACTGTTTTGCTTTTACTGAATAATTTTTGTGCATATGTGTTTAGCTGCAAGTGGCTAACAAGCTGTGATTTTCCTTCCTTTCCTTTCCCTTTTTTTTTTTTTCTTGAGACAGCCTTGCTCTGTCAACCAGGCTGAAGTGCAGTGGCCTGATTTTGGCTCACTGCAACCTCAGCTTCCCATAGCTGGGATTACAGGTGCCTGCCACCACACCCACCTAATTTTTGTATTTTTAGTAGAGATGGGGTTTCACTGTGTTGCCGAGGCTGGTCTCGAAATCGTGGCCTCAAGTGATCCGCCCACATTGGCTCCCAAAGTACTAGGATTACAGGCATGAGCCACCATGCCTGGCCAAGTCTGATTTTTTAACTTGTCTCGTGTATTAGGTTCATACTAGGAAAAAAACAGGTCAGAGCCATTGGAGCCACGTGTACAGATGTGCAGTAGCTCTGCTAGCAACACTGCTGCTTGCTTCAGCTCTTAAGACAGATGAATTTAGCACGTGTCTGCCCTTGCTCTAGCTGTCTCTGATTCACCCCAACAAATGCACAATCATGTCACTCCGTTAGATTCACTTTGGATATCCCATTATTAGATTAAAACCAGCAGGCCAAAAAGATAACTTGAGGAAATGATTTCACATCCACAGTGTTCTCATAGGGCCAGTATCATTTAGACATGTCAGGACCGTGGTTGCAGGGGAAAGAATGAAGTGTCGTCCTTAACTGGCCATTTAATGTCATCAGCATGAACAGGAGGACTTTATAGGATATTATCTGATGTTTTCTGAATATTACCTTACAAATGCTGCTTTATTTATAGCTTAAGAGCAGGGACCCTGTCTTTTAAAGCTTTATACATCCTCAAGTAAAGGTTTTTCATATTAAATCCATTAATAATATCTAAAGGCCGACCTGGAAATTCCATTTCTAAGTATTCATCCAAAGTAAAGATTTTTTTTCTTTTTTTGAGATGGAGTTTCACTCTTGTTGCCCAGGCTGGAGTGCAGTGGTGTGATCTCGGCTCACTGCAACCTCTGCCTCCTGGGTTCATGTGATTCTCCTGCCTCATACTCCCGAGTAGCTGGGATTAAAGGCACGCACCACCACGCCCAGCTAATTTTGTATTTTTAGGAGAGATGGAGTTTCTCCATGTTAGTCAGGCTGGTCTCAAACTCCTGACCTCAGGGGATCAACCCACCTTGGCCTCCCAAAGTGCTGGGATTACAGGTGTGAGCCACCATGTCCTGCCAAGAATTTTTTTTTTTTTTTGAGACAAGTCTCAATCTGTTACCCAGGCTACAGAGCAGTGAGGTGATCACAGCTCACTGCAACCTCTGCCTCCTGGGTTCAAGTGATTTTTGTGACTCAGCCATCAAAGTAGCTTGGAATACAGGCACACACCACCATACCCGGCTAATTTTTTTTGGTATTTTTGGTAGAGAGCAGGTTTCACCATGTTGGCCAGGCTGGCCTCAAACTCCTGGCGTCAAGCAAGGCCACTTTGGGAGGCCAAGGTGGGCAGATCACCTGAGGTCAGGAGTTCAAGACCAGCCTGGCCAACATGGTGAAACCCTGTCTCTAACTAAAATACAAAAGGTAGCCAGGCGTGGTGGCAGGTGCCTGTAATACCAGCTACTCGGGAGGCAGAGGCAGGAGAATCACTTCAGTCTGGGAGGCAGAGGTTGCAGTGAGCCAAGACTGTGTCACTGCACTCCAGCCTGGGCAACAGAGTGAGACTCTCTATCAAAATATAAATAAATATAAAAATACAAAAAAGCCGGGCACAGTGGCTCATGCCTGTAATCCCAGCACTTTGGGAGGCCAAGACAGTCAGATGACTTGAGATCAGGTGTTCCAGACCAGCCTGTCCAACATGGCAAATCCCTGTCTCTACTAAAAATACAAAAATTAGTCGGGTGTGGTGGATCACTCTCTAATCCCAGCTACTTGGGAGGTTGAAGCAGGAGAATCGCTTGAACCTGGGAGGTAGAATTTGCAGTGAGCAGAGTTCATGCCATTGTACTCCAGCCTGGGCAACAAGAGCGAAACTGCATCTCAAAGAAAAAAAAAAGAAAGAATACAAAAAATTAGCGGGGTGTAGTGGCGCATGCCTGTAATCTAGGCTACTGTGGAGGCTGAGGCAGGAGAATTGCCTGAACCTGGAAGATGAAGATTACAGTGATGAGACTGCACCACTGCACTCCAGCCTGGGTCACAAGAGCCAAGAGCGAGAATCCATCTAAAAAAAAAAAAAAGAATTTCTATTTGGGGGACAAAATAAAAGAAATGGAGTGAAAGGGATGTAAAGAAATTGAAAGTCAACAGGCTAATAATGCCAATAAATAATGATGGAGCAAAGAAATCAGTATTGGCCAAATAAAACCAATGTGTTTTTTAATATTTTTTCAAAATTTAGACAAAGCTTTCCAGTACACTGAGACACTTCTAATATCAAGACTTTAATATTGCCTGAGTACAGTGGCTTATGCCTATAATCCCAGCATTTTGGGATGCCAAGGCAGGAGGATCGCTTGAGCCCAGAAGTTCAAGTCAAGCCTGGGAAATATAGGGAGACATAGTCTCTGCAAAAATAAAATAAAATAAAATAAAATAAAATAAAATAAAATAAAATAAAATAAAATAAAATAATAAAATAAATAAAATAAAATAAAATAAAATAAACAAAATAAAATAAAATAAAATAAAATAAATAAAATAAAATGAAATAAAATAAAATAATAAGCCAGGCATGGTGGTATACATCTGTGAGCTGTGACAACCCCACTGCACTCTAGGATGGGTAACAGAGCAAGAAAGACCCTGTCTCAACAAAAAAACTAGAATATAGAATAAATGACATTTGGGTAAGTGGAATATTAGGTGTTCAACAAACACAGGTTATTCCCTCCCTATCTCCACAGAATCATCAATTTTTTTAAAGGAGAAGTTTTGATTAGAATCTAAAAATATCAATACTTCTCTTTCCAAAAAAGGAGGGAGGATTTAAATATAACAATTTCTTGGTTATTTCTATTTATTTTCATTGTTGCTTAATATTATTCAGTAATGAAAATGCAATTGCTCTCTTTCAAACATAGTTTTAACTAGTTGCACAAAATGCCACCTTGTAGTCTGAAGTACTTCAAATTTCCCTATCTATGAAAGCTAAATTTGGATATTATCATCTCAAGGATATTATAATCTCTGTGTTTAAATCTATCTAGGGTTCTACCTTTTCTGTAAGCCTTAGTGAATCTCACTATAGTCCTCCTTCCCTTTAAAAATGCAGTGATAGGCCGGGTGCAGTGGCTCTTCCCTGTAATCCCAGCACTTTGGGAGGCTCAGCTGGGAAGATAGTTGGAGCTCAGGAGTTCAAGACCAGACTGGGCAACATGGCAAAACCCCATCTGTGCAAAAATTACAAATATTAGCCTGGCATGGTGCCATATGCCTATAATCCAGCTACTTGGGAGGCTGAGGAGGGAGGATCCCTTCAGCCCCGGAGGTCAAGGCTGCAGTATGCCCTGATCCTGCCACTGCACTTTTGGAGGCCAAGGCATGTGGATCGCCTGAGATCAGGAGTTCGTGACCAGCCTGGCCAATATGGTGAAACCCTGTCTCTACTAAAAATACAAAAATTGCTCAGGTGTGGTGGTGGGCACCTCTAATCCCAACTATTCAGGAGGCTGAGACAGGAGAATCACTTGAACCCGGGAGGCAGAGGCTGCAGTGAGCCGAGATTGCACCACTGCAGTTCAGCCTGGGCAAGGCAGAGTGAGACTCTGTCAAAAAAAAAAAAAAAAAAAAAAAAGAAAGAAAGAAAGAAAGAAAGAAAAAGAAAAAAAGAAAAAGAAAATCAGTGATAGGTGAGACAGCTCATGCCTGTAATCATAGAACTTTGGAGGCAGAGGTGGGAGGATCACTTGAACTCAGGAGTTCAAGACCAGCCCAGATAACATAGTGAGTCTTCTTATCTACTGAAAATTATTTTTAATTATGCCACAGTGCTAGTGTGTGCCTCTGGTTTCAGCTTATTTGGCAGGCTGAGGTAGAAGGATCACTTGAGCATCGGAGATGAAGGCTGCAATGAGCTGAGATGGTACCACTGCACTCCAGCCTGGGAGAGAGAGTGAGACTCTACCTCAAAAATAAAAATAAATACATAAATAAAAATTCAGTGATGGAGTTGATGGATTTGAGGTTGAGGACCCCCAATGTGAACCCATTTGGAAAAAACTCAACCTGTGTTCTTCCTCTGCTTCACACCAAAACCACAACAGTCTACCCAGAAGACTTCTGTGGCCTCAAAATATGAGATTTCTTCCTATCAGCAAGCAAGGAATCAGTTCTGCAGCAGACACCAGCTGGGTATCCACCAATTCGATTCTGACACTATCTACCATGAGATAGTGTCACCCCACCGATTGAGAGCTCAGCCCCCAAAACTGCCCCCCTTTCAGACACCAGTCACAAGTCCCAGCCTCTGGAACTTCTGACTGACAGATTTAATTTGGGGTTCCTACGACCCCCTCTTTGGGTTTGATTAATTTGCTAGAATAAAATGGCTCACAAACCTCAGGGAAACACATTTACTGTTTGATTACAAGGATATTCCAAAGGATATAGATGAAGAGATGCCTAGCGTGAGGTATGGGGGAAGGGGCACAGAGATTCCATCCCCTCCCTGGGCACGACCCTCCAGGAACCTCCATGTGTTCAGCTCTCTGGAAGCTCTCCGAATCCACTCCTTTTGGGTTTGTAAGGTGGCCTCATTACATAGGCATGATTGATTAAACCATTAGCCACTTGTCATCAGCTTAATCCTCAGTCCCCTCCACTCCCCAGGGGTGGGAGGGTAGGGGCTGAAAGTCCCAGCCCTCTAATCCTGCCTTGGTCTTTCTGATGACCAGCCCACATCCTGAAGCTATCGGTCAATCCCTAACATATAAAAAGCCAAAGTCTGGGTGCAGTGGCTCATGCCTGTAATCCCAACACTTTGGGAGCCCGAGGCAGGCAGATCACTTGAGGTCAGGAGTTCGAGACCAGACTGGCCAATATGGTGAAACCCCATCTCTACTAAAAAAGAAAACAAAGACAAAAATTAGCCGGCCATGGTGGCACATGCCTGTAGTCTACTTGGGAGGCTGAGGCAGAAGAATTGCTTGAACCCAGGAGGCAGAGGTTGCAGTGAGTGGAGATTGCGCCACTGCACTGCAGCCTGGGTTACAGAGCAAGACTCTGTTTCAAAAAAAAAAAAAAAAAAAAAAAAAAAGCAAGCCCTTAGGACATTCCAAGGATTTTAGGAGTTGTATACCAGGAAATAGGGACAAAGACCAAATCTGTATTTGACAAAAATCACAGAACCGTATGAGTTTTTAATTCAATACAGACATGGAAACTGGCCCAAGCATTTACTCACAGATGACTGGGCAAATCACTGGTCCTATGGGTACAAATTATTGATCAAACCCCCAATCTCATTCCTACCCCTAAAATATAGCAAAGTGCAAGATCTTATTACCTATTTGGACTGAGATTAACACCATCCCTTAAATTGCATGGCTTTCAATCCCAGGGCTATGGCATGTGATGCCACATAGAATATGCATGAATCTTCTCTCCAGCAATTGAGTTGTTAGGATAAAGGCTCTTGTCTTTGCCTTCTTTCCCTCACAGCCAAGAATGTTAAGGAACGTGGACACAAAGGATGAGGTTGGAACAGAAGTTTAATATGCAAAAGAAGAAAGCTCTCCCCAGCGGAGAGGGGACCCGAAAGAGGGTTGCCAACTAGGAGGCTGAATCTGGGGGTTTTGTGAACTGGGAAGGGGAAGAATGTGCTCACTAGTCTGTGAGCTGTCTCGGAGAAAGCACAACTTCCCTTGGCCCGGGACCTTAGCTTGGGACCAACCAGAGGCTGAAGTGAAATTTTGGCCCAAGACCAATCAGGGGCTGAAGTGAAAGTTTGGCCCAGGACCAATCAGGGGCTGAAGTGATGATTCATAGAGGCTCGGCTCACAGTCCAAAGCATGTCCAGAAAAGGAAAGTGGTCACCAGAGCCTGTTAGTCCAAGCTGCACCGATTTGTAAGCCCCCACCATTTCACAGACTCTGGTCAGAGGGAAACAGTCCACTGGGGTTTGGGCTGCGAGAAACATCCTCCCCAACCGCCTGACTTCCTTATCACATCCTGCTGGGGAAAGGCCCAAGAAACATCCTTATCAACATTCTCCCAGGCAACAAGCTATACTGCCCAGATCCCTCCTGCCCAGGCCTATAATTACTCCAGCCTGTAAGCGGCAGTGGGCTCTGGCATTTAGTTGGTCCCCTCCATAGAGCCGCCAACTCTCTCTCTTTCTTTAACCTTCACCTTCCCTTCAAAATCTAACAGAGCCCACCATATACATGCCCACAAAAAAGCGACTATTTCCTGGAAGCCCGCTGGTCACACAAAGGACAAAGGCATTTCTATGTTGGGCCTCGGTCCCTTATCAATGCAGCTGAGGAATGTCTTTAGGACAACCCCCTTTGCTAGTTTTCCTTCTCTGTGCCTGCAGCCTGATTTTTCAGGCTGTTTCTCTGTTGAAAGGAGTTTTACCAAGGACCCGCTCTAACTCCCTAAAGGGTTTTTTCTCTCAAGGGGACACACAAATTTCCAATCGCACACATGCCTCCCTATATCCACTTACCCTCTGCCTCACAGCCAATCACACTCTCCTCTCTCACACAGACCACGGGGCCACACAAGTTGCACCTGCACAGCCACAGACCTGCAACTCATGCACACACAGTACTGCACACACACGCAAAGTCACACACCCACCCTGGGACACGCAGCCCCCACTACACAGTCACCAGTTGTCCACATCCGCACACACAACGCGGCTCGTCCAGGACACACACATCCACTCCGAGCGCGCACAGTCACAAGCGCCCACCTGATCACCCAGAGTCAGCACCACACAGCCACAGTCACAGACCACGAAGACCCACGGCAACCATCGCAATCACACACGCAAACTCCTCTCCTCAGCCCTCCACACACAAAAGGACCAGAGCCGGATTCCTCATCCTCAGCTTTCTCTAGTTCCGCTCGGGGCCGGCCTGGCCAAGTTACTCCGGACTCCAAGGCGTGGCAGCAGCTAATTGGGCACAGCGAAAGATTCTGCCACCTGGCTAAGAGGAAGCCAAAATCTCGCGAGACATGGTATTGGCCCGCAGAATCCTCCGGGAAATGTAGTCCAGAGCCCGACTGCTCCCCTACTAAAAATACAAAAATTAGCCGGGCCTGGTGGGCGCCTGTAATCTCAGCTTCTTGGAAGGCTGGGGCAGCAGAATCGCTTGAACCCGGGAGGTGGAGGTTGCAGTGAGCCGGGATCGCGCCGTTGCACTCCAGCCTGGGTGACAGAGCGAGACTCCGTCTCAAAAAATAAGTAAGCAGACATGTCTGCTGCCCACATGAGGTTTACATTCTAGTCTGGAGAAAAAAAAAGATTTTAAATTAAAAGGGGAAGATGAAGTAATTTTATATTGTGATAAATACTATGAAATATATCAATAGGTGGTATAGGCAGTAACTTGAGGGATACTTCCCGTAGCATTGATAGGACGGGTGTCTGAGATAACCCTCGAGCTTTGGTGGTGAGGAGCCAGCAGTGTGGAAGGGTATTCCAAGCAGAGGCACAGTTACACTGAAGACCCTGAAAAATCAGAGAGCGCTTGGAGCGTTCCGGAAACAGAAAGCAGCGTGGTGTGACTGAAGCTTAGCAAGTGAGTGGGAAATTAGTTTAGATTTAGGATGTAGAAGTCAGCATTTTCCGATTCATATGAGAAAATGATAGTGCTGAGATTTCAGGCGTGAGCCACTGCACCCAGCCCCAAACCAAGTTTTTATAGCAGCAAGAATAGATACTCTGGTATGGTCAGCGTCTAAAGATTTTACAAACAATATCTCTTCTTTTAGTTTGCAGTCATTATTGAAATAACAAACATGTCCTATTGTCAGGCCTTACTCTCAGTAACTGATTTCATTGATCTGAATAGGAAACTTACTTGATTAATCAGCTACTCTTTGGTATTACCTGACATCTCATTAATGCATCTTTGAATTGAATTATTGCTCAATAGGAGTGATTGTGAAATAGTGGTAATGTGTTACATCACTATTGAAGTTACCGTCTCTCATGTGAGTCTTGTGACAGTTTCAGCAAGTACAAAGCACTATGGGGTTTTACAATGATTTCTGTAATCTTTTCTTTTTTTCTTTTTTTTTTTTTTTTTGAGACAGAGTCTCGCTGTGTTAGCCAGGCTGGAGTGCAGTGGCATGATCTCACCTCACTGCAAGCTCCGTCTCCGGGACTCAAGTGATTCTTCTGCCTCAGCCTCCCGAGTAGCTGGGATTACAGGCGTGTGCCACCACGCCCGGCTAACTTTGTATTTTTAGTAGAGACGGGGTTTCACCATGTTGGCCAGACCGGTCTCAAACTCCCGACCTCAGGTGATGCGCCTGCCTCGGCCTCCCAAATTGCTGGGATTACAGGCATGAGTCACCACGCCTGGCCTATTTCTGCAATTTTATAAGGCAATTATTTCACCATAATTTGTTTGCTTATCCTTTTTTTTTTTTTTTTATACCGAGTGTTGCTCTATAGTCCAGGCTGGAGCATGGTGCTGCAATCTCGGCTCACTGCATCCTCCACCTCTCAGGTTGAAGCGAGTCTCCTGCCTCAGCCTCCTGAGTACCTGGAATTACAGGTGCACACAGCATGCCAGGCTAGTTTTTGTGTTTTTAGTGGAGACAAGATTTCACCATATTACCCAGGCTGGTCTCCAACTCCTGGGCTCATGTGATACACCCACCTCGGCCTCCCAAAGTGTTGGGATTACAGGTGTGAGCCACCTCACCCCACGGCTTGTCCTTCTTAAATAAGAAGTAACAGTGTTACAGTTCAAAATTCTATTTTAAACTTTTTAAATATTCTGTTTCTCGACTTTATCAGGATGTTTCTTTTATTGATGATCCACAAATCTTGATTTCATAGCCGTTTGTAAAAACAAACAAAAAACAAACAAAAACTATTATTTATAAGAAAAAAGCTGTTTTGAGTTAAATGGGGTTTTCAATAAAACTGTAAGCTAGGCTGGGCGCGGTGGCTCACACCTGTAATCCTAGCACTTTGGGAGGCTGAGGTGGGTGGATTGCCTGAACTCAGGATTTCAAGACCAGCCTGGGCAACAGGGTGAAACCCCGTCTTTACTAAAATACAAAAAATTACCTGGGTGTGGGGGCAAGTACCTGTAGTCCCTGCTACACGGGAGGCTGAGACAGGAGACTTGCTAGAACCCAGGAGGTGGAGGTTGCAGTGAGCCAAGATCATGTCTGCATTCCAGCCTGGGCAACAGAGTGAGTCTCCATCTCTAAAAACAAAAACAAACAAACAAAAAAACAAAACCAGTTGGCCAGATATTCATTCATTCCGATGTAGTCAACACTTTTCATTTTCAACACTTAACACAATTAATGCTAGGTTGAATTACTTTCATAATATAAACTATTTTACATAATTCCCAAAGCACTGAGGATCAATCATAAATACTATCCACAAGGCAGCCAATAGACAGACACACACAGACCACCTCTCATATAACTTTGGGATAGAGCATTCAATCAAGAAAAAGTCTTCCAGGTATAGCCATCAATTTGCCATCATTTTGTAGCACTGATCTTGCAAAGATTTTTTTTTTTTTTTTGAGGTGGAGGCTCGCTCTGTCACGCAGGATGAAGGGCGGTGGCACGATCCACTCACTGCAACCTCTGCCTCCTGGGTTCAAGCGATTTTCGTGCTTCAGCCTCCCATGTAGCTGGGATTACAGGCAGGTGCCACCACTTCTGGGTAATTGTTTTGTATTTTTAGTTGACACAGGGTTTTACTATGTTGGCCAGGCTGGTTTGAACTCCTGAATTTCAGTGATCCACCTTCCTTGGCCTCTCAAAGTGCTGAGATTACAGGTGTGAGCCACCGTGCATGGCCTGATCTTGCTTGGATTTTTTTATCTTCCATAAAATGATTAATGCTGCCCATCATATTTGAGAGAAATTAAATACCAAGGTGTAAAATTTTGTGCAATAGGCCAGGGATGGTGGCTTATACTTGTAATTCCAGCATTTTGGGAGGCCGAGGCAGGCAGATCACTTGAGATCAGTAGTTCTAGACCAGCCTGGCCAACATGGTGAAACTCCGTCTCTACAAAAAATACAAAAATTAGCTGACCGTGGTAGTGTGTGCCAGTAATCCCAGCTACTTGGGAGACTGAGGCAGGAGAATCGCTTGAACCCAGGAGGCAGAGGTTGCAGTGAGCAGAGATTGCACCACTGCACTCCAGCTTGGGTGACAGAGTGAGGCTCCCTCTCCGAAAAAAAAAAAAAAAATTGTGGAAGGCCACAAACCATTGCAACAACTATAATTCATTTTACCTTCAATAACCAATGTTCACCCTCTTAGGGGCAATATCACTCCCATCAAAAATGCTTGGCCAGGCACAGAGGCTCATGCCTGTAATTCCAGCACTTTGGGAGGCCAAGGCGGGCAGATCCACTGAGGTCAGGAGTTCCAGACAAGCCTGGCCAACATGGTGAAACCCCGTCTCTACTAAAAATACAAAAATTAACCAGGCATGGTGGCACGCACCTGTAGTGCCAACTACTCAGGAGGTTGAGGCAGGAGAATCACTTGAACCTGGGAGGTGGAGGTTGCATTGAGCTGAGATTATGCCACTGCTCTCCAGCCTAGGTGACAGAGTGAGACCCTGTCTCAAAAAAAAAAAGAATGCTTCCAGTAAGGCTAAATAAATATACAAATTAGGCATGTGGCATGTGTGTTAGTATACGTACAATATATTTCCTAGTTCTGCCCACTAAGAGGGCCTAGAAGCAATGACACACCCATAGCAATGAGCACACGTGTCACCCCGATCTTGGCGATTTTGTTTGTGTTTGGTTTTTAAAAATAGAGATGGGGGTCTCACTGCATTGCCCAAGCTTGTCTCAAACTCTTGGCCTCAAGGGATCCTCCTGCCTCAGCCTCCCAAAGTGTTGAGATTACAGACCTGAGCCACCTCACCCAGCCCAAGATTTTGGTGCTTTGTAAATAATACTTTTCAATGAAAGAAGCCAAGGATCTTTAAATAAATGGTTTATTCCACGTCTGGGTCAGGGAAAATACCAGATGAATCAAAACACTTTATGTGCCAGAAAGTTGGTAATTAGTCCCACACCCCAACCCCCTGATAAAGGCATGCTATAAATAGAACACAGGAGCCAACCTAAAGAAACGCCCAAGGCCAATTTTTTTTTTTTTTTCTTGACGCAGTTTTACTCTTGTCACCCAGGCTGGAATGCAGTGGTGTGATCTTGGCTCATTGCAACCTCCATCTCCTGGGTTCAAGCGATTCTCCCGCCTCAGCCTCCCGAGTAGGTGGAATTACAGGTGCCTGCCACCATGCCCAGCTAATTTTTTGTACTTTTAGTAGAGACGGGGTTTCAGCAGGTTGGCCAGGCTGCTCTCAAACTCCTGACCTCAGGTGATCTCCATGCCTCGGCCTCCCAAATTGCTAAGATTACAGGCATCAGCCATTGCACCTGGCATAAGTTCGTATTGTTTTCAGTATCACAACCACATACATGTTCAATTGCACATATACTATGTTCTCTACAAATGTGCAGTTTGGACCTGCCTCATCTTGGTACTCTACAACAAGAGCATTGCATTGTCACACATGTAGACAATGAATTGACTCAGAATCACAAATACTTGTACTGGGGACCTGTAGGGAGAAGTCAAGCCCTAGGAAGAGTACCAGGTCATCATCTGGGAAAGGAAATATTAGGAGTATTTGGGGTGTGAATAGTACTGTATTGAATTCCAATTCATTTCAAAATATATTTCACAGATTATCACAAACCAGGAAATAAGTTGTGTGTATTTTTCTTTGTTTTGTTTTGTTTGTTTGTTTGTTTGTTTGTTTGTTTGTTAGAGAGAGTTTTACTCTTGTTGCCCAGGCTGCAGTGCAATGCCACGATCTTGGCTCACCT
Source organism: Homo sapiens (assembly GCF_000001405.40). Classification (NCBI taxonomy): domain Eukaryota; kingdom Metazoa; phylum Chordata; class Mammalia; order Primates; family Hominidae; genus Homo; species Homo sapiens. The sequence goes on from NC_000009.12 coordinate 41,747,331, forward strand.
CAACCTCCACCTCCCCAAAACCTCTGCCTCCCAGGTTCAAGCAATTCTCTTGCCTCAGCCTCCCAAGTAGCTGGGATTACAGGCATGTGCCACCATGCCTGGCTAATTTTGTATTTTTAGTAGAGATGGAGTTTCCCCATTTTTTTTTTTTTTGAGACAGATTCTCACTCTATTGCCCAGGCTGGAGTGCAGTGGTGAGATCTCAGCTCACTGCAACCTCTGCCTCCTGGGTTGAAGCGATTCTCCTGCCTCAGCCTCCCAAGTAGCTAGGATCACAGGTACCTGCCACCGTGCCTGGATAATTTTTGTATTTTTTAGTAGAGTTGGGGATAAGCCATCTTGGCCAGGCTGGTGTTGAATTCTTGACCTTGTGATCCACCTGCCTCAGCCTCCAAAAGTGCTGGGATTACAGGCGTGAGCCACCGAGCCTGACCAGTTTGGGTTTTTTGAGACCGTCTTACTCTGTCATCCAGGCTGGAGTGCAGTGGCATGATCTCGGCTCACTGCAACCTCTGCCTCCTGGATTCAGGTGATTCTCCTGCCTCAGCCTCCTGAGTAGCTGGGATTATAGGCGCATGCCACCAATCACGGCTTTTTTTTTTTTTTGTATTTTTGGTAGAGATGGGGTTTCACTGGGTTGGCCAGGATGGCCTCGATCTCCTGACCTCGTGATCTGCCCGCCTCGGTCTCTCAAAGTGGTAGAATTACAGGCATGAGCAAGCATGCCCAGTGAACTGTGACCATTTTGAAAGCCATGATTTATGGGAATAGCAGTTATTTCTCTTTGTGTAAATAAACAGAGGCCACCAAAATAAGAACAAAGAGAGGCTTATGCATACAGAACTTGCTACAGAGTAAGGGATCCATTTGTTTATGTTGTCTATAGATTCTGGATATTATTAGGCCTTTGCTGGATACATCGTTTGTGAGTATCTTCTCCCATTCTGTAGTTTGTTTACTCTGTTGATAGTTTGTCTTGTTGTGTTTATGCTTTTATTTTACTTTAATTTTTTTTTTTTTTGAGGCAGTCTTGCTCTGTCACCCAGGCTGGAGTGCAGTGGTGCGATCTCAGCTCACTGCAACCTCTGCCTCCTAGGTTCAAGCAATTCTCCTGCCTCAGCCTCCTGAATAGCTGGGATTACAGGTGTGTGCCACCACCACCTAATTTTTGTATTTTTATTAGAGACAGGGTTTCACCATGTTGGTCAGGCTGGTCTCAAACTCCTGACCTTGTGATCTGCCCAACCTGGCCTCCCAGCTTCTGGCTTAATTAGGTACCACTTGTCTACTTTTGTTTTTGCTGCAATTGCTTTTTTGGAATCTTAGCTAAAAATTATTTGCCAAGGCCGATGTTGAGAAGAGTGTTTCCTAGGTTGTCTTCCAGGATTTTTATAGTTTGAGGTCTTATATTTAAATCCTTAATCCATTTGGAGTTAATTTTTGTATATGGTGAAAGGTAGGGGGCCCACACTCAGTCTTCTGCATGTGGGTAGCCAGTTATCCCAGAATCATTTGTTGAATAGGGAGTCCTTTCTTCATTGCTCACTTTTGTTGACTATGTCAAAGATCACATGGTTATAGGTGTGTGAATTTATTTCTGGGTTTTCTAACCTATTCCATTGGTCTATGTGCTGTATTTGTACCACTACTATGCTATTTTGGTTACTGTAGCCTAGTAGTATAGTTTGAAGTGGCATATATGATGCCCATCAGCAGTGGATTGGATAACGAAAATGTGGTAATTATACACCATGGAATACTACATAGCCGTAGAGAAAGAAACCATGTCCCTTGAAGCAACATGGATGCAGCTGGAGTCCATTATCCTAAACAAATTAATGCAGCATCAGGTAACCAAATACCCATGGTCTCACTTATAAGTGGGAGCTAAACATTGAGTACACATGGACACACAGATGGGATCAATAGACACCAGGGTCTGCTTGAGTGGGGAGGATGGCATGAGGCTATGGGTCAAAAAACTATTGGGTACTCTGGTTACTACCTGGGTGACAACATCATTTGTACACCAAACTCCAGTGGCATGCAATTTACCCGTGTAACAAGCCTGCACATGTATCCCTTAAACCTAAAAACAGAAAAAATTAAAAATAAATAAATAAATGAGGTATAAGTCTAATTGTTGAATGTTGTGAATAGTAACCAACAGAGCCATTGAAAATAGTGAGAGTGGCCGGGTCGGTGGCTCACACCTGTAATCCCAACACTTTTGGAGGCCAAGGTGGGTGGATCACAAGATCAGGAGTTTGAGACCAGCCTGGCCAAGATGGCGAAACCCCGCTGCTACTAAAAATACAAAAATTAGCTGGGCATGGTGGCTCATGCCTGTAATCCCAGCTACTCATGAGGCTGAGGCAGCAGAATCACTTGAACCTGGGAGGTGGAGGTTGCAGTGAGCTGAGATTGCACCACTGCACTCTAGCCTGGGTGGCAGAGCAAGACTCTGTCTCAAAAAAAAAAAAAAAAAAAAAGAAGAAGAAAAGAAAAGAAAAAGAAAATAGTGAGAGCACCATATAAGGAAAGTGGTTCAGGCACTGTGGTAAGGGGTGAGTGTCAGCCAAGTCATCAGCTATCAGAACACGAAGCCATCAGGTAATATATCAAGTTGATACATTAAGAAGGAGGGGCCGGGCACGGTGGCTCATGTCTGTAATCCCAGCACTTTGGGAGGCCGAGGCAGGCGGATCACGAGGTCAGGAGATCAAGACCATCCTGGCTAACACGGTGAAACCCCGTCTCTACTAAAAAAAAAAAAAAAAAAATTAGCCAGGCCTGGCGGTGGGTGCCTGTAGTCCCAGCTGCTGGGGAGGCTGAGGCAGCAGAATGGAGTGAACCCGGGAGGTGGAGCTTGCAGTGAGCCAAGATTGTGCCACTGCACTCCAGCCTGAGTGACATAGCAAGACTCTGTCTCAGAAAAACAAACAAACAAAACAGAAGGAGGAGGATCTACCTATTATATAACAGAGATAAGCACTCAGATATATGGATTATAAATAGTTTAGAAAATTTAAATATTTGATTATTCAGAAAGTAGACTTGGGACTATTGGAGAAACAGGGTGGGGAGTAGACTGCATGGAGAGCTCTTTCTTAGTGTGGGATTTTCAATTATGCACATAGGTTTCTTACATAACATGGAAAATTCAATTAAGAAACAACATTGTGTTTTGGGGTCCCAAAAGTTCAGTGATTGATTAGAAGGACTCACAAAACTGAGTCAAGCTGTTATACTCATAGTTATAGTTTATTACAACAAAAGGATACAGATTAAAATCAGCAGCAGAAAAAGGTGCATAGGGCAGAGTCCAGGAGAAACCAAGCACAAGCTTCCAGTTGTCCTCTGCCAGTGGTATCATGTGAACAGTGCTTAATTCACCCAACGATATGTGGCAGAAAGTAGAGAAAATACTCCCCAACAAGAAGCTTACCTGAGTCTTGGGGTTGAGGGTTTTACTGGAGGTTGGTCTCATGGACAAGAGCACCCATTTGGATGACCTTAGTTTCCTGTCTCCACCCTTCCCAAGGTCAAGCTGACACTGCATGGTCCAAGGTCCCCACAATAAATCACATTGTTAACTCCCACATAGGCAGGAGATTCCAAGGACTTAGAGGTTATTTCCCAGGAGCCGGGCTAGAGTCACACCATTCTTTGGAGTATGCCAGGTTTGGGCAATTCAGGCCTACTAAGTTTCCTTGACTGCACCCAAGTGATAGTGAGTATGTAGGAAATGAGTAGTCGCATATATTGCTGGTGAAATTAGTGTTATATAACCCTTTGGAAAGAAATCAAGTGTGTAGTGCATAAACATTATATTTGGTCTGATTTGTTTTTGTCTAAGACAGGGTCTCACTCTGTCACCCATGCTGGAGTGCAGTGGCATGATCACAACTCACTGCAGCCTCGAACACCTGGGCTCCAGCTATCCTCCCACCTCAGTCTCCTGAGTAGCTGAGAGCACAGGCACGTGCCACCACACCCAACTAATTTGTGTGTTTTTTGTACAGACAGGGTTTCACCATGATGCCCATGCTGGTTTCAAACTCCTGGGTTCAAAGAATCCCCTACCTCAGCTCCCCAAAGTGCTAGGATTACAGGAGTGAGCCACTGCACCCAACCTATATTTGTATATACATTAAATTGTATATGTTAGGCCAGGCGCGGTGGCTCACAAGTGTAATTCCAGCACCTTGGGAGGGCAAGGTCAGTGGACCACTTGAGGTCAGGAGTTCGAGAGCAGCCTGGCCAACATGGTGAAAACCCATCTCCACCAAAAAGACAAAGATAGCTGGACTTGGTGGCAGATGCCTGTATTCCCAGCTACTCAGGAGGCTGAGGCAGGAGAATCACTTGAATCCAAGATGTGGAGGTTGCAGTGAGCTGAAATCACACCACTGCATTCCAACCTGGGTGACGGAGCAAAACTCCACCTCAAAAAACAACCAAAAATTTGGGTATGTTATTGTATGTATGTGTATATACACATATTAAATATATATACATATATTACATTTTATACACATACATTTGTTTCCTCACGCTATTTGTTTCAGCAGAAGTAAAAATTAATAAAGGTATAAGTAAAAGAATATTTACAGAAGCACTATTTTTGGTGGCAAAAGTACTTTAGCATTTTATATGCTGATATAATGGAAGATACTTTAACTCTTACAAATAATGAGTTAGCTTTTTATCTACTATAAAGATATCCTAATATCTTTATACCTAAAGTGATATCAATGGCAAATTGTTATATGAAAAAGGAGAATGCTTTATAATTGAAGAAAAAAAGAAAGAAACGTTATATAGTAGCCCTCCCTTATCTGCAGGAGATGTGTTCTAAGACCCGCAGTGGATGCCTGAACCTTGGCTATCCAAGGCTATCCAATGCTATCATTGACCCAATTGCTGTCAATCAGAACACATTTCTGTCTATGATTTCCATGCACAAATTTAATGCCTTTTTCATCTTAACTAAGTACTTATCACACATGTGGCTGTATTTTTAGAGCTTGGGGTGCAACAAACAAGACTAACAGAAATTTCTTTTTCCTTCTTACATTTTCACCGCTAGAGGATTTGTTCTTACCATCGATCCTAGCAACCTGAGCACATGACTTCTTTTTCTTTCTATTTTTTTTTCTTTCTTTCTTTCTTTCTTGGTTGCTTGCTTGCTTGGTTGCTTGCTTGCTTGCTTGCTTTCTTGCTTCCTTTCTCTGTCTTTTTTTCTCTCTTTCTTCCTTTTTTCTTTGTTTCTTTCATCTTTTTTTCTTTCTTTCTTTCTGTTTATTTATTTATTTATTGAGATGGAATCTCACTCTGTCGCCCAGGTGGGAGTGAAGTAATGCGATTTCGGCTCCTTGTAACCTTCATCTCCCAGGTTCAAGTGATTCTCATGCCTCCACCTCCCAAGTAGCTGGGAATACAAGCGTCTGCCACCACGCCCAGATAATTTTTGTGTTTTTTGTAGTGATGGGGATTCACTATGTTGGCCAGGCTAGTCTTGAACTCCTGACCTCAAATGATCCACCCAGTTCAGTCTCCCAAAGTACTGGGATTACTTGCATGAGCCACCGCACCTGAGCTGTATATGCCATTGTATGATTGCAAATAATTATATGAATCTTGGAGAACATCATGGAAAGATGTTCATCATCTTGTTAACTGGTTATTTCAAGAGTGGAACTGGAAGGGGAATACTGCCTTTCCTGTGTATTTGTTTGTAATGTTTCATTTTCATTATGAACATGTATTATTTTAATATGTTTAAATATTAATAAACACAGGCAAAAATATGTAATTTTAATTCAAGCTGAAATCGTCAAGGCAATCATACATAACAGATGGAGCAAATAAAACATTTAAAATCCCTGAATGAAAAGGAGGGGAGGCCGGGCATGGTGGCTCACGCCTACAATCCCAGCACTTTGGGAGGCCGAACCAGGCAGATCACTTTGGGTCAGAAGTTTGAGACTGCCTTGGCCAATTGAGACCCCTTGACTCGATTGGAATTGGTCCCACAAACTTTTTTTTTTTGAGGGAGTCTCGCACTGTCACCCAGGGTGGAGTGCAATGGGGCAATCTCGGCTCACTGCAACCTCTGCTCCTGGGTTCAAGAAATTATCCTGCCTCAGCCTCCCTAGTAGCTCAGACTTCAGGCAATGAAACTAAAGAAAGTCAGGGGATGGCTAAAGGATGGAGGATACCTGGGCTGGGGGAGGAGGGAGAATGCGACGGGTGAACACAGACAGGCTTCCAAAGTGGTGTCCAGGTTGTATTTCTTCACTAGGTGGTGGGCACACAGGCATGCATTTTTCCTTATCTTTAAATTGTACATATTTCATACACTTCTCCATATGTATTATACATTTCAAAATAGTACATCTTTTAAAAAATCACAGTGGTTAATGCAATCAGTACAGGTGCCAGGCACATACCAGAGACTCCAGGTGACGGCATGCTCTCCTCTTGGGCTCCTCATCTAGGGCTGAAAGTTTATTTCTCACCCCTGCCGCCAGCACCCCCCATGCCAGCCCATGTCTCTAAGTGCTGAGGGGAAGGTGTATGAACAGAGACAGATACGGCCGTGGAGGAACCCGGAGGGAGGGCCCTCCACTTGGTGAGGACGGATTGTGAGGCTGGTCAGTGCTGAAGCTGAGTATCTTGCTTACTAGAGCAAAGGGGAACTGTGCTTATAGGACCATCTCTCAGAGCAAAACAAATTAAGTCTCTTGGGAAGCCTGGCATTGAGGATTGTCCAGCTTTCAGAAGTGAGAGTGTTCAGCCTGACTTCAGGGGCACAAGGTTCTTGCTGCCTGGGCCTGTTCTGTAGTGTGGGGCTGTCCCTGACTGGCCAGCTTTCAGAAGCATGCAGCATTGTCATTGACTTATTGGGGTTTCATGCCACCACAGCCAAAAAGCAGTTTGTTTTTGTCCTTGAGTTTGGACTATAGATTGTTATTCTCTCCAGGCAAAGGCAGGAAGCACACGGGAACAGGTAGCGCCAGGTGGCTGCAGGCCGGTGGTCTGGCTGGAGCTCAGTGCAGAAGCACAAGACGGTGGTGAGGAGTGAGGCAGACCCAGGGGACTGAAACACCACTGGAAAGAAGGTTCCACCCAGAGCAGTGGGGGCCACAGAGTGATCCTGAGGGGAGATTTACACAGAGATGCGTTTGAGGAAAAGCAGAGACCAGTGGGAATGCTGGTGCTCTCCGCCAGAGGAGAGGCGACGGTGATCGGGACGAGATAGACACCGAGGCGGTGAAAATGGAGAGGCCATGTGAAGGTGGAAGGGACAGAATTTGGTGACAAGCGTCCAGACTGACGCCCAGGTTTCCACTTGGGGAGACCAGAAGGTGGCAGGGCGAATTCCAATGCCAGGTCTCCGGGGAGAGCACACTCAGGAGGAAGATGAGAGTCCGGGTCCCTGTGGGATGGACGTGGAGCCCTCTAGGGGCATTGAACTCTATAGATCTGCCAGTCAGGGGCAGAGGGGTCCAGGGCAGAGGAGACAGAGATCTGGGCACCACCCACGAAGGCACAGTGGACAGGGGATGGAGCCCTCTGGAGGGAGCCAGCGCAAGGGTGCGAGAAGGAGCTTGCAAAGGAAGCAGAGCGGCAGCCAGGACAAGGGAAGGCACCCGCGAGGAACTTGCCTGCAGACCCCAGGGTTGAGTAGGCTTTAAGGAGGAGTGCATGGGGAGCGCTGGGCCGCTCACAGACTGAACACACAGAGGCTGGCGTGGATGCCTGTGGCCTCTGCCCTTGCAACAACCTCTGTCTTGGGTCAGGTTTCCTGGAAGCAGAGCTGAGATGGAATTCCTGTGGAGGTGATTATGGAGGGGGTGCTCCTAGGAAAGGAGAGTGGGGGTAGAGAGCCGGTGCAGAGAGCTGAGCAAGGCTGTGACTGCTTCAGCCTGGTTGGATGAAGGGGAGTTCAGGAGCACTGCACATCACGGCTGTCCCTGCCTTGAGGCCAGGACCATTTTGTGTCTCCTCTCCCTCCCCTCATCAATCAGGCACTGGGTTGTGGGGGAGGGTGTGACCTTCTGGGTGAGGCAGTTTTCCCACTTGGCCTAGGGCAATGAGCCTCCGCTATCCTCAGGCAGCCACCATTGCCTGAAGACAAGTGAGACCCCATGTGCTTGGGCAAAACCAGCCCCTTCCCAGCTCCCAGCATTCAGGGAGGGTCTTTGAGTAAGACCACCCTAAGCTGCCTCCTCTGCTGGCAAACTCCCTGTCACTGCTTTCCCCACTGTCTGCCACTGTAGACCCCAGGATGAAGCTCATTATGCTGCTTCTCCCTCTGTATGGAAAGTTCGAGTCCCCCCAGGCCACCCCTTGCCCCAGACAGCTCTGTATAACCCCTTCTCAGACCCCTTCCCCCCATCCCCAGTTCCCTCAAACCCTTCCACTCTCGAGCTCCTGACCAGCCATGAGCAACGTCCCCCATATCCTAAACTTTTTGTAAACCAAAAATAAAATTCTGAGGGCCCCCCAGCCATCTGAATGGACCTCCTCCTCTGCCAGGGCACTCTTATAATGTAATCTGAAATACTGGTTCAGGCCATGATGGGAAGTGGGGATCGGACTTGCATGATTATCGCTCCAGCATTAACATCAACACATTTTAGTCTGATAAGAAATATTTTACAGTCTATTCTCTCTGAAGCCTGCCACCTGAAGGCTTCCTCTGCAAATAAGAACTTTGGTTTCCACAATCCTTTATCTTAACCCAAACATTTTCTTTCTATTGATCCCAGGTCTTTAAATCAACTCAACAAATTGTCACCCAGAAAATTTTTAAATCTGCCTATAGCCTGGAAGTCCCCCCTCACCCACCCCCCGCCTTCTAGTTCTCTTGCTTTTCTGAACCAATTTATTTCTTAAATGTATTAGATTGAGGTCTCATGTCTCCCTAAAATGTGTAAAATGAAGTTGCACCCTGACCACCTTGGACATATGTTCTCAGGACCTCCCGGGGGCTGCATCATGGGCCATGATCACTCAGGTTTGGTTCAGAATAACTCTCTTCAAATATTTTACAGAGTTTGACTGTTTTTTGTCAACACTTTGAGCATCCCCTTGACTGTGCTGTAACTGGAGATGGACACCCGCTCGCCCCTCAAGGACCGCATCGCTCTCCAGCACTCCTCCTCTTCTTATAACTTTTGGTGATTTCCGTTTCCAGGGGGTGATCCCTGCAAAACCCTGGCCTGCTCTCCTTTCATGGTCTTGACCTCAAAACTACCCCAGCCCTCCTCTCCCATGGCCACACCCTAGATATTGTGGCCCATAACCATAAAGTCTTCTCTCTCCACGAAGACAATTCCGAGTGGCCAACCAGCAGCGGGAGTATTGCCATCTTGGACAAGCACTGGTCAGCATGACCAAAAACCACAAATAACATCTCAGACCAGAAACATTCCAAACCCCTCCCTCACCAGAGGCATGCCAGCCCCGAGATAACCTCCCCTCCGGCCAGAGATATGTCAGCCCCAAAGCTGCGTTTTGTGTTTCTCTTCTCTTTCTTTAACACTTACACTCCTGATTGTGTCCAGCTGACTTCTGCAGTGCCTCACCTAAACATTCCTTCAATGGCTGGGCTTACACTCCACTGATCCCTCCACATTTTCACTGTGGTCACCCCTCTGTCCTCCCTCCCCCCTCCCAGGTATTATGGTGGGCACCAAACATTCTCAGCAGCATATGCCAGTTCCTCCAAGTCTTCTCTTCATTAGACCAACGTCCCCAGGCCCCCAGTTTTCCCCAACAGGATATGGACCACAGATCAGCCATGTCCTAGCATCTTCACCTGGTGCTTCTGTCCATCTGTCCATGTCTTCTTGTCCCTGGAAAGCATGTTCTCTGAGAGCAGAGATTGTGTTTCCTGCATCTCTGTCTCCTGTTGCCCAGCACAGAATTGGTGCTCAATGAAGATTTGTCCATCCAGATGAAGAATGGATGGGTGGCTGGATGGGTAGGCAGATGGATGATGAGTGGGTAGATGGGTAGGTGGATGGGTGGGGACAGATGGATGGATGGAGATAGATGGATGATGAATGGATGGATGGATGAGTGGGGGGATAGATGGATGGGGATGGATGGATAATGAATGAATTGGTAAGTGGATGGGTGGGTGGATGGATGGATGGGTGGATGAGTGGGTGGATGGATGGATAATGAATGCATTGGTAGGTGGATGGGTGGATGGATGGATGGGTAGATGGGGTGGATAGATGGATGGGTAGATGGGGTGAATGGATGGATGGGTAAGTGGATGGATGGATGGGAATAGATGATGAATGGATGAGTGGGTGGATGGGTAGATGGATGGGGATGGATTGATAATGAATGAATTGAAAGGTGGGTGGGTGGGTGGATGGATGGATGGGTGGATGGATGGATGGGTAGGTGGATGGGTAGATGGGGATAGATGGATGATGAATGGATGAGTGGGTGGGTGGATGGATGGGGAGGGATTGATAATAAATGAATTGATAGGTGGATGAGTGGGTGGATGGATGGATGGATGGGGATGGATGGATAATGTAAGAATTGGTAGGTGAATGGATGGATGGGGTAGATGGATAATGAATGGATTGGTAGGTGGATGGATAATGAATGGATTGGTAGGTAGATACATGGATGGATGGACAGGAATGAATGGATAATGAATGGATTGGTAGGTGGATAGATGGATGAGTGGATAGATGGATCGATAATGATTGATGGATGGATGGATGGGGATGGATGGATAGATAAATGGATTGGTAGGTGAATGGACAAATGGATGGATGGATGAGTGGGTAGCTGGATGGGGAATTAGTGGGTAGGTGGGAGAATGGATGATGGATGGATGGATGGATGGATGGATGGATAAATGGAGGGATGCATGATGAACTTCTCCCTTGTTCCCAGCCTAGTCCTAGAATATGTTGCCTCTTCTCAAAAATAAGGTACCACAAAGCCTCTGGTGACGGTGGAGCAAAGGAATAGATGGTGAATGTCTCATACCCACTTCGGATCCAGAACAGGCCTAGGAGAGACTCAGGTGGGATCTGCTGCTGAGGAAGGGGGTTGGGGCTGAAGTTGGAGGAGGAGGGCAGCTCTAAACCACCTGTTCCTGGCTCTAGGCCTCTCAGGCCAGACAGCCCCCACCCGTTTCTGCAGATGCCCGCATCATGGTCCTGAGGGGATGGGGGCTGGCCTGGAGCCTTTCCCCCGTGGTGTGTGGCTATAGCGGGGACATGAAGGGGGTGTGTTGGGGACGTAGTGACCACTCCCTTCTACCGTCAGAGATCCTGCTTCCCCCTGCCCCCTGCCCCTCCTCGGCTGCCCTTCATAACCCCCCACCCACTCCCCACCTGCCATCTCCTGTGCTTGTGCGGATCCAGGAAGCACCTACCTGGGCACAGAGATCATCGCTCGGTGCCTCGCCCCTACACAAGGGCGATTAACTTCTCTGTTATGAACTCCTACTTAGTAATTCTGACATGAAACTCCCACTAGGATAAAACTTGGCGCAGAACAGCAATTACTGAAAACACATTTTTAAAAAGGTTGATGTTTTGTAAGAGTTCATCCTCCTCCACTCCTCAGCCTCCCTCAAGGAGACACATATTTAGATCTTCTCTGTGTGAGTCTAACTTGGAGACTGTGAGTTGCAGTTTAAAAGGGGCTCTGGGGCCAGGTGCGGTGGCACACACTTGTGGTCTCAGCTACTCAAGAGGCTGAGATGTGAGGAACGCTTGAGCCCAGGAGTTCAAGACCAGCCTGAGCAACATAGGGAGATGGGATCTACCCAAAACATTTAACAATAAGGCTGGCATGGTGGCATATGCCTGTGGTCCCAGCTACTTGGAGGCTGAGGCAGGAGAATCATTTAAGCCTGGGAGATCGAGGCTGCAGTGAGGTATGGTTTCAACTGCTGTGCTCCAGCCTGGGAGACAGGGCAATACTGTGTCTCTAAAAAATAAAAAATAAAAATAAAAAAATAAAGGGCTCTGAGCCCAGCCCTCTGGCCAGGGCCTGGTGCAGTGGCAGAGGCTTGGGTCCCTGCCAGGTCTCCTGAAACGTCTCCAGGGTCTGCTGGGGCAGCCACCTGGGTGCTCAGTTGCTCTGTTAAACAGCAAAATTCCCAAGTCCTCATCTCAATGAGCCACTGAGGCCGATGAAGAGGGCCTGTCTCATTTAGGACATGAGTGGCCAGGCGGGTGCCACAGGCCCTTTTCCTGGTGACAACAAAGCCATTGCATGGCTCCAGGAAGGCCACATCATTTCCCGGGCTTCGTAGGCACCTGCGGGGCGGAAACAGTTCAGCAGGGCCCTCCTGATCACAAGGAAGAGGTCATACCGGCTGCTGCACGGCAGGGCTGCACTCTGCCAGGGAGCGTCCTGTGAGGGAGGGGCTGCACTGCCACTTTACTGATGAGGAAATTAAGGTTCAGAGAGATGAGGTCATTTGTTAGAGGCCAGACAGCCTCCTCAGCCCATTTCTAAGGTTGTTTCTGTGGTATTTGCCATAAAGCCATAGGTTCATTGATTTGTTCTTAAGTAGTTCTGAGCCCTTCCTGCATATCAGGCAGGGACAAACAGGAAAGTCCCTGCCTTTGGCAAGTGCGGGGGAAATGAAATGATTCTGCTCAGCCTCATCCATTGGTCTGAACAATCACGTCTCATGACCGCAGGGACACGGCTTCCCCTGAACGCGGATCCTAGAGGCCAGGCAGAAGCAGCATGGGTTTCCACTCACACGGTAGGCGGCTGTGCAATTTCGTCTGGAGTCCGCAGACCCCTCCTCATCCTTCCCAGGGTTGCTCTGAGGCCATTCCTCGTCATCTAGGAGGGGTCTACATAAAAGCATTTATAAACACCTCCAAATGGGAGCCAGGCGTGCCCACCTTTGGAGCACTTTTCTCTACTGCAAATTTATCTACTGCTCGTGAAATCTCTGGATTTAACTCTGATGAAAGACTGGAGGCTGAAGGAGAACTTCAATATCATATATTTTAAAGGTTGATTCACAGTTTGGAGCAAGAATTAAAGAACCACGAACTTCAAGGTAAAACGGGCAACGGCGTTGGGGCAAGCCTCTCTGCATCTGCGTGTCCAGCCTCTCCTGCATGCCAGAAGTCCCCAGGCAGGAGTGTGGTGGGACATCCGGCTGGGGTAAGGACAGACACCCTCCCACTGTGTCAGGGCCCAGAGAGTGGGTGGAGAAGCTCTGCAAGAGACCTGTGCAAGGGCGCCTTGCAGGAGCCTGCAGTCCCCACAGGTGTGTTTGTGGATAACACTTGGGGAGCCCTGGCCTTTTGGGGTCACAGAGGGCTTGGCCTCTCACCTCAGAGCTGCAGAGAAGCCGCTTCTACATCAGGACATCAGAAGCTGGAACAGGATGGCCGGCGAGGGGCCTCTTGTTGGGGTCACAGAGATGGGTCGCAGAGATGGCCCGTGTGGAAGGTTGGATTCTCACCCCACCTCTGCCCCTAGATGTCCTGGTGACCCTCCCCTCTGTAGTCTTGGTTTTTTGCAAAACAGTTATGACCTCCTGCCATACTGGGTACTTTGCTTATGTATTGTGTTTACTCTTTACTGTGTGTCTCTCCTGCTAAGGTCTACGAAGAAGGGTCTTTGTGGGTGGGGTTCTTAGAGGCATCCCAAGTACCAGAAGCAGTCCCTGGACTAAGGGGCTCAATAAATATTTTTTATTTATTATTTTTTCTTTTTGAGATGGAGTCTCGCTCTCTTGACCAGGCTGGAGTACAGTGGCACAATCTTGGCTCACTGCAGCCTTCGCCTCCTGGGTTCAAGTGATTTCTGGCTAATTTTTGTATTTTTAGTAGTGACGGGGTATCACCATGTTGGCCAGGCTGGTCACAAACTCCTGACCTCAAGTGATCCACCCGCCTCAGCCTCCCAACATGCTGGGATTATAGACATGAGCCACCATGCCTGGCCAAATATTTGTCAAATTGAATTTGTATTTCCATACAAATTTTAGTCTGGATAAAGTGCTTCATGCCTGTAATCCAAGCACTTTGAGAGGCTGAGGCGGGTGGATGGCTTGAGCCCAGGAGTTTGAGACCAGCATGGAAAACATAGAGAAACCCCATCTCAATATAAGAAGAAGAAGAAAAAGAAAAAAAAAATCAAAAACGAAAACAACACAAATTTTAGAGTAAGTATTTTAAGTTCCACAAAAACCTGGTTAGGATTTGGATAGCAATTTCTTTAGTTCTACAAATCAATTTGGAAAAAATTAATTAATTTGGGAAGAATTCATTTTGAGTCTTCTAATCCATGAACATGGTATCTCCATTTGTTTAGACCATCTTTAATGCCTACTAATAACATTTCTGTATAGTGACCTTGCACATTATTCTTAGATTCTTGATATTTTGTGCTATTATGTCTTTTTATAAATTTTATTTTTCCAACATTGTTGCTAATATATAGTAAGAAAATGGAATCTTGCCTATAGATTTTGAACCCAACAACTTTGCTAAACTCCTCTGAATCCTCAGAATTTCCCTGTGGATTATGTAGGCTCTTCTGCATACACAACCATATCATCTGTGAATAAAGACAGTTTTGTTTTCTTCTTCACAAACTTTACCCGACTCACTGTGCAGTCTGCCACATCCAGGCTGATATTGAATAGCAGTGGCACTAATAGGATTCTTTGCCCCCTTGCCAATCTTGTAAAGAAAGCTTTCAACATTTTCCTGTTAGCTCTGTTGGCAGCTCTGACTTTTTCCATAGATGGCCTTCATCAGCTTAACAATGGGTCTTTTCTTCCCAGAGGGCTGAGCTTTTCCTTAAGAACAGACAGTGAGTGTCATCAAACACTAGGCTGCATCTGTTGAGATGGTCATACGACTTGTGTCTTTTCCTGTGTTTGTGTGTGAACTCTCTGGGTGTCTGAGGGTTCTTGTGACTTTCACAGAAGAACACAATTTACCCTCCGGTGTGGGAAGGGGAAGGAGGCAGAGGAAGAAAGACCCCAAGTCCCCCTCATCCCCACTGACCTTCCTGCTGGCTTCGTCCTTGATCTGTGCCTCCTTAGATCCTGCGTTTGAGTACTTGCGGTCATGATGACAGGGCCAACCTCCTGACCAGGGCTGTTAGCACCTCCCCTGCTGCCCAGAGTCCCTGCTCCAAACCACTTTCTTCATCTTCCGTACCCCCAGCCAATATTTCCCTGCCCAGTGTCAACCCAGGCCCAGAACCAGACCACAAGGGACAGCCCCGGAACCCAGAATCAGACAAATCAGCCCGTCCCAAGCTGTCTCCCCTGCTCTGCCCGGCTTTCACAGGGAAGCCAACACAGGCTGTGGCTTGGCCTTTCCCTAGCTCCTTTCTGCCTCCTGGTCTGCCTGCGGCTTCCCCCTGCCGCCCTGCGGGGCCTGCCACGTCTCTCATTTCTAGCGAATGTTTCAAGAGCGATGTTAGACTTTCCTTTCAATAGCGTTGACCTCTGTTAGGCACCTTTATGGATTAAGACCTGGGCATAGATGGGTTCTTCGGCATCACGACCTGAAGGTGCTTGGGAGAGACGGTGAGGAGGAGAATGCACCCTGCCATGCTCTGCACCGCACATGGATGCGGATTTCACCATGTTGGCCAGGCTGGTCTGAAACACACAGAGCCCAAGCGCCCGGTGGACTCTCTGACGGTCCTCGGGCGTGTGCCTTTGTAAGCAGAGTATTCAGCTCTCATCAGGGCCTCGCCAGAGCAGAAATGGTCTGTTGATAAATGCATCGTATACAATTATAAATGTGCACCCAGCATTGCTGCTTCCTCTTTTTTTTTTGATATAGGGACTTGCTCTGTCGCCCAGGCTGCAGTGCAGTAGGGCAGTCACAGCTCACTGCGGCCTCAACCTCCCAGGCTCAAGCAATCCTTCCGCCTCAGCCTCCTAAGTAGCTGGAACTACACATCCAGCTTTTTTTTTTTTTTTTTTTTGTAGACACAGGATCTCACCATGTTGGCCAGGCTGGTCTTAAACTCCTGGGCTCAAGTGATCCGCCCACCTTGGGCTCCCAAAGTACTGGCATTACAGGTGGGAGCCACTATGCCTGGCCTGCTTCCTTTTGCAAACAGGAATCTTGTAAATAGAATTGATCAGAACTTGTTGTTTAACGTACACAGACCTCTAGCTGTACTGCAAAGCTGTGTGCACATGTGTTAAGTCATCTGTTCTATGTGTTCTAATTATAAATAAGAAAAAACAAATTTCAATCAACCATGCTGGAGGAAGAGCAATTATGTTTCTATTCCTTCTATCATAGGTGATGTAAAATTCTCAAACAATGAGATAGATAAAAAGTACGCAGCCAAAAAGTTCAAGAAGAAGTGTTATGGAGATGGAGCAGGCCCTTCGTAAAAACACGATGTTGGTTTTCTGGATTTTGTATGTTTGCTTTTTTTTTTCCTCATCCTAAAGAAATATTCACTGTCATACCTAATTTTGTTTTTGTAAGTTTGTATTCTTTCTTTATAGGGAGGCCTCACAAAACCCGGATCAGACTCGCCCACTGCCCTGTGTCTGCCCTCCCGACCGCCTCTCCTGCCCAGCAGGGATGAGGGTGGCAGTGGTGCTGTGTGGAGGGTGGCGGGAGGACCTGGAAGACTGCGACCAGTGAGCCGGGAGGCCTTGGGACAGCCTCTCTCTGAATCATCCTGTGCACTGCCGGGTGTGACAGAGGCTCCTAGAATCCTGTCTCAAGTGGCCGCCTTCACAGAGGGAGTCACTGACGTCCCTGCTCAGCGCAGCCCTGGCATGTGGGGGTCCCTCTACTCATGAGAAACCCCCACCCAATCACCGTGAGGTGTGTGACCCATGCTCACATCCAGGGGCCACTCATTCATTCAGGAAACATTGGCCGAGCCCTCAGCAGGGGGCGGTGCTGGATGCCGGGATGTAGAGAGTGGGGTGGGACAAGGACTTGGTTGTGAGACGTCCCAGTCCGGGGAAGGACTAAGAGAAGGTGACATGGACAGTCTAGACTACCAGTCATTGGTTCTCCACTGGGGGCAGTATTGGCAATGTTTAGGTATAAATTGGTTGTCACAATGAATGCTACCAACGTCTAGTGGGTGGAGGCCGGGGGTGCGGCTCAGCATCCTACCAGGTGTCGGACGGCCCCCACCACCGAGTGCCAGCCCCGAGGGCAGCCCAGGGTGCCCCAGTGGTGAGGAGCCCCGGTGTGGAGTGCAGGGTTCGTTTGGACCACGGCTGTAGAGGCCTAGGGGAGCTCCCGCCATCAGGATGGCCGGGCATCAGGGCTCTGTGAGGGGGAAGGGGGCATCAGTGCAGCGGCAGGCAGGGGTTCGACGGGCTGAGTCCTGCGACGTGTTGCATCCACACCAGTGTCTGGGGCCAGCACCACCGCTCAGTCTCTGAACCCACTTATTTCGCCCAATATTGCTTGAGTGGGAAGTTCCACCTTCCCCAGTCGGCTGCTTATCTCGTCTTTCCAATGCAGTTAGGAAGGGAAAATATTTTCTCCCCATTTTACAGATGAAGAAATGGGGCCTGGCGAGGAGCAAAGCCCAGAACTGCTGCCCACCACCCTCCCTGCCTGGTGCTTTCCTGGGAACATGTGGGAGCCCCTGCCTGGACCTTGGGACCTCCCATCTGTAATTGCAGGCCCCGGTCTGCCTGTGTGGATTTGGAATGTGTCACTCGGGATCCTGGAGTCCTCCTGAGCTTGTCCAGCAGGGCTGCATTCACTGATGTGCTGACAGAGGCCTAGGCTCGGACCTCTAGGAATATCCAAAGCATCTCATTACGCAGAAAACCACCCTCATGAGGTCCTGGGGGCCTCTCTCCATCTTCCTGGGGGTGATGCAATAGAGTGTAACTTCCACGCTGCCGAGACAGGCCATGAGGGGTTGCCCCCGTTGGAGGGGCAGAGTGGTATTTGTGGGGTGGTAGGAATCATTCAATGCCCAGCTGCAACCCCCCGGGCTCACAGCACACTCTTAAGGCCAGTGCTACCAGCTCCCTTGGGTGGATAGAGGAGCTACGGCTCAGAAGCATGCCCACAGCTCCCCCAGGACCCTGAGGCCAGCCTGTGGCAGGGCCTGTGATTTGAACCCCTCTACAAGGCTTCAAATCAGTGCTGTTTGTCCTGGCCTCATAAAACCTGGCTGCCCAGTTGGGATTGGTGTCATCTGCCTTGCTGAACTGGGCACTCCTTGGGAAGAGGGTGGGTGCTGCGAGAAGGCGGTGGATCCTGGCTGTGCAACCTTCGCAGGTGGCTGAACCTCTCTGTGTCTCAGTTTGCTCATCTGCAAAGGGGGCTGGGATTCCTGCCTACATGCATGTGCTCAAGAGGGAAAGCCAGCCAGGCATGGTGGCTCATGCCTGTAATCCCAGCACTTTGGGAGGCTGAGGTGGGCAGATCACTTGAGGTCAGGAGTTCAAGACCAGCCTGGCCTAAATGGCAAAACCCCATCTCTACTAAAAAAAAAAATAAAAATAAAAAAATAGCTGGACGTGGTGGCGGGTGCCTGTAATCCCAGCTACTGGGGAGGCTGAGGCAGGAGAATCACTTGAATCCGGGAGGCAAAGGTTGCAGTGAGCTGAGATCCCACCATTGCACTCCAGCCTGGGTGACAAGAGTGAAACTCCACCTCAAAATAAATAAATAAATAAATAAATAAAGTAAAAGAGGGAATGCTGAGAGCTGGGCGTGGCCTGTGGCTCTGTAGCTACGCAGGAGGCTGAGTCAGGAGGATTGCTTTAGGCCAGAGATTCCAGGCTGCAGTGAGCTATGATCATGCCTGTGAACAGCCGCTATATTCTAGCCTGGGAAACACAGTGAGACCCTGTCTCTGAAAAAATAAAATATTTAAAAAAGAGTGAATGGTAGGTCAGGGTCTTCTGTAGTGGGGTGGGTCTGGGCAGGGGTGGAGGCCCAGCCAGAGTCACTGGGGTCAGGGAGGGACTGGTGACAAGAATGCACAGCCCTGACCAGGGAAGCACCCAGGGAGCTTTCCCCGTGAAGGGGGGACCTGGCCTCGCCCTGGCCTCACCCCAGCTGTGAGTTGGAACCAGCATGGAGGGAAGCCAGGCCCGGTGCACTCTGCCCAGGGGGATGTAGTTTGGCCAGTGGGGGCTGCCATCAGAGGCTGTCCTTACTGTGGGATCGCTGTGGATGCTTTCCCTTCTGAAGCCTGGAACCTTGGGTCCCCATGCCCTCCAGCTCTGTGTCTCCTTTGTGGGCATCAGGAAGACACATTCCCTGGCCTCCTTTGCAGTGGCTGGCTGTGGAAGGAGGTGCCTGGGGTCAGGTGGGTGTAGGTGGGTACGTGGCATCACGAGGACATATTTTTGTAGAGGGAATTACATTCTTTCTTCCAATTTTTTATTATAAAAGTTTTCCAATTGAAACCACCCACACCCCAAGCCTGGGGCCGGCCTCCCATCACTGCCTTCTCAGCCCTGGGGGAGGCCTCCTTCTTTCTGCATGGCCTCTGGGCCCATCTGAGCATTCCTCTTCCCTGATGGGAGAAACGCCTGGTGGGGGAGAAGTGGAAGTGGGTGTCCAGGCAAGTCTCAAATCCCAATGGCTGACCCGGAATCCCCTCTGCACACCTCTCCTCCTGGTGCCCGGAGGGGGTGCCCACTCTGCTGCCAGGGATTTCCTGAGTAGCTGCTCCGACCACAGCCAGGGAAGAGTCCTTGCAGGAACTCTGCGGGCTGGGCCTGCCCTCCCCAGCCTTGGCATCTTCTTGTTGGTGTCTGAGTTTGAGTCTGTTCTGTGGGCTCTGTGGGAGGTGGGCCCAGCTTCTCACCATGCAGGACCCCTCACCCAGAGCCTGAAACCCGCTTTGACTAACATGCCTCTGGGTTCCTTCACTGGCCCTGCCCAGTCGCATCCCATGGGAAGAAGGACTGGCTGCTCGGGGTTCTCAGACCCTAGCCTGGGAAAACCAGTCTGAGGACAGGGATAACCCTTGGCCCTGCCTCTGATTGGGCCCTGAGTTAGGTGGGGTTCTTCCCTGCTGGGGGTCCTGGAGGCATGGGAGGGTTTTGGGGTTCTGTGTGAAAGAGGCCTCAGTCCCTTCAGTTCTCACAGATCCCCCAAGGCTGTGTGTCTGATCCATTGCTTTACATAAGAGAGGAATTGGAGCCAGGCAAAGCCCAGGATTAAAATGGGTGGTGGAGGGGGGAAGCTGTGATTTGAATGTGTCCCTCTAAAAACACGTGTTGGAAACTCAGTCCTCAATGCAACAGTGTTGGGAGGTAGGGCCTAAGGGGAGGTGTTTAGGATGATCCATGGATGATCCATGCAGGTAACAAAAGGCCTCGAGGCTGGGTATGTGTTCTCTCACTCTCTCACACTCTCTTGCCATGTGATGCCTTCTGCCATGTGATGACACAGCAGGAAGGCCCTCACCAGATGCGGCCCCTGAAACTTGGACTTCCCAGCCTCCAGAATCATGAGCCGAATCATCTTCTATTTTTTATTTTTTATTTTTTTTGAGACAGAGTCTTGCCCCGTCGCCCAGGCTGGAGTGCAGTGGCATGATCTCTACTCACTGCAAGCTCTGCCTCCCTGGTTCATGCCATTCTCCTGCCTCAGCCTCCCAAAGAGCTGGGATTACAAGTGCCCGCCACCACAACTGGCTAATTTTTGTGTTTTTAGTAGAGACGGGATTTCACCATGTTGGCCAGGCTGGTCTCGAACTCCTGACCTCAAGTGCTCCACCCACCTTGGCCTCCCAAAGTGCTGGGATTACAGGCATGAGCCACCACACCCAGCCTTTTTTGTCTTCTTATAAGGAGGTAAGTTGTATTGAATCAGGGCCCACTCCAATCAGGTGTGACTGCGTCTTCACTTGATTATATCTGCAAAGGCCCTATTTCCAAAAAGGTTGCATTCATAGGTACCAGGGGTTGAGGCTTTAACATATCTTTTAAAATTTTTATTATTTTTTTGAGACAGAGTCTTGCTCTGTCGCGCAGGCTGGAGTGCAGTGGCGCGATCTCGGCTCACTGCAACCTCCACCTCCTGGGTTCAAGAAATTCTCTTGCCTCAGCCCTCCGAGTAGCTACAATTACAGGCGCCCCCACCCACCCCACCATGCCCGGCTAATTTTTGTATTTTTATTAGAGCTAGGGTTTCACCATGTTGGCCAGGCTGGTCTCAAACTCCTGATCTCAAGTGATCCACTTACCTCAGTTTCCCAAAGTGTAACATACCTTTTTGGGGGACAGAATTCTACCCACAAATTCTAGATAAGGAGGCATTGCTTCTTTTTTCTTCTGGTATTGAATGTCACTTTGGAGATGTCTGATGTCAAGTTGGTTTTCTTTGCTTTATAAGATACTTGGTCTTTCTGTCTGGCTGCCTAAAGGATTATTTCTTTATCTTTAAAGTCCAGTGATTTTACAAAGGCATGTTTTGTGTTGACTGTTCTGGGCCAACACACACAAGTATACAGCATGCACTTTCACAGGCAGGCGCAAGTCTGCCTGCATTTCAATAAAGAGGTCTTGAATGATAGTTTCAATCCTTGTTCAGCAGGTGCTGTGGTGCACACCTGTGGTCCCAGCTACTCAGGAGGCCAGAAGTTCAAGCCCAGCCTGGGCAACGCTAGCTTATATGAGATCACCTCTCACATAAATCAAGCAGTCAATACTTGTTCCGATCTGTTAGAGTTTTGCCTATCATATATGTACACTGGAGCCCCTTTACTGTTTTTTCTTTTTTTTTTTTTCTTTTTTTTTTTTTTTTTTGAGACAGAGTCTCGCTCTGTTGCCAGGCTGGAGTGTAATAGCACAATCTCAGCTCACTGCAACCTCTGCCTCCTGGGTTCAAGGGATAGTCCTGCCTCAGCCTACCGAGTAGCTGGGATTACAGGCACACATCACCATGCCCGGCTAATTTTTGTATTTTTAGTAGAGACGGGGTTTCACCATCTTGGCAAGGCTGGTCTTGAACTCCTGACCTTGTGATCCAACTGTCTTGCCTCCCAAAGAGCTGGGATTACAGGCGGGAGCAACCGCGCCCGGCCCTTTACTGGTCTTTTATAGTCACTTTCTCTCTAATCCTTTTTAATCTCTTTCCTCTTTCTTTCTATTTGCTCACTTTTTCCTTTTTTTATGTGATTTCCGTGGTGTCTGTGCTCTCGTATTACCTGTAACTTCATTTCTTCATTTCTGAAATGGTTTTCTCTTTTTCTTCAGTTTCCTTCCTGAATTCTGTCATTTCCCACCACAGACTCCGCTGCCGTTTGGCCACCTCTTCCCTGTGTTCTTATTCTGTGCTTATTCTCCTCTGTTCTTATTCTGTGCTGTAGTATCCCTTCGGAGCTGAAGTTCTTGTTGGAATATTAGATCATGATTTTCATCTGGTTTGTGGCAGTATTTGTCTGATGAGATTTCTTCATTTGTAGGAAAATAGCACTGCTTTTATTTTTTATTTTTATTTTTTAAGACTGCAGCTTGCTCTGTGACCCAGGCTGGAGTGCGGTTGCACAATCGTAACTCACTAGAGCCTTGACCTACAGCCTGCACTCGAGCGATTCTGCTCTGCCTCTGGAGCAGTTGGGGACTACAGGTGTGTGCCACCATGCCTGCCTGGGTTTCTTTTTTTATTTTTTTGAGAGAGGGTCTCCCTCTGTCACCCAGGCTGGAGTGCAGTGGCGCAATCTCAGCTCACTGCAATTTCTACCTCCTGGGCTCAAGCGATTCTCCCATCTCAGCCTTCTGAATAGCTGGGACTACAGGTGCACACTATTGTGCCTGGGAATTTCTTCATTTTTTTTTTTTTTTGTAGAGACAAGGTTTCACAATGTTGTCCAGGCTGGTCTCGAACTGCTGGGCTCAAGTGATCTGCCCACCTCGGTCTCCCAAAGTATTGGGACTATAGGCGTAAGCCACCATGCCTGGCCTTTTTTTTTTTTTTAAGTTAGGCACTTAGGTCTCCTTATGTTGGCCAGGCTGATCTTAAACTCCTGGCCTCACTCAATCCTCCCGCCTCTGTCTTTCCCACAAAGTGCTGGTGTTACTGGAAAAGGGGGAGCTCTGATCCAGACCCCAAGAGAGGTCTCTTTGATCTCACGCGAGAAAGAATTTGGAGCGAGTTCACAGAGTAAAGTGAGAGCAAGTTTATCAGGAAAGTAAAGGGATGAAGAGGAACTGAGGTCTCCTCCCCTCCCTTTTGAGACCTTATAAGGTAACCTCCAGACATTGCCATGGCATCTGTAAACTGTCATGGTGCTGGTGGGGGTGTCTTTTAGCAGCAAATGCATTCTAATTGGCATATAATGATCCGTGAGGACAATCAGAGGTCACTCTCGTGGCCGCCTTGGTTTTGGTGGGCTTTGGCCGGCTTCTTTACTGCAACCTGCTTTATCAGCAAGGTCTTCATGACCTGTATCTTGTGCCGACCTCCTATCTCATCCTGTGACTTAGAATGCCTAAACTCCTGGGAATGCAGCCCGGCAGGTCTCAGCCTCATTTTACCCAGCTCCTGTTCAAGATGGAGTTGCTCTGGTTCCAACGCCTCTGGCATTGGGATTTCAGGCGTGAGCCACTGTGCCTGGCCAGCATTGCTTTTGGAAGTGGAGAGCATGCCCATTTTTGTTACTCGTTTATTTGAATAGGATGGCTGTTCCGGCCAGGAGGTGCTGGGCCACGGCTCCTGGGAGGACCATGTGCTGCCCTGTTGGATACCTCAGCACCACTGGCTCCTGTTGGCAGCTGAGCCGGCCCACCTTGAGGTCCTGTGCATGGGTTACAGCTGGTGGTGTGTGGGTGCACAGTGATGGCGGGCCTCTGAGAGCTGGGGCAGGCCAGTGCGGCCTGACTCTGCCTGTAGGAAGCTCTAGAACAGGTCATGCTGATCTGCAATGAAAAGTCGCCTCTGGAGGGGGTGCAGTGGGGACTGATGAGCACATATCTCGGGGGTGGTCAGGTTCTTATCTTGGTGGAGTCTGCCTTTGTCAACTCCCTGAGTGACACCCTTGAGATCTGTATAGCTTGCTGGGTTGAACTGTGACCCCCAAATTCATATGTTGAAGTCTTGACCCCTGTATCTCAGAATATGCCAGGGCAGAGTCAGCAAAAAGAGGAAAGTCTCCAGCCGGTTCCCCAGCTCTGAGCCTGTACCTGCCTTGGGGCCAGGAGAGGCTGAGGTGTGGGAGAAATGCGTATTTGGGTTCCTCTGCCAGAGCATGGTCCTCCGTGGAGTCGGCCTCCTGCAGAGGGGAGCAGCAGGTGCTGTTGCATGCTACCGTCTCCCCTAAGCCTCTCAGGGTCTCCTTAGGAACAGGGTGCATGTTCCCTCCCAGATGCAGCTCACCCCTACCTCTGCCCCCCACATCTCCCTCCCCCCGCCCCAGGCAGCCCCCAAGACTTTCCTTGCCCTGAACTCCCATCTGCCTCCCCGGTCTGTCCTCTGTCCCTGGCTGCTCGGGTCAGCCTGGCCTCCGGTTCTCTCCCTTTCTGTCCCTTTTGCACCCTGGCTCCCTCTCTAGGCTGCGGTGCAGTGAGGACGCTGCCCAGGGCTGGAGGCTGGTGGGAGGTTGGGTGTGATGTAAGGCTGTGTTGCTGGCTGTTCTGGGGATGCTGACAACATTAGCGTGGCTCATGTTTATCGTGGGTCTAGCTCCTCTTGTACAGACATGGTCCTCTTCCCTTCCTCCGTGGAAGCAGAACCCTGATGCGTGGCGGGGCATGTAGCTGGCCGGAATGAAAACCTGCATCTCCCAGCTTCCTCCCTGACGCTAAGTGGAGCTGAGCTGCTAAGTCGTGGCCAGTGGGTTAAAGGCAGAAGTGCTGTAGAAGACTTCCAGGAAGATGGCTAAAAACAAGCTGACTCAGCTGGGACTTCTGGGAGGGGCTCTTTTCTGCCCTGTACTTTTCCAGCTTCCTTCCACCTGTCCTGTGGTCTTGATGGCTGGAGCACCAGCAGCCACCTTGGACCATGGAGTGGCTTTGAGGCTAGACACCATGCGTGGAGGATGAGGAGCAGAACAGCCAGGATCTGGGTCCCTGAGGACATCGAGGAGCTGCCACCTCACCCTCAATCAGTCATCCCCAGATTCTCCCTTCAGAAAGAAATCAGCTTCTTTCTTGTTTATGCTTCTTTTGCTGGGATTGTCATATGCAGCGAAACCAAACTGTGGAGTCCCGATCAGCTGATAGAAATGAGGAAGGGGTTCCCTCCTCTGCACAACTCCATGGCACCACAGGCCCTAGCTGGCAAGAACATGAACTAGGGTGGGGGAGAGCCATTGTTCTAAGAAATGGATAACCACAAGCAGCCCACTTGCACAATCTCCTGTTACCAAATACCTAGCTCTGCACGTTAGCTCCAGCAGCATGACCCTGTCTGCATGGGGCCTCTCCAGCGTGACCCTGTCTGCATGGGGCCTCTCCAGCGTGACCCTGTCTGCCTGTTGCCTCTCCAGCGTGACCCTGTCTGCATGTGGCCTCTCCAGCATGACCCTGTTTGCATGCCGCCTCTCCAGTGTGACCGTTTCCACATGTAGCCTCTCCAGCATGACCCTGTCTGCATGTGGCCTCTCCAGCGTGACTCTGTTTGCATGTGGCCTCTCCAGCATGACCCTGTCTGCATGTCGCCTCTCCAGTGTGACCCTATCAAACTTCCCCCTGGCCTCTGCCCCTGGGGAGGTGGCCTTCTCTCTGCCATGCTGCCTGCTGTTCTCTTGCAAGGTGTCTTCAGACTTTCTTTACCCATGACTGTCTCGGTAAATTCTTTTACCACCCGTGACACCAGCCCCAGCCAGTTGCACCTGCAACACTGGCTGCAGTGGATTCCTTGTTGCTGATACTCCACATAACCTTGCTAGGTGTCATATATGATCATTCTTTAACAGAGGGGCAAGCTGAGGCTCAGAGAGGTTAAGGCACTTGCTCAAGGTCACACAGCGGAGAGGTTGTGGGTAAGCCAGGCTGCTGGCTTAGAACACTGCCATGGCATTTCTCAGATCACCTCGCTCAGGGACTCCTGGCAGTTCCCCCTGCGTCATAGCGGTGAGTCTGTCCAGGACGAGCCACTCCAGGCTACCGAGGGCCAGCTGGAGGGCCTGCAGACACCTGCTGTGGAGTCAAGGTCCACACCATCAGCTGGAAGAGAGGTCTCAGGAGGGGCATTAGTGTTTGTCCTCGCTGTGATTGCACTGACTGACAAATCAGCTGTGGGACAATGGAAAACACAGCAGCAGCTTGTTACTGAGAAGGGAGGACTCAGGGTGGACCTGACCCCTCTGCAGATGGCTTGGTGAGAACGTGGCCTGCCCTGTTGGCTCCTCCCTCTGGGTATTGGAATTGCTGGGCAGCCAGAGGCTTACCTGGGCTTACTGGCACCCAGGGAGGAGAAGCCCTGAGCTGTGCGGCTGCTGAGGAAGGCTGTCTGCAGGGGAGAGCCCGAGCGCTGAAGGAGGCCAGTGGGCTCAGCCTGATGTCTCCATTCTCCTTCCTACAGCAACCAGGGTGCTTTGGAAAGGGTCAATTGCCCCCCCTTACCAGGTAGGGATGCAGGAGGGAGAGCGAGCCATTCCTCTAACGTCAGTGACCATGTCTTGGTTCCAAAGCCCCTTAAGCCTTGGGTTGTCTATCAGCAAAAAGAGAAGGGATGTGCTCAGGGGGTCTTCGTGGAGATCCTCTGCTCCCCTTGCCTTGAATGTGGAGAGGGCCCAAGACTCCCTAGGGAAGGCAGGTGATACAGACTCCAGGTGTGCCCTGCTCTCTCCTCAGCACCACTCTGCAGCACCACAGGCAGTCTGGGGTGCAGATAACATCTCTCTGGGCACAGCTTCGCACCAGGGCATGCTGGGGGTAGAGCCACACTTGCATGGCCTGTGGATCCCTGCAGCCTGGGGATTGGGCTGCTATTCCCACTGCAGGGAGGGAGGTGGTCGGAGGTAGGGGCTGCTCCTACCTAGGTACTTCTGGCCTCACCAGAAGAAGGGGGAGGGTTTGCACATTGAGTGGCACCTGCTCCATCTTTGTCCCTGTATTTACATCATTATTCTGAAGGCCAAGAGATTGGACCTGCCGGAGCTCCATGCACAGACCCTGGGCAGGTGCATGTGGGCTTCTGGCTTCCTGGTGTGCACAGCCCCTTCTCTCCCTTCTGGACTGTGGCAGTGTACTAGGGACATTGTAGCCACTGTGTAAAGTCTCCCGCTTTCTGGGACAGTTTTATTCACTCATGTGTGTTGAGAGCCCGTTTTGTGCTGGGGTCCCTGGGGAGAACGCTGGGTTCACTCATAGTTCCACAACAAGGGACCTGTGGCCTTTGTTGTGGACAGGGGCCAAGAGCACGTAGAGAAGGCACTGAATGCTCCTTGGCTTCCAGGGGAAAGATCAGGACTGGAAGGATGTGGGAACTGCCCAAAGCTACAGGATCTGCTGTCTCAATGGCTGAGCAGGGTGCAGAGTGCATGCAGCTGTTTGTTCTGTGGCACTGGTAACCTTGGCACTTCTCCAGGTGTGAAGGACAGCATGGGAGTGAGCCTGTGAAGTTATAGGCAGAGTCCAGGCAGCCCCAAGCCTTGGTGGGTTGTAGCTGTCAGAGTGGCAGCAGGTGGACAGAGGGGATGGGCTCGGGGGGAGGCGGGGGGACCCGCTTGAGTGGGAGTCAGCCTGGGGGCATCTCAATCCCTCTGATGCCTGGTTTGGGTCCCCAGCACTACTTAGCCCACCCCACTGAGCCTGTCTGTGCCTGGCCTGGCACTGGTGATGCAGGGACTGAGTCAGGCAGGGCCTGACCCAGAGAGCCCATGGGCAGACAGTCTTGGTGCTGCATGCCCGGGCTTAAACCAGCAAGCCTGATTCTGAATGTCCACAAGCTCTTGGCTGGTGGGGCCACAGGACTGGGACCCAAGCCTCCTAGTGACATGGCTGAGGCCATCTGTCATGGGTCCTTCTCTCAGGCCACCTGGTTCCCTGTGACTCACTTGGTGTTGACCAGGTGCATGGATGCAGAGCTGAGCAGACAGTCCCTGTGTCCCCAGTCTGGTTGGGGGTGCAGGGGTCTGGAGCCCATGTGAGCCTGGTGAGAGCCTGGGAAGGAACCACTTTTTCCATGGCAGAGCTGAGTGCAAAGCACGCTGTTGCACTGCTCTGGTGGTGGCATTTTACTCTGTAACCTATTCATCCACATACTCATGTATTTCTCCACCCACCCATTCATCTACTTATCCACCCATTCACCCATCCATCCACTTATCCATCCACCCATCTACACATCCATCCATCCACCCACCCACCCATCCACCCACCCACCCATCCACCCGCCCATCCATATATACACCCACCCATCCATCCATACACCCACCCATCCATCACTTATTTGTTCATCTATCCATCCATTCCCCCATCTCTCCATCCACCTACTCACCCATCCATCCACCATCCATCCATCCATTCATGCATCCATCCACTCATCCATCCATCCATGCATCCATCCATCCATCCATCCATTCACCCACCCACCCATCCACCTATTGACCCATCCATCCACCCATCCATCTACCCATACTTCCACCTATCCACATACCTGCCCATGCACCCACTCATCCATCCACCCACCCACTCACCTATCCACCCATCCACCCATCCATGCATCCATCCATCAATCCACCCACCCACCCATCCATGCATCCATCCATCCATCCACCCACCCACCCGCCTCGTCCCTCCGTCTGAAGGTCTTTACAGAACAGCTGTGAAGCTGAGATGCTGGGGACCCAGTGGTTACTCAGGACAGTCATGGACACTGCCATCTAGGCTGTGCTTCCTGGCAGGCAGGGGCAGCAAACAGGACCCTTTGCAGATAGTGGTGTCTGCTGTAAAGGAGAGAAAACAGTGAGAGTAAAAGAGTTGAAGAGTTACTGGGGTCTCCTGGGACTCTTTTCCATTCTGAGTCCTGAGCCCACTGAGAAGTAAGGCATGAAGGCAGGTGCTGGAAAAACAAAACCCTTCTATCAATGCCAACCCCTCCATCAGGTTGTAAACCAAAGGGTATCTGAGACAGGTCTCGATAAATTTAAAACACTTATTTTGCCAAGGTGAAGTAAGGGCGTGTGACACAGCCTCAGGAGGTTTTGACGACATGTGCCCAATGTGGTCAGGGTACAGTTTGCTTTTATTTTTATTTTATTTTATTTTATTGAGATAGAGTCTCATTCTGTTGCTCAGGCTGGAGTGCAGTGGTGTGATCTCGGCTCACTGCAACCTCCATCTCCCGGGTTCAAGCAATTCTCTGCCCCAGCCTCCCCAGTACCTAGGATTATAGGCGCATGGTACCATGCATGGCTAAGTTTTTGTATTTTTAGTAGAGACGGGGTTTCACCATCTTGGCCAGGCTGGTCTCGAGCTCCTGACCTCGTCATCCACCCACCTCGGTCTCCCAAAGTGCTGGGATTACAGGCATGAGCCACCATGCTTTCTTTTATACATTTTAGGGGGACATGAGACATCAATCAATATGTGTAAGATGTACGTTTGTTTGGTCAGGTAAGGCGGGGCAGCTTGACAACTTGCGGGGGTGGGGGACTTCCAGGTCATAAGTAGGTAAGAGACAAACTGTTGCATTCTTTCGAGACCTTGATCGGCCTCCCACTGAAACACAATTTAGTCTGGCTCAGGGAATCTGTATTTTTATATCAACAATAGGGCAGAGGAAGCCATCAGATATGGATTTGTCTCAGGGGAGCAGAGGGATGGCTTTGGGTCCTGTCTGTCATTTGTCTACGAGGAATTTCCTTCTGGGCAAATTTTGAGGGAGGTGGTGGCTTTTTAGTCTCTGTAGCCATCTTATTCAGGAGTGGACTGGGAGGCAGGTTTGCCTGAGCAGTACCCAGCTTGACTCTTCCCTTGGCTTGGTAATTTTGGGGCCTGAGATGGATTTTCCTTTCACAGGGTGTAGCAGGCTTAGTGCCAGGGCCCAGGAGACTTTTAGGCATCAGGAAAGTGGTTTAATGCCTTCTAAAATCAGAATAAACACAGTGCAGCCTGGGCTACAGTCATCTTTCTACCAACGCAGTTATGAAACATCATTCGTAATACTTTAGCCCAGAGGAGGGACCCACAGAGGCTGTAATGCCAGGCTGCCCGTTATTCCCAATGGAGGCTGGTCGGAGGACGTGGCTCAGAGTGAAGGCCAAGGGGGCCTTCCCTGAACCCCAGAGTGGAGGGGCCACCTGCCCAAAGGCGCAGCCCAGGCCAGCCTCCAGGGAGCCCCCACCTGTTCAGCAGAGCAGGCCACCCCTGCAGGTGGCAGCGGAGAGTGAGCTCAGCCTGCCCTGCAGACCCCGCCTGGATTTGCCAATCCCTCCCTGCGTGGGGGTGGGTGACAAATGGTGGGAGAGAGGCAGGGGTTGGAGAAATCAGTTTTCTCCACGTGGAAGGAGGCTCGGGAGTTGGGGAGGACACCCCCACCTTCCCTGGCCTTTTGTTGCCCTACCCAAGGGCCTCGTGGTCACACTTGTGGTGAGCTGGGGGGCCGCCCCTAGGGAGAGGAGAACTGTCGGGGTCCCCTTCATGAAGCCACTCCCAGGACTGCAGGGGGCCGTTTGGGTTTACCCCCCATGAAACTGCCTTTGCAAAAATTATAACTGAGGAAATGATGACAGTGAAAGAAATCAGACCTAACTGACTCCATATTCCTTCTAACCTTTAAGCTGTCCTTATTCATCCCTGGGCGTAGGCCGAACTAACTTTGGGAAGGAATTCAGTTCATGGTTTGACTCTGAAACAAAATTGGTAACAGCCCTTTCCCGAATAGACCCCCTTCTTGCCTGAGGACCAGTCTGCCTTTGTAGGACTAACAAATTAGCTGCAAGATTAGAAATTATGGTTTAGGGGTCTTGTGGCCTCCGGCTGTGAGAGTCTGAACCTCCCCAAATTGCTTCTGGGGATCACCTCACTATTGTAAAACCTGAGATCAGTGCTGGGGATATTCTGCAGACCCCGCACTCATGGATCAGCTGACACCACCTAGACCAGTCATCTGGCTCAACCAGTTCCGCCATCCCACCCAGGAACAGAAGACAGCAAGAAAAACTCACTTTGACCCCCTATGAATCCATCTCCAAACGGACCAACCAGCATTCCCCACTTTCTGAGCCCCTACCTGCCAAATTATCTTTAAAAACTCTGATCCCCAAATGCTCGGGGAGACCCTTTTGAGTAATAATAAAACTCTGGTCTCCCGCACAGCTGGCTCTGCGTGAGTAACTCCTTCTCCTTTGCAATTCCCCTGTCTTGATAAATCGGCTGTGTCTAGGCAGCCGGCGAGGTGAACACACTGGGCGGTTACACCAGGATTAATGAAACTGACGCAAAGCTCCTTTGTGCCGAAGCTGGAACTCATGCCTCCCACCCGCCGTCCACGTGGTATCCAGCTGCACGGTCATGCGGTGTCCAGCTGCATGGTCACGTGACATTGCAGCTGTGCCGTGGCGTTGGCAAGACTGTGACACACGGCGGCCCCACGCGGTGTCCACTGCACAGTCACATGGCATTGCAGCACTGCCGTGGCAATGGCAAGACCTGTGACACACGGCGGCCCCACGCGGTGTCCACTGCACAGTCACGTGGCATTGCAGCTCCGCCGTGGTGACGGCAAGACTGTGACACACGGCGGCCCCACGCGGTGTCCACTGCACAGTCACGCGGCATTGCAGCTCCGCCGTGGTGACGGCAAGACTGTGACACACAGTGGCCCAAACGTGGGGGGCTCTTCCATTCCTGTATTACTTGATCGAAGAAGTCTGTAGGTCAAACGCCCTTGCCAATTACAGTTGCTAGACTTTAAAGTGAAAATGCATTTTCTTGCCCTCACCATTTAAAAGCCAAAGCTCAGAACTTTGAGTTTTAAGTGAAAGTCCCAAATGATGGGATTCAATTTCTTTCCCCCAGGTCACAGCCAAAGGGGCTGTCATGCAGGGAGATGAGGGGCCGCACAGGCACTCTGGGACCTGGGGCTTTCTTCCTCAGGAGGCCCAGGGGCGCGGGTGAGGTGTCGGCTGCTTTGCACCCAGGCCACGCTGCTTCCAGGGGCCTTGTGGCTGGCAGAGTGGACCTAACGTTTCCCAGACGCCGTTGCGGGGGGCTCCTGTCCTGGGGAGGGCAGATTTTCTCCTGCGTGTGGGTAACTTGTAAGGTGGCAAGGCTGCGTTCCCCGGACCCCCGTCTGCGAGGATTCTCTGAGGTCCAAGTTTCCAACGACTTTCTCTGGAAAGGTTTTGCCTTTGCTTCTCCCAGAAGCTTGGGTTGCCAGGACTCCCTCAAACTAAATTTTTGGCCTGGGGTTTTTCCAGTCATCCAGTGAGCGTGAGTTCTGGCCACACTGCCCCTGAGGTGGGCTTGTGACTGGAATTTCCTGGGGTGACCTTTTTCTGCTTTTCCGCCTGCTTCCAGAGCCAAGGCGACGCGCCCACTGTCTCCCAGCTGGGTGGGCTTCCCCAGGCCGTCTGTGGGGCCTCCTTGATCCTCCCGTGGGCAGGTCTCACGTCCCCTTTGCCTCTGGCTCCCTGTGTGCGTGGCTCACTCAAGCCAATGGGAAAACCCCGGAAACTCTACAGAGAAGTAGGTAAAATCCATGGACAGAATGTGTAGAACAAGATTACAAATGGCTCTGAAATATAGGGAAAGAGGCTCGTAGTAAAGAAATGCAAGTACAAGCTATGCAGAGATGCAGTTTCTCACATATCAGACTGGCAGCGATTCAAAAGCGCGACTGCGGTGGAGGAGGCCGTGGGAAACTGGCTCCCTCAGACACTAGGAGGGAAACTGTCCACCCGAGGGAGCGGAAGGTGGCAGTAGCTAACAAAATTACACTGGCTTTGCCCCTTGACCCAGCGATTCGATTTCTAGGAATTTCCCCCGAGGTGACACCTCTGCAAACAGGGAACAGTGCATGCTTGAGGGATGCAGCACAGCCTCATTTGTCACAGCGAGACACTGGGAACGACCTGAGTGCTCATTCACCAGGCAGGGCTGTGCAAATGGGAACAGCCACAGCGCGGGGCATCATGTGGCCGTGGGGAACCTGGGGAGCCTAGGGGGCCTGGGGGGACTGGGGAGAACTCAGGGAGTCGGAGCACGGGAGGACAGACAGGCTGCTCAGTGTGGCAGGTGCAGCGCCGAGGGCGTCTGCAGGTGGGTGAGAAGGGGGTGTAAGGGGACACACACACACACCACACATGCACATGCAATCCACACACACAAATCACACACACACGTAAGCCACACACACAAATCACACACATCAGACACACCACACACGTACATGTAAACCACACACACAATCACACACCACACACACGTAAACCACACACACAAATCACACACATCAGATACACCACACATGCACATGTAAACCACACACAATCACACACCACATGCACCATACACGCACATGTAAGCCACATACAAATCACACACACTACACACACACTTAAACCGCACACACAAACCACACACATCAGACACACCACACATGCACATGGAGACCACACACACAAATCACACACACCACACACACACATATCACACACATCATACACACACATAATACACACACACAAATCATGGCACACACCATACATGCACATCTAAACCACACACACACAAATCATATACACGCACACACACCACACACGTCAACTATACACACAAAAATCACACATTCCTTCACTACACAGGCATATATAAACTACACACAGAAATCACAAAGGCAGACACACTACACATGCATATGTAAATTACACACACATAAACTACACACACAACCTATACACACAAATCATACATGCACTATACATGCACATATAAACTACACACTATACACACACAAATCACCCACATGCACACACACGGCACATACTACACCTACACCTGTGAACTACACACATACGTAAACTACACACACAAACTACACACAGATATAAACCACACACACAAAGTACACACACATAAACCACACACACAAACTACACACACATGAACTTCACACACAAACTACACATACATATAAATGATACACAAACTATTCACACACAAACTACACACATAAACCACACACACACATAAACCACACAAAACACACACACATAAACTACACACACAAACTGTTCACACATATAAAAACACACACAAAGTACACCCAAACTATACACACAAACCACACACACATATAAACCACACACACAAACCATACACATACATATAAACCACACACACAAAGTACACACACATAAACTATACACAAACTACACACACACATATAAACCACATACACAAACTATACACAAACACATAAACTACACACACAAACTACATACACATATAAACCACACACGCAAAGTACACACATGTAAACTGCACACACAAACTATACACACACAAAGTGCACACACATAAACTACACACAAACCACACACACATACAAACCACATACACAAACTATACACACACACATAAACTACACACACAAACTACATGCACATATAAACCACGCAAAGTACACATTCATAAACCACACACACAAACTATACACACATATAAATCACACACAAAGTATACACATGTAAACTGCACACACAAACTATACACACACAAATAAACCACACACACAAAGTACACACACATAAAGTACACACGAACCACACACACATATATAAATCACATACACAAACTATACACAAACACATAAACTACACACACAAACTACACGCACATATAAACCACACACACAAAGTACACTTTCATAAACTACACAAACTATACACACATATAAACCACACACACAAAGTACACACATGTAAACTGCACACACAAACTATACACACACATATAAATCACACACACAAAGTACACACACATAAACTACACATGCAAACTATACACACACATATAAATCCCACACACAAAGTACACACATGTAAACTACACACAGAAATGATACACATATAAACCACACACACAAACTACACATACATAAACTACACACAGAAACTATACACACACATATAAACCACTCACACAAACTACACATACATAAACTACACACACATAAATCACACACAAACTACACACACAAACTCTACACACACATATAAACCACACACACAAACTACACACACAAACTCTACACACACATATAAACCACACACACAAACTACACATACATAAACTTCAGAAACTACACATTCATATAAATGATACACACACAAACTACACACACATATAAACCACACACACAAACTACACACACATAAACTGCACACAGAAACTATACACACACATACAAACTATGCAAACTATACACACCCATATAAACCACACACACAAACTATACACACATAAACTTCACACACAAACTACCCATTCATATAAATCATACACACACAAACTACACACACACATATAAACCACACACACAAAGTATACACACATAAACTACACACATATAAACTACACATGCAAACTATACACACATAAACTAAACACACAGACTACACACATATAAACTACATATGCAAAGTATGCACATGCACATAAACCACACACACAAACTGTACACACAATATAAACCATACACACGAGCTACACACACATGTAAACTACATACAGAAACTACACACACACATAAATAACCACCAGGTGGGAGGACTGGGTGGAGTGAGAAGTCAGAGAATCCTTTACATATGTGTTGACTTTTGAAACACGTAAATGTTTACACGTTCAGAAATAGAATTAAATTGACAAGCACAAAAAAATTGAACATTGAATTCAAACAGAAATCAATGAACCTAAAACAATTGACAGCAACACCAGATGGAAACAAGAATGGAAGTGGCTTTCGAAGGGGCCTCTGGCTGTGGGGACCCGCAGCTCCGCGTCGCAGGCTGGTTTTGTCGCAGCAGGAGCGCTGCTGTGGTCGTCTGAAACCACTGTCTGTGGATTAAGGGCTGGTCACCCCCAGCAGCTTGGTGGTCCTCCTCGGAACCAGGACTCTTTCTCTCGCTGGGAGGCGGGAGATAGGGATGTGGAACGGGAAACAAAGAGGGTTCCTGGGGGCTTGTGCTTGGACCGGAAGCGGCAGCAATAACTCATAATTCAAAAAAAATCCATTTTCTGTCTCTAACCACTGAAAGGAGCTAACATTGGCGCTACCCAAGCACACAGGCACACGGGTGGTTTCCGAAGCTGTGCGGCACGATGGGGCCTAAGTCCAGATCTGGGTGGAGGTGGGCACAGGATGAGCCAGAGTATGGATCGCGTCGCGCCAGGAGGGCGGACGCACTTGAGGACAGACGGGCATGCCTCAACAGGCCAAAAAGGCCAGGTGGAAGGGGCTCTGGTGGCCAAATTTGAGACATAGGATGAAGAGCATTGGATGAACAGTATAGTCCATGGCGGCCCTAGAAGGAGGGAGCACTTCCTCCTAGAACAATCCAGCCAACTTGGGAGAGGCGATGGGTTTGAAAGTCCCCATTTGTGCACTCCCCCTGGAATGAACACATTCAGGTGAAGATCAGCAGCGGATGTTGAAGTCGGCTGAATAGCATCCCCAAGGCAAGTGCCTATCCTAAGCCCCAGAACCTGTAATCACAGGTCCCCTTGTATGGCAAGAGGGGCTTTGCAAATGTGGCTAAGTGAGGGACCTGGAGATGGGGAGGCCACCCTGGATTATCCAGGTGGGCCCTGGTGATCTTCAGGGTCCTTTTAAGAGGGAGGCAGGAGGTTCAGAGCCTGAGGAGGGGATGCAGTGATGGACGCGGAGCTTGGAGGGATGGGGTTTGGAAACGGAGGAAAGGGCCACACATGTACCCAGGAACACTGGTAGAAGGAATGCAGCCCTGCCGACACCGATCTCAGCCCGGTGTGACCCATTTTAGACTTCCGGTCTACAGAGCTGGGAGAGAACACACCTGTGTTGTTTGTGGTAATCTGTTACAGCAGCCACAGGCAACTAACTCGGGTGCCAAAGCCATTGAGTTAAGGGCTGTTGGGGAACAGGATATTCACGCTCCTAGGACCACCAGTTACAAAGGGGAGGGGGACTTACGCAGGAGCAGCTGGCGACAGTCCTTCCCCCATGACTGGATGTAGCATCACCTGGGAGGGACAGCTGACATGTCCCCTGCTGTGACGGGCAGAGGACAGCGTCTCCTGTGAGTGTTGCTGCACAAAACACCACACCCGAATTTCATGCTGGGCCAGTCTGGGTTATGCTGCTTCCTGCCGGACAGCTGACCAGACCCTGGAAGCCAGTGGTGTCACTAAAGGAAAAGAGCTCATCTGGTGTAGGAGGCTTAATTGTGGCAGGAGGGCATAGGTGGGGGGGTGGTAAGAAGGAAGTGTCAGGAGGGAATGATGCTGCTAGGCATTTGGAGGCGGAGCTCAGGGGCAGGAAGAGGATTTGGAAGAATGATGGATAGAATTGATGACAGGCTGAATTTTAGGTGTCTGAGAAAAATCCAAGTGGAAACAATTCAGAAGATGCATGAATATTCAAGTATGGGCATGGAAGAAAAGTCTGGACTGGAAATATATATTTAAAAGTAAATAGGGCGGCCAGTTGCAGTGGCTCATTCCTTTATTTCCAGCACTTTGGGAGGCTGAGGTGGGCGGATCACGAGGTCAGGAGATCGAGACCATCCTGGCCAGTACGCTGAAAGCCTGTCTCTATTAAAAATACAAAAATTAGCTGGGCATGGTGGCATGAACCTGTAATCCCAGCTACTTGCGAGGCTGAGGCAGGAGAATCGCTGGAATCTGGGAAGTTGGAGGTTGCAGTGAGTCAAGATCGCCACTGCACTCCAGCCTGGCAACAAAGGAAGACTCCATCTCAAAAAAAAAAAAAAAAAAGTACAGGGTATGAGTGACAGTTAAAGTCACACCTGTGAATTGGTGGAAAGATGTGAAACAGCCAACTCAGGGTCCGAAATGAAATAAGACAGACTCATGTTTCCTGACTTTACTATAACATTGCCTATTGCATTTTCAAGCATGAAGGGGAAAATATATATTTTTTTATGGAGATACTTTGATCTTTCAAATTCTGGACCTGGGATGTGAAATGGCCATGGCCTTAGTTATTTTAACTGGCTAACTCATAGAATCCCTTTTCTGTGTTCCACAAATGTGCCACATTTTGTGCTATTCATATTCCTTTATCTAGTATATCCTCTTTCATTAATCTATTTTAGTGCAGTAATAGTTATATTTGCAGATCTAAGAACTAATTGCTTGACTTTGTTAATGGATAAAACAAACTGTAATATATTTTAAAGAGGTTTATTCTGAAACAATATGAGTGACTGAGGCCTGGAGAAAACACGCAACCAAGAAGGCTTGAGTAAGTGGTTCCGAGGTGGCCGGATTGGTTTGGTTTTATACATTTCAGGGAGGCAGGAGTTACAGGCAAAGACATCAACACATGGAAGGTATACACTGGTTCGGTTCAAAAAGGGGGATTATCTTCAGGAGACGTCTTATAGGTTGTAGGTGGACTTGGGGATTCTCTGGTTTGTGATTGGTTAAAGGAGTAAGGCCCTGTCTACAGCTTAGAGTTGACAGAAAGGAAGGTAAGAATGCTCTGTCAGAGTCAGCCACAATAAAATGCCCTGGTTAGCAAGCCTGATGGCCTGCAGGCCTGACTTACACCTGCCTTGCATGGCCTTAGGGCTTGTTCATAATTTGTTATCTTATGGCCACACAGGGTCTGTTCTGTCAGTCTTAGGATCTCTATTTTAACACCGCTGCTGGTTACTTGTTGAGTCCAAACTCCAAAACAGAGGAGGTATGATGAGGTGTGTCTGACCTCCCTTTCTTTCAGGGCCAGAAACAGCTTTTCAGTTTTCTCTGGGGTCCTCTTGGCCAAGAAGTTTCTGTTCAGTTGGTTGGGGGGCTTAGAATTTTATACTTAGTTTACAACCTAGCGTTGGTCTATATTATATGCTCAGGAAAGTTTCTGAAATAGCCCTGGACTGGTTGGGTGATCTAGGATATGGAAAATGGGCCTGTGTCCTGAATGATGCACTTGAAAATGGAATATAAGACTCTGTAAAACTCAAAGCATCTGTGAACACAAAATTCAATTGAGTTGATTTTCCGCAGGCTTTCTCCACTGCTAACAGTTACAATTCAATCTCAGTTATACATGGTGTCCAAAAGAAGCACATTGTGGTGACCAGCAGAAACCAATTTTTGCTTGAAGAATAAAGGTTGCAATTTTGCAAAGGTCATGTGTTATATAAATTTTCAGTAAGATGAGATAGTTTTAAATATTTATGGCATGGACCTAAAATACACTTGCACTCTTTAGGATGAAGGAATCTATTAATTTTTTGGTAAGTGAGGAATTTAAATGGCCACTAATTTCTTCCACGAACAGCTCTGCACGTTTTTCTCCACGTGTTTGTAGCGTGTACCCTTATCGGTCAAGCAACACTGAGGGGTATTCTGTGAGCACATCTTTAGAATGATACATTAAAATTCTAGTAAATCTTAAGGCCTAGATGATATAAACTCTGAAGTCATCTTGCTCAACAGAAATTATCAATAAACCTTTTTATAGTTCACTAAAAATAAAGAACAGAGTTAATAATCTTGACATTTTTATTCCTGCAAGTTGAAAAAGTTCATGTGTTTTTTCTCAATCTACTAAAGATCTAAATTATTTTGATATAGTTTCAGACTTACTTTGTAACTGAAAGTGATTTTTCTCATTTTTGTTGATAGAAATAAAAACATCAGTAGGAGGGGAAGGAGGAAGGAAGGAGAAGAAAGAGGAAGAATAGGAGGAGAAGAGGAAGAGAGGAAGAAGTCGTGAACAGCCCTCCTGCATTTTGCATCAGGTAGAAAAGTCAGTTGAATGTTGGGAAGAACACAAATAGTAAGTACATAGATTTTCATGTAATAAAAATACCCATTGTTATCAATGCAGGAATGTGCATTTTTTGAGTCACCATAAGATGACAGAGAGCCCCTGGGGCCACCCTTTGGTGTCTCCCAGCTTCCGATGGCAGTCAAGCTTGTAGCAGAGGGACCTGCGTCCCATGTGCCCCTCATCTCCACACTGCCCTAGGCTTGGCTAAGGGAACTATTGTTGTTCATGTTCCCAAGGGCAACTGTGCAAATGTTCCACTTGCCCTTCAGCATGGGGTGATTCTCCTATGCACAGAAGCAAACACAATAGTTTAAAACAGGGATAACTCAGTAGATTACCCCTGATACATCCAACTGTGCTTTATCGTTATCTTGTTACAGTTTCTGGGTGGAGCCTATTTTTCCAGCTTTTGGCTGCTCTGAGCCGAAGGATGGTAGTAGGGCAGGAGAAGGGGAATTGAATTAATATTTATCAAGGGCCTGACACGAGCCCAGCACTGTGAAGACACCCTCTACACCTGTTATCTTACTAAATCCTCAGTTCAATCCTTTGGGACAAGTGTCACGCTGTTTGCAAATGAGGAAACTAAAACTCATTAAAAATAAGCGACATGCGCAGATCATGTAGATAATATAGAGTAAGGGTTTAAACTCTGGACTCTTTGGGACCAGTAACCATCCTCTTAACTGTTCCACACTTTCTTCCATGTAATGTAGAAATATTTGATTTATTAATAATGTATTCCTTTACAACTTCTGAATGGGATCTGAGATAAATGTATTCATAAGCCCTATATATGATAGTTAAGTATAAGGTGAAAATAGGGAACCATTTAGACAAAAGAGAAGATGATTACATATGAGGCTAACATAGTAAGATCATGAAAATTAAGTTTAGTTTCTCTTCTCCGGTTAGACAAGAGGAAGGGAGGTGTGGCAGGTCCCTGGCTTTCCCCATTTCTCAGGGCAGACCTTGGGTTGTGATCTGATCTCATGTGGTTCTCCAAGACC
This sequence comes from Homo sapiens, assembly GCF_000001405.40. Classification (NCBI taxonomy): domain Eukaryota; kingdom Metazoa; phylum Chordata; class Mammalia; order Primates; family Hominidae; genus Homo; species Homo sapiens. Next base: position 41,788,255 of record NC_000009.12, read on the forward strand.
TTCAGGGAAGACTTTGTTCTGTTTTGTTAAGTTTGAGGTTATTTCTCAATTTGTTTGTCATTTTGCTGATTAAGAAGCATAACAGAAATTTATTCTGCAGAAAAGGAAACTGATTAAGAAAACGCAGTGCTTTTATCAGGGACTTTCCAGGATAGATGAATAGATACTGTATATTTATTATTTCAACTCGTGAAAAAAAATCAAGGACATGTTATTAAATTGTAGTTTCTTGAAAATCTTTTAACAGTAAATAAATCTAATGCATACCAAGTACTTTGCCATTCAGTGGTCTAACAATAAAAAGAGATAACCTAAAGAATATCTGGCTTGTGTGTTCCTTAGGTCAACATGTGTAAATAACTAGCAGGTTGGAGGCATTATGTTTCACTTCCACGCAACCTGTTGCATTTTGCAGGGGTCAATGATTTAGGCACCAATGCCCCTGTGTTTTTTAAAGGGACAAAATACAACCACAATTTCCCTGAACTATGGATTTTAGACTCTAGTTACATATGGGCTAATTTAAATATTCCAAGTAAAGCATATAAGAAAATATAGTCAAAATAGCATGATAATAATTTGACAAGTAAACATCATCGCACTTTCTAAAGCATCCATCTGTATGACAAATTATATGGTCCACCCTATTTATCAGGTCCACCCTAATAACAACCCTCTCTTGAAGGATTATATTACCCTGGTCTTTCAAATGAGGAAATTAACAGTATTGAGATCTCAACCAAAAGGTCTGGCTTCAGAGCTGGCGTGCTTAGTCACTGTACTGTATGGCCGCTCTGCATTCTAGTTTTATTATTATGATCTGGTTGTAAGTGAGTTTACAAGAGACAAGGGGAGAAGAGTAGGCATAAAATAGAAGCCAAGATCTAGAATCACTCATTCAAAATATATGGTTACTATTTCCCCCTTTCCACAGTCACTTAGAAGGCACTCCTGATACATTTTAAACCTAAGTCTTAGAATAGTATTAGATTCCTGAGAAAATGACAGCTTTTCCTCTTTGATAAAAAGTCTTGTATTAATTACGTGTCCCCTTTGCTTTGACTGTTATAATAAAGCCTTATATCTTAAAGATGTCCACAATGCCAGCCCTCCACAAGTCTCACCTTCAGCATTTTCTTACTATTCCAGTTTACATTATTTCCTGCTCCTAATTTTTAAGCTTAAATTACTTAGCCATTTTTATGTGGTTATCCATCTGGTCAAGTGACTTGGAAATGGGGCAACAAAATAGAATGACAGATTGGTTTGCATAGGAAAACAGACAGAAAAGGAACGACAGCAATACAGGACCAGATGGATGTTTCCCAGAAGCAAAGAAAAGGGGCCTGCCCTTACAGGAGTATGTGGGCACTGATGGATGAGGTTCTTTATGCCTTCCGAAAGAGGAGCCAAGCCGCTGATGAGTGAGGTAACTAAGAGCTCTCATGCTCTTAGTGAGCTAAGGTCCACCTGCTGCTAAGATTACCTCAAAATACTAAGCTTAACGTAAAACTCCAGTTTTAGAATCATATTAAAAATAATTTGGTTAAGGATGAGCTGTGAAATAATTAATTCAAATGCTGCTAACTGAGCACTTCAGTTAGTGCTCCTCAAAGCTGTGAGAAATAGGCTTATGCTCAGTTCCTCCTGGGTGCTGTAAAAGGAACATAAAATCTCTGGACCCCAAACTCACTAAGCTGAAGGGAACAGTCAAGCTGAGAACTGGGTCATGCCAACCAGCCTCCCATTTTGTTCCCAAATAAGACAGCTACAGATTTAAAAGGATACATGCCTCTCTCACAATTTGCTCAAAACGAAATTCTTTGTGGGTCCCAAGATCTTTACCCTAAAACAGTTCTGTTGAATTTCACCCAGAAAATGCAAGAGAACAGCTATCTTCACAGATCCCGGAACAAAGGACAAAGGATAGAACTAAAAGCTCCCCCCACCCGCCGCCCGGCACCAAAGGAGTCATATCTGATTACTTCCTTTGGAAAGGCTAATCAGAAACTGAAAAGAATGTAACTGTTTGTGTCTCACCTATCTGTGACCTGGAAGCTCCCTCCCAGCTTTGAGTCTTCCTGCCTTTGCTTCCAGTTGTTCTGCCTTTCCAGACCCAACCAATGTACTTCTTATATCTATTGATTGATGTCTCATGTCTCCCTAAATGTAAAAATCAAGCTGTGCCCCAACTGCCTTGGGCACATGCTATCAGGACCTCCTGAGGCTGTCATGGATGCGTCCTCAACCTTGGCAAAATAAACTTTCTAAATTAACTGAGACCTGTCTCAGATTTTCTGGGTTCACAAATGCATATCTGATTACTTCCTCTACTTTATGTTTATTTTATCTTATGTAAAAATGCAAATTCACTGAGTGTGAGATGAATGCATAATTGACTATTTCTCTACCCCTTCCTTTGACATGTGAAATGTGGATTCAGTGCACACTGATCAAAGACTCAACAGAATGCAACTGCCTGCCCCTTTTATCTACCCTTCCCCTTTTTTCTTTTCTTCCTCTTTCTCCTACTGCTTGCTCTTTCCCATTAAATACTAAAATTCGCAGGCCCTCTTCAGAAAAAGCATGGATCACAGATTGTTCTTGTGGTTTTGTGTTCCTTTTTCCCGGGTGCGTTCTTAACCTTGTCAAAATAAACCTCTAACATGATTGAGACGCTCCTCAGTCATTTTCTTTGACTGTCAGTGGTGAAGGTTTGTTGCATGAGTCAACTTCTGTCTCACTCTGAGTCTTCTTCTGGCTGCTTTCAATGCCAACACAAAGTGCTCCCTCTAACTCCTTGACATTTCTTCTGTCATCACTATCTCTAGGATTTCTGTTTATTGCTTTTGTTATGGCCACCGTCAGCTTTCAGGCATGCAAATCCCCAGTTTCTTCTCTATGTGGTTTATATTTAAGGTGAACAAGGGAGTCTCATGGGTTGGAAAGTCACCGTCTGATATGATCCAGACCTTTGGCTGCCCGTGGTTAATGAGCAACCTGGTGAGAAATAGTGGCAGTGAGAATGCCATATGAGCTTAATAAAAAGTCTGGGGTGATACACCCAAGGATTTGCTTCTAATTGCATTTACCAGACAGGGCAGTGTTGAGTGCAGACAACTTTAAAAGGGGCAATTACCCAGCCTGCTAAACCTGCTATAGGTAAAGGAGTGTGCTGGGCAAGGTGCCAGAACATTGTATAAAATGATCATTATAGATTAAAGAAACACAGGCATACCTAGGGCCGTGGGCATTTGATACATCAGATCTAAAAGAATAATACATATGCTTCAGACCAGTTGTAAGAAAATTTACTTTTCTGTATAGCAGGGTCTAAAGTGCATTTATAGGAGGCAAAGATGCCTCATCAGAAAACTAAAGAAGTTCTGAAAAAAAGCTAATATGATACTTGAGAGCATGTCTGTTTCCATCTCATCTAAGTCACAGGAAGAGGAAACGGCCGCATTTACGAAAGTGTGAATTGGAAGCCCCTGAAAAATGTGACTGGATGGGATGAAACACTTGTGTGACACTTTAATAATGGGTATTGGCTAGCTCCTCATTATTTTCCACTGCAGTAAAGTGCGGCATGCAGCAAGATGTCAGTGTAGCATTTACCTATGCAGTGCCACTCTGCTGCAGAGTTTTAAGGATTGAAGATAAGGAAGTGCTACCCGAAAGCTGGCAAATACACGACACATTGAAAGATAAAGAAAGTTGACTTTTGCTGAGTACCTGCTTTGTGCTAGGCACTGGTTTCCAAATTTTGCTGCACAATGGAATCATCTTGGATCTTTAAAAACTGTTGATGCCTGGTTCCCATGCCTAATATTTTGACTTCATGGATGTTGCGTGCAATGTGGACGCTGTGTTTCTAAAAGCTTCCCACTTCATTCTAATGTGCAGCAGTTTGGGAATCACCCTACCAGACTATTACATTTCTTTTTTTTTTTTTCCTTCCTTCCTTCCTTCCTTCCTTCCTTCCTTCCTTCCTTCCTTCCTTTCTTTCTTGATGGAGTTTCGCTCCTGTTGCACAGGCTGGAGTGGAATGGCACAATCTCAGCTCACCACAACCTCCGCCTCCTGGGTTCAAACGATTCTCCTGCCTCAGCCTCCTGAGTAGCTGGGATTACAGGCATATGCCACCATGCCCGGCTAATTTTCTATTTTTAGTAGAGATGGGGTTTCTCCATGTTGGTCAGGCTGGCCTCAAACTCTCGACCTCAGGTGATCTGCCCACCTCAGCCTCCCAAAGTGCTGGGATTACAGGCGTGAACCACTGTGCCTGGCCCAAACCATTCCATTTCTACTCATTATCTCACTTAAGCCACAGTGAAGCCTGTTGTTACCGATGAGGTCATAGAGGCTAGATGACCCCAGAAAACTTGCCTAGTTTTGGGTAGTGGAATAGACTAAAATCTGATCCTGTGGCTGTAAAACTCTGAAGCTTGGGTTCTTCTCACTCTTCCACACTGGTAGAATTCATGCACTGTAAGGAAAGAAAGGTTTTCTCTTTAATTTTCCCTGTGCTGGTAGCTAGCAGAGAATTGTAATTCATTTAGTAGAGGAAAAAAACCATATATATACTGGGCTATTTTATTAAGGATTGGGTTTTGGTTAAGATCAGACAATGAAACCTATTATAAATTTCCAAAGATATGCAGGTCAGACCATGCTACACCATGTTTCTGGGAGCCCAGAATGCAGAAACAAACATCAAAGTTCTCTTGTAATTTCATGGAAATATTTCATGTTAAAATTGTATTAATTTCAAAAGGTTAGAGTAGAAAATGAGAAGTATACACTTCATTAATTCTCAAGTTCTATATTTGCCAGAAACTTATCTCACCTTCATTAAAAAAAACTCTTATTACTTGATTTCAGAACACTTATAAAACATACTATGGGCCAGGCAAGGGGGCTCACGCCTGTAATCCCAGCACTTTGGGAGGCCGAGGCCGGCAGATCGTGAGGTCGGGTGATCGAGACCATCCTGGCTAACACGGTGAAACCCCGTCTCTACTAAAAATACAAAAAATTAGCCAGGCGTGGTGGTGGGTGCCTGTAGTCCCAGCTACTCGGGAGGCTGAGGCAGGAGAATGGCGTGAACCTGGGAGGTGGAGCTTGCAGTGAGCCGAGATCGTGCCACTGCACTGCAGCCTGGGTGACAGAATGAGACTCCATCTCAAAAAAAAAAAAAATACTATGGCATCCTCAGTAGTGACTCAAAATCAGAGTTACAAAAATAAGTAAAATGAATTTTCAAAAACAAACAAAACATGTTGAGCTAGGAAAACAAACTGAGATTGAAAATACATCCTAAAATAAAATCCTATGCAAAATTCAACATAAATAAGAAGATACTTCTGATGCTATACAGAAGAAAAATAAAATAGGTAGGAAAAGGGCTTTTCAGACCAAAATAAAGAAGAGAAGAAAATGGAGGGACGGTCCTGGTAGAATGCCAGAGTAATCTCTTCAGACACCGTGATCCTCTGGGGGTGTTCTCTTCTCAGGCATCTGACATTAAGAAAGGAAGCTTGCATTTCCCACTCCTATTGTAGTGCTTGATTCTCTATGTTTAGACGTATGCTACCTATGTCCAATAATATTGAACATATAGATTTATATCTTGTTTTTTCTATGTATTTGTCATGTCCATGTTTGACAAATGTTCATATTTATTACATTTAATAACAACAGAAGCTTATCGCCTCATGTTGGGTGTTAAAATTTTCTTAACTATTTTCTTACTCTTGGATATTTAGACTGTTTTCACTTTTTCGATGTAACATTGAACGTCTTGTAAACATAATTTTAAAAAAATGGCCGGCGGGCACGGTGGCTCACGCCTGTAATCCCAGCACTTTGGGAGGCTGAGTCGGGCGGATCACGAGGTCAGGAGATCGAGAAAATCCTGACCAACATAGTGAAACTCCGTTACTACTAAAATACAAAAATTAGCCAGGCATGGTGGCACGTGCCTGTAATCCCAGCTACTCAGGAGGCTGAGGCAGGAGAATCACTTGAACAAGCGAAAACGCCCGGGCGCTGTGGCTCACACCTGTAATCCCAGCACTTTGGGAGGCGGAGGTCACAAGGTCAGGAGATTGATCGAGAACATTCTGGCTAACACAGTGAAACCCCGTCTCTACTAAAAACACAAAAAATTAGCCGGGTGTGGTGGCGGGCGCCTGTAATCACAGCTACTCAGGCGGCTGAGGCTGGAGAATCGTGTGAACCCAGGAGGCAGAGGTTGCGGTGAGTGGAGATTGCGCCACTGCACTCCAGCCTGGGTGACAGAGTGAGACTCTGTCTCAAAAAAAAGAAAAAAAATCTTGTCTTAGGATAAATTCCTGGTAGTGAGATATTAGTTAAAGGAGGATGACATTTTTACAAATTATATAGCATCTGTATGTTACTTTCTGAATGCATCCATTAGGTTACAAGGTCACAAGTAGCACATGATGCATCCCGTTCTCCACAGGACTGCCAGGAAAGGCTTATCTTTTCAGAGAGATTTTATTAGTAATTAGACATAAAATGGTGCTTTGAACTACTGTAACTTGCATGTCTATGGTTATTAGATAGATAAAATTTTTCCCACTTTTTAAACTATTTACATTACCTCATATGTGATCTTGACAATAGAGTTTTTTCCTTTTGTTTTTTACTGCTCTTGAATTTCCTCCTATTTTTTGAAATAACTTACTTAATATAGAGAGTTGTCTTCATGATGGTAGTATTATTCACAATATTTCCCAACTTCGTTGTGTTCCTTATATAGCTCTAGTCTTCTTATGCAGATATTTTCATTTGTATGCATTTAATTTTTTAAAGAATATCTTCTATTGCTTATAATCTGTGAAAGTTTGTATTTCTTTATCTCTGCTTAGACCTAGTGACTCCCTCATTTTATTATCTGTGAGCTTTTCTCTCCATTAGGTTAGCACAGCCTTCTATAATCTGACCTTATCACACCTTACAGAAGCATCATTTGACACACTTCAACTCAGCACCTCAGATCTATTTGGCCCATCCCTTTTCTTCCACACAAACATACCATGTTCATTTATGCCTTGGGGCATTTGGCCTGTCTTAGATGCCTGCCCATTCTTATTTCCTCTACCCATTCAAAGTCTACCTATCAGGGGGACAGATGCCTTGATTACACTCCTCCCCTTGATTTACTTAGTCACATGAACTCCTATAACCTCCTATAACTTGCAGAGTCAATATTTATTTATTTATTTATTTTTTATTTTTTTTGATATGGAGTCTCACTCTGTCACCAGGCTGGAGTGCAGTGGCATGATCTCAGCTCACTGCAAGCTCTGCCTCCCAGGTTCATGCCATTCTCCTGCCTTAGTCTCCCAAGTAGCTGGGACTGCAGGTGCACGCCACCACACCTGGCTAACTTTTTTTGGTATTTTTAGTAGAGACGGGGTTTCACCATGTTAGCCAGCATGGTCTCAATCTCCTGACCTCATGATCTGCACGTCTCAGCCTCCCAAAGTGCTGGAATTACAGGTGTGAGCCACTGCTCCTGTCCCATAGTCAATATTTATAATTTGGCAATTACCTGTAATTATGTAGTCTCTTGTACGTATTTCAAATGTGTTAGCCTTGTCTTCTTAGACAAACTGTGATAATTAAGACATATTTCAGTGGTCTTTATAGCAGCTCTGATGACTGTTGAAATACATTTTTGAGTACCCTACATACTCACTGCATATTTAATTGGTTAAGAATTAAATAAAGAAGTGAATTTTTATCTGCAACTCAGTGGGTCAGGCCCATTGAACTCCAAGTGTCTCCAAGTCCTCGTCACCTGCCTTTGAGTGACATGACTCACTCAAAGGCAGGTGATAAGAAACAAGAAAACTGGAACTCATACTTTCAGAGATTTTCCTGCCTCGGATGTGAAGTCTCTTGGCTACTGGAGTCTGGAAGATGACTTCTAAACTGATTCTGACAGGATTGTAACTTGAAACCCTATTATATTCAGTTTCCCTCACTGGTCTCTTTACCCACCCCACACTAGGTGGTACCAGTACTGAGAACTAATTCCCTTCTAAATTCTAAACTCTAAACTGTGTCCACTTTCATCTCACTTATCCTGCCAGTCCCTCCACTCCCTTTCAAGTTTCCCCCTCAAAGCTTCAATTTGTTCTCTTTGGTTCTGATCGTGTTCATCAGCACTCTCCACATGCTTCAACCCATAACACTCCAACTTTCAAACTGGATCAAAACAACCATGACTTTTCCCGTTCCTGTCCCTGGGCTATAGAGTGTTGCCACAAGAATTCACCCACCAAGTGAGGTTGGTGCTCATGATTTACAGCCACGGGAGCAGCTTTGCAGAACTTTCAGCATCCTCTTCCATTTCTCCTATGGCTGTACCAAATCTTCACCACCCCTCAGAAGATTTTGCCTTTCATTCACAAAGAAAATTTGATTATCAGCCAGAAAGTCTCTCCATTGCCATGCTCTAAAACAACCAACCACATCAAGATATTACCCATATTTGCATGCAATCACGCTCACGTTCTTGTCTTCTAACCTGAGAAGGCTTGGAGGGAAAAACCCTTCTGCTCAAAGGCAGTCCATCCTCACATTGTTTACTCAGTCATAATCAAGATGCTGTCCAATTATTAACATCAGTCTTCCCTTTCATATATTTTTAATCTTTTCAATTTATAAACATGATCAACATTTTTTCCTGTGAAGAGAAAAACCAATTCTACATTTCAGACCTTGCTTTCTATCCACCCACTCTCTCCCTCAGCCATGGCCATTACCTCTTCAAGGCCAAACTTCTCCAAAAAAAAAGTCTTCCATCACTTCCTTGTCAGGTCTCCACCCACTTCCTTGGGTCTACGCACTTTTATAAACATTGAAGCCGTCAATTCCTCAGTAGTCAGATCCAAGCTCATCTGACTCTGGAATTTTCAGGTGTTAAGCCTTTCATCTTGTAACCCTGTCTTTCCCTGGCTTCCATGATACCGTTTTTCCACACCCTCTTAGGTCTCTGAATGTGCCTCCTTGGTCTCCATTGCTAACCATTCTTCCTGCCTGCTTCTTGAATGTGATGTCTCTCATGTTCCATCCTTGAGCTTATTTTTCACAATGTATTATTCTGAGTAATGTAAACCAGTGGTTTCCAATTTTAATGTACATATAAATTATCTGAGAATCTTAAAATGCATATTCTTATTCAATAGGTCTGGGATGAAGGATGAAATCGCGCATTTCAAACAAGCTTTCAAATGATGTCCATGCTCCTGGGCCATACACCACACTTTGAATAGTGAGGATCTAAACTACTTATTGGTCTCAGTTGGCGATAACCCCAAATCTCTGGCCAGTTCTATCTCCTGGGCAAATGCTATACAAATAGTTAAGCACCAAAGACAAACGTCTCAAAAACAAATATGCAAAACTGAACTCATTTTCTCTGTTTCCTCAATCAAATAATTTGCAGACATCCCTGTTTTAATAAATGGCATTATGTCCCTTCAGTTATGTAAGTCAGACCTGGAGTTACCCTGAGCTTTTTTTCACTATCTCTCCTGCCACTCATCCTCTACCTCGATATTCAGTTAATAAGAAAATACTGGCTGGGCGCAGTGGCTCACGCCTGTAATCCCACCACTTTGGGAGGCCGAGGCGGGTGGATCATGAGGTCAGGAGTTCGAGACCAGCATGGGCAATATGGTGAAACCCCGTCTCTACTAAAAATACAAAAGTTAGCCGGGCGTGGTGGTGTGCGACTGTAGTCCTAGCTGCTCGGGAGGCTGAGGCAGGAGAATTGCTTGAACCCAGGAGGCAGAGGTTGTAGTGAGCTGAGATCGTGCCACTGCACTCCAGCCTGGGTGACAGAGCAAGACTCCGTCTCAAAAAAAAAAAAAAAAAAAAAAGAAAGTACTGCTTACTCTACCTTCTTAACATCTCTTAAACTCATGGACGACTCTTTATCCCAGGCTACTGCCTTAATTAACAACATCAATATCTATTTTATGAATCATTTACAACAATTTGCAAACTCATTTTCTTGCCTTTACCATTGCTCCTCTCCAGACTCTCTACATTAGGAATATGTTTTTTAAAAATGAAAGCGTGACAAAGTCACTGTTTAAGGACAGTGTATCCAGCAAGTGATGAAGGAAGGCATCAGGCAAGAGGCACTGGAGCTTGAGTTGGTCATTTTTGGACACATGAACCAAGAGAGGCAGAGGGAGTGTAATGGTTTCCATTTCATCCCTGTGGCTCCATAGGATAAACCCCAAAACCCTTAACACAGACCACAAAGCCCTTGAAATCTTCTGTTTGCTAAACCTTCCTTCTTACAACCTAAACTTTTGGCATGCTTAGAGCTCCCAAGGTCCCTGTGCTCATCAGTCAACTCCTCTGTAAAGTGTCTTCTTATTGGCTCTTCCATTGGAATTCACGCTATCTGCCATACTTCTCCAGCCAATTAGCCTTTTTAACACTGTTGTTATAAAAACTGTGGAAGAGGAAATTAGTACAGAGAAAAGCAACAGGCTAGCAAAAATCAGGGGCTCGGGGAGGAAGTCAAGGGCTTATCTTTCTATCCCCAATTAGAATCAGCACATTTAAGAACACTTGTGAATGGAAACTCTAGATGGCAGCCATTCATTAAAAACCCTTCATTTTACATATGGTAATCTGAGACTTCATAAATGACTTGTAACTTCCAAGATTCCAAATCTAATCAGTCCCACAGATGACTTTTCACCTCCAGTCCCGTGCTCAGGTGTTTCTGTTCTGCCCATCACCCATTACAGAGGAAGTACGTTCATCTGGGGATGCTTTTCTCCAGGAGAGACTTCCCTAAGCCTTTTGACTATGCAGATGCTTTCATGCATCTAGAAATAGTTTATTGCCAGTATAATGCAAATTTTATTTCAGTGTAGAAAATAATTTCTAGACTCTCATGTCACATTACTTTTGGCAGGGGCTATTGTTGGAGAGTTAATAATTCTCTGAAAGTCACTGGTTCTTGGTTCTGTTTCTTTTAAAAGAAGAGAGCTCCTTTAATTTAAACATGTAATAACATCCAGAACAGGTTGCTTTTCCGGAAACTGTTAATAGAATCTGCATAGATAGACAATGATTAACATTATGCAAATCTTTTTTTTTTTTTTTTTTTTTGAGGCGGACTCTCGCTGTGTCTCCCAGGCTGGAGTGCAGTGGCGCGATCTTGGCTCACTGCAAGCTCTGCCTCCCAGGTTCATGCCATGCTCCTGCCTCAGCCTCCCGAGTAGCTGGGACCACAGGTGCCAGCCACCACACCCGGCTAATTTTTTTGTTTTTGTATTTTCAGTAGAGACAGGGTTTCACTGTGTTGGCCAGGATGGTCTCAATCTCCCGACCTTGAGATCCTCCCACCTAGGCCTCCCAAAGTGCTGGGATTACAGGCATGAGCCACTGCACCTGGCTGATTATGCAAATCTTAAGCATTATTTCAAAGGTCTTTATCTTGTCTTCTCTTGGATAGACATTAAGAGGTAGACAGGGTTCAAAAAACCTAGTTTACAAAAAGGGAAGTCATCAGAATTCCATGAAGAGATTTTGGGAATGTGCATCTTCAAGCCCTATTCTTGTATTCATATGATCTTGGAATCTGTCTTCAGAAATTGTTCCCATGTGACTCTGATGACCCTCATTAGTTAAGAATCACTCCCAGAGAATTTAAAGCTATATTGATCAAAGTGGAGGATCTATGACATGATCTAACCATTGATTTTTGATTCTGTATCATATCCTTCAGTATCACACTCTATTGACCAATAGAGTTAGGGGCCAAGGGAAAGCTTATCTTTTTGCCTTCAGTAGATTGACTGAAAAATCAACTCACAAAAGGCAGATTAGTGAGATAAATGGCATATACATTTACTAGGGTATATGAGAGAATCACAGAATGATTGCTCCACCACAAATTAGGGTACAGGTGATTATTCACTCTTATTAAGGGAAAGAGAAGTAGGGAAGTGTGAATGATTTTAGAGGGGTAGTAAATAATTTTGGGGGAGATTCAATGGGTTTGAAGAACATACAATGACCTGGGACCAAGTGTGTCGGGCCCGCAGAGCAGACAATGGTTTGTGACAAAAGTCTGTCCAGATATGTTGGCAGACTTCAGTCTTTCTTCCTTCAATACGATTTCAGTTAAGGAAAACTCAGGGAGAATACCAGAGGTAATTGTTTTCTTCTATGTTAGTTCCATACTTTAGGCCTATAAAGAAACTTCAGAGAACAACTTTATCTTGTGCTTTGGGAGAGAAAGGAGAGGAGGGAAGGTCAAAGAGACCTTGAAGTGGCTGAGCGTGGTGGCTCACACCTGTAATCCCAGCAGTTTGGGAGGCTGAGGCGGGCGGATCACAAGGTCAGGAGATCGAGACCATCCTGGCTAACACAGTGAAACCCCGTCTCTACTAAAAATACAAAAAATTAGCAGGGTGTGGTGACGGGCGCCTGTAGTCCCAGCTACTCAGGAGGCTGAGGCAGGAGAATGGCGTGAACCTGGGAGGTGGAGCTTGTAGTAAGAGGAGATCGTGCCACTGCACTCCAGCCTGGGTGACAGAGCGAGACTCCGTCTCAAAAAAAAAAAAAAAAAAAAAAGAGAGACCTTGAAGCTTCTTCTGGAGTTCATCATGTCAAAGCACTGTATTTTGGTGTATGGGTTTCTGAGCCCCAGCAGGGTGAAAGGCAGATGTCAGCAACAGAATCACACAATCCTGATGATACTATTTAATTCCTGAATCCAGAAATATTCTGGATTAGAAAATATATCTTACTTTTCATTTATATGAGCCAGTCAATTCCTCTTCATGTTTAAGTTAGTTCTTTGTTTAAGTTTTGTCCTTTGCAAAAGAAAGTAATGGCTTTTATGGTTTCTTCGGAAGGCCTTTCCTTTAATTCCTTAAAAACGTATAGAAATCTGGAGAAGAAGCCTTTTGTTTTTAATAGCTTGACAATTATATACCCAAGTTGTTATGTTTTATTTTCCCTGTTTGATGTTCTCCAATTTTCTTGGATTTGTGGTTTCCAGTCTGTTGTTAACTTCTGGAATATTCTTGGACATTACTTCTTCACATATGTCTCTCAGATTCCAATTATATCTGTACTAGATTGTTTAATAATATGGAATAGATATCCCTAGTTCTTGAATGCTCTGTTCTATTTTTTCCCCATTCTTGTTTTCCTCTGTATTTCAATTTGGGCGAGTTCTATTGATTCCCTTCTTAAGCGCAAGAGTCTTTCCTTGGCTACATGAAGTCTATTGACGAGTCTATCAAAGGAATTCTTTATCTCTGTTACCAAAGTTTTATTTCTAGCATTTCCATTTTATTCATATTATAGTTTCCATATCTCTGCTGAAATTACTCATCTGATTTTGCATGGTGCCAGTTTATTCATTAGCGCTTTTACCATATTAATTACAGTTGTTTTTAAATTTTCTATCAGAAAATTCTAACAAACACTTGTGTCAGAGCTGAGTGTTGAGTGTGGTTTTGATGATTGCTCGGCCACTTGGAAATGGGTTGTTTCTTGCCTTTTTGTGTAGCTTGTAATTCATTTTAAATCTAGACATCTTGTATTAAATAGTAAAGACTGGGGTAGGGAGGCTGAGGCAGGAGAACGGCGTGAGCCCAGGAGGCAGAGCTTGCAGTGAGCTGAGATCCCGCCACTGCACTCCAGCCTGGACGACAGAGCCAGACTCCTTATCAAAACAAAAAAAAAAGACTGGGGTAAATACTTTTTATTCCTAAAAATGGGCACTTCTTTTTTTTTTTTTTTTTTTTTTGGCTAGACCCCGCTAGGTGTGGGGTTTCATCCATCTCTTGAGAAATGTGTTAGCATGCTTAGTTAACTTGTACTTTTTAAAGTAAAACTGTTTGGTTTTATTGGTTCATGTTTTTAAAAATATGTTTCACCAAAACGTTAAATATAATTGAATTGGAATATCATTCTTTTAGTAAACCATAGACCTTTGTTTATCTATTTATTTATTTATTTTAAGACGGAGTCTCGCTCTATCGCCCAGGCTGGAGTGCAGTGGCGGGATCTCTGCTCACTAATTTTTGTATATTTTTAGCAGAGACGGGGGTTTCACTATGTTAGCTAGGATGGTCTCGATCTCCTCACCTCGTGATCCGCCCACCTGGGCCTCCCAAAGTGCTGGGATTACAGGCATGAGCCACCTCACCCGGCCCAACCATAGACCTTTGAATATACCTAAATGCCTGTGATACCATCTAATGAGACAGTTGCAATTTTCATTAAGTTTTCACTACCCATAAAGTTCTTTTACTTTTCAAAATACACTAGCTATAAAGAAAGTCATTGCAAGATATCCAGCCTGTGGCAGACCTTAACTTTCTTCATCATTGGCCTTTAATTTTACTAAACACCAGTAAATTCCAGGAATTCTCAATTGGAAGCATTTTCCCTTTTTTTGATAATGATTAAGTCTCATATTAGGTTTAAGCTAAGTTTACCTTTTTAAGAAAAACAATACACTTTATTCTACAGAATAGTTTTAGTTTCACAGCAAAACAGAGTGGAAAGTACAGAGAATTCTCATATACCCTATGCCTCCACACACGCACTGCCTCCCCCCGTGATCAATCAGCACCCCTCACCAGAGTGGTACACTTGTCACAACCAACTTACATGGATACATCATTATCATCCAAAGTCTATAGTTTGCAACAGATTTTAATCTTGGCGTTGTACCTAATATAGGTTTTGACAAAGGTGTAGTGACATGTATCCACCGTTATAGTATTATACAGAATAGTTCCAGTGCCCCAGAAGCCTCTGTGCTTTGTCTATTCATCTCTCCCTCCTCCCTAACAAGTGGCAAATGCTGATCTTTTTACTGTCTCCAAAGTTTTGCCTTTTCCAGAATGCCATACACTTAGAATCAAAAGTAGTTAGCCTTTTCAGATTGGGTTTCTTTTACTTAGTAATGTCCACTTAGGGTTTCTTGATGTCTTTTCATGGCTTGATAGGTCTCATCTTTTTAGGTTGAATAATATTCCATTGTCTGGATGTACCACAGATTATTTATCCATTCAGCTACTGAAGGTTGTCTTGATTGCTTCCACATTTTGGCAATTATGAATAAAACTGCTGTAAACATCTGTGTGCAGGTTTTTGTGTGGACCCAAGTATTCACCTCCTTTGGGGAAATATCAAGGAATGCAATTGCTAAATCATCTGGTAAGAATATGTTCAGTTTTTTTTTGTTTTTTTTTTTGAGACGGAGTCTCACTCTGTCGCCCAGGCTGGAGTGCAGTGGTGCGATCTCGGCTCACTGCAAGCTCCGCCTTCCCGGGTTCACGCCATTCTGCCTCAGCCTCCCCAGCAGCTGGGACTACAGGCACCCACCACCACACCCAGCTATTTTTTTTGTATTTTTAGTAGAGATGGTGTTTCACCGTGTTAGCCAGGATGGTCTCGATCTCCTGACCTCGTGATCTGCCCGCCTCCGCCTCCCAAAGTGCTGGGATTACAGGCGTGAGCCACCGCGCCTGGCCTAGTTTTTTTAAAACTGCCAAACTCTCTTCTAAAGTGGCTGTACTATTTTGCATTGCCCAGAAATGAATGAAAATTCCTGTTGCTTCACATCCTTGCCAGTTTTTAGTGTTGTCAGTGTTTTGGATTTAAGCCATTCTAATAGGTGTGTAGTGGTGTCTCACTGTTGTTTTGATTTGCAATTTCCAGTGACATATGATGTTGTACATCTTTTCATATACTCATTTGCCATCTGTATATCTTCTTGGATGAGGCATCTTTTCAGGTCTTCTGCCCTTTTAAAAATCGGGTTGTTAGTTTTCTTATTGTTGAGCTTTAAGTGTCCTTTATATAACTCAGATAACAGTCCTCTATCAGACATGACTTTTGAATATACTTTGTCCCAGTTTGTGACTTGTCTTCTCATTCTCATAGTATCTATGGTTTTTTTTTTTTTTTTAGATGGAGTCTTGCTTTGTCGCCAAGGCCAGAGGGCAGTGGTGGTGTCTCAGCTCACTCAACCTCCACCTCCCGGATTCAAGCAATTCTCCTGCCTCGGCTTCTTGAGTAGCTGGGACTACAGGTGCCGGCCACCACACCTAGCTAATTTTTGTATATTTAATAGAGACAGGGTTTCACCATGTTGGCCAGGCTTGTCTTGAACTCCTGACCTCAGGTGATCCACCCACCTTGGCCTCCCAAAATTCTGGGATTACAGGCATGAGCCACCAAGCACAGCCAGTTTTTAACTTTAATAAATTCTAGCTTACAAAATATTTATTTCATTGGTGTTGCCTGAATGTACCACAGTTTTTTTATTCAGCCAGTTAATGAAGGACATCTTGGTTTCTTCCATATTTTGGCAAATGTGAGTAAAGCTGCTATAAATGTCTGTGTGAATGTATTTGTGTGCACATAAGTTTTCAACTCCTTTGGGTAAATAGCAAGGAGTGCAATTCCTGGATCATCTGCAAAGTCATCACCGTATCCAGGGTCATCCAGGTTTTCTCTGATGTTATCCTCTAGGATTTTACAGTTTTGCATGTTACATTTAGGTCTATGATCTACTCTGAGTTAGTTTTTGCAAAGCTTATAAGGTCTTTGTCTAGACTCATTTTTTCATGTGGATGTCCCGTTGTTTCAGTACCGTTTGTTGAGAAGGCTGTTTTTTCTCCATTGCCTTATGTTTTCTCCTTTGCTGAGTTTAGTTTTTATGGCCATGAACAAAATCCTCTTGTTCTTTCACAAAACTATTAAAGACCTTTTTTCATCCTTTTCATCAAGGCCCAAGTAATTACAATTTCTCTTCAAAACCTCTCATAATTCCTGGAGGTTCTTCAGTTTTGAGCTTAGAAGAGACTTATTTAGCAAATGAAACTATAAGGATG
This sequence comes from Homo sapiens, assembly GCF_000001405.40. Taxonomy (NCBI): domain Eukaryota; kingdom Metazoa; phylum Chordata; class Mammalia; order Primates; family Hominidae; genus Homo; species Homo sapiens. The sequence goes on from NC_000009.12 coordinate 41,805,189, forward strand.
CTAATGTACTCTGTCCAGGTCAGAATTTCTTTTCTTCACTAGCTGACGTGTGTGCTTGACCCTTAACGTGGGTCTATAAATGCAGCACTGGGTTCATCAGTGGATCTGTAAGCTTTGGTGTTTTATTTCCCAAGAGCTCTATAGATGCTCCCCATTCCCTGAATTTTGTGCTGTAATGAAGGTGGACATGGCATTGTCAGTGTGACCCGGTCTCAGAGTTAGGTGGACTGCATGTGGGTTCGGGTTCTTCTACTCCCTGTAGGACCTTTCTACAAGTCACCTGTCTCCTCTAGGCCTCAGTTTCTTTATCTGTAATGTTGGACTAGATTCTATCTATGGTCCTCTAGAGCTCCAAAGTGAAGATAAAACTCCTGTTCCACTCAGGTAGTTTGTATCTTCAAAGTGAAAGCTTCCTGGGGGAAATGAAGCTTGCCTTCACCAACGTTAGAAATTAGTGGTTGAAAAATAGTATTTTTCAGTGTCTGTGAGTCTTGAAGTTATGTTTTCACAGAGTGACAAGAAAACAAATTAATGAAAGGCAGACATCTTCATGAATGAGAGTCAGAGAAAATATGAACATAACATATGACCCAGCATATAGTCTGTTCTCCCTGAATGAATAAAATGTAGGAGTTATTCCCTGGTTTACAAACCAAAATGTTAATCAGAAGTCCCATTTGAGAAGTGAAGTGGAACTTTATTTTATTGTATTTATTCATTTATTTATTTAAGACAGAGTCTCGCTCTGTCCCCAGGCTGAGTGCAGTGGCGTGATCTCGGCTCACTGCAACCTCCACCTCCCGGGTTCTAACAATTCTCCTACTTCAGCCTCCCAAATAGCTGGGATTACAGGCGTGCCACCATGCCCAGCTAATTTTTGTATTTTTAGTAGAGATGGGGTTTTGCCATCTTGGCCAGGCTGGTCTTGAACTCCTGACCTCAGGTGATCCACCTGCCTCAGCCTCCCAAAGTGCTGGGATTACAAGTGTGAGCCACTGCACCTGGCTGGGGCTTTAAAGTATGTAAGATATATAGAGAGACGATGAAGAGGGAGGTACGGAGCGAGAGAGAGAGTGTGTGGCTGGAACTTGAAGTTTTTTTTTTATTTGAAGTTATATACTTTGGGAATAAACTTAGGTTTTCATGCTCTGCCGAGCTTAAGCAAGATGGCAAATGCATACATTGAGCTCTCTAATCATAACCTCAATATATGGATTCTTGTTCATTAAAATACTTGCACCAGCAAATATGATTTCCAAAATTTGTGTTTTGGAGGTAATTAAGTAACTATGTAAAAATAAATGCTTTCCCCTCCTTTCCCCAGTGACTAAAAAATTTCCATACTTTTAAAATAATAAAAATAATGTATATATATTTTTTAATTTTTAAAAGCAACTTAACTCTTTGTTTTTAGGAAACTATAGATTAAGGTATCCCTTTGATCCCGTGTGTACTAGGGATCCACAGGAATGTTCCTCAGCCCTGTGGCATGAGGTCTTTCTCAAAGTCCAGGCAGCTACACAGCATAGCCATGTCTCCTCTAATACTGCCCTATCCTTCCTCTGCAGAGAGGACACACCTTCATTTCTATGTCTGTCTCACACCTTCCACCTTCTGGCTCAGAGCAAGACTCTCACCTTTGAGCCAGCCTGAGTTGGCTTTTAATATGCAAGCCATATCGGGAATTTGGTGTACCCTTTTCTCCCTCAACAGAGCTCATCTTCCAGCTCTATTATATTGTTGTGAGCTCAAAAATCTTATTGTGGGGACTGGCGTAATGGCTCATGCCTGTAATCCCAGCACTGTGGGAGGCTGAGGTGGGCGGATCATGAGGTCAAGAGATTGAGACCCTCCTGGCCAACATGGTGAAACCCCGTCGCCACTAAAAATACAAAAATTAGCTCAGTGTGGTGGTGTGTGCCTGTAGTCCCAGCTACTCAGGAGGCTGAGGCAGGAGGATCGCTTGAACCCAGGAGGTGGAGTTTGTCCTGAGTCGAGATCACACCACTGCACTTCAGCCTGGTGACAGAGCAAGACTCCGTTTAAAAAAAAAAAAAATATATATATATATATATATATATAGTGAAAGTTAAAAGCTAAACATTAACTCTTTTTTTTTTTTCCGAGACACAGTTTTGCTCTGTCGCCCAGGCTAGAGTGCATTGGCGCGATCTTAGCTCACTGCAAGCTCTGCCTCCTGAGTTCACGCCATTCTCCTGCTTCAGCCTCCCGAGTAGCTGGGACTGCAGGTGCCCGCCACCACCACGCCCAGCTGATTTTTTGTATTTTTAGTAGAGACGGGGTTTCATCACTGTGTTAGCCAGGATGGTCTCTATCTCCTGACCTCGTGATCCAGCTGCCTCGGCCTCCCAAAGTGCTGGGATTACAGGCGTGAGCCATGGTGCCTGGCCCAATGTTACTTTTAATTAGTGTAATTACCATGGAGACAATAGGCATCATCTGTCACTGTTTATCTTTCATTCTAATCAAAAGAGACATTTTAAACAAGCTTTTTAGGATCTCTGAAATATTGTCTACTCATAATCATGTATTATAAAGTTCAGCTGTTTTAAAAGTTAACTACACCAGGAGTGTACTCATTAGGTATGATAACAAGTTAACTGGTTAATCTCATACAGATTGAAAGTTCTTATAAGTTAGATATTTTTGAGTTGTGCACCTATATTTGGAAAGAACAACTTTTAGTCATATCCCTCATATATCTGTTTTGACATTTTATGTCAGCCTTATGTTTAAATGTGATACCTCATTATAATGTCCTAAAGGCAAGAAACAATATACCCAAATAAAAATATGTCTATTCTTCTGTGTTATAATTTATAAGACTGGCTTCGGTAATTGAATAAACATGTTAAGGTATTTTATTTCAATTATTTATACTCCATTGAGTTGTTCAAATGAGTATGAATCCTTCTAGCAAAAACCCAACCCTCCTTTGGATCTATTCGCAAGGTGCACTTCAAAAGTTTATCATATAGTCGATGTTTGTAATTCTGTCTGTATTATTTCTTCAAGAATACCTATGCACCTTGAGGGAAAGTTCTGCCTTATTCTTGCATAAGCTCAATAGGCACACATTTATAATTCAATGCTTGTAATATTTTCTCCCATTTCTGAGATACTTAAAAAATTTAACCTCATTATCACCATCATTACCTCACTATCACCATGAAAATCTCAGTGACAAATAGAGCAACAGTGATCAGCTTGTGAGTAAAAGCCAAATACCAGGCACTAACAAGAGTTCTCTTTTCATAAGAAACCTTCAAGGTCACTGCATGAGGACGAGGCCAGGCCAGTATTCAACATCGGATTTATAGATCCTAAAGTTGGCCACTTTCCTCTTTGCCATGCTGAATCTTTAAAATAAATCCTAATTCAATCTTTTAACCTAATGGCATGTCCAAGTCAAATTTTTTACTACACACTTTTCCCAGATTCACCTCTTTTATTATATATTGGAAAATATAATTTCACAAAGATTATTTCGAATAAAGAGGTAATTTTTCCAATCGTGTAAATGAAATCCACAGGAAAGGAGAGCTCTTCTGTATAAATAGCACAAATTCAGAGGAATGCCTTTGCAAACTCTATGCTTCACCAACACAGATCTTCCCTAGGAAGAGAATTCAAGATTGACCCCAAAACTCATCCCCTGAACTCAGTTGATACATCTTTTCAGTAACTGCCAAAGCCTCATTTGCAATTTCAAATACCTTTGACAAAAAGCCAAAATGTTCTGAAATGTCAAATTCACTTGTACTTTACTTCTTCCACTCTAATGTTTTCAATAAATATATTGTCAGCTACAGCAACAATTTCCAATTTCCCTTGTAAATAAGTGAAATAGCTTGGGAGGATCTTCTGAGATTGCATTGAGGTGTGCTCACAGGGCTATTTCATTTATAAGGTGTCAAGTCAGGTAGGTGGGCTGATCTGTTTCTTCAAGTAGCATCTGTGTAATAGGATGTTGTTCAGTTAAGAGCCTGAGTCCTGCATCTCAGTGTCTTACTATGGGATGCTGAACAAGCTAAACTTTTTTATTTTATTTTATTTTTAAGTTCTGGGATACATGTGCAGAATGTGCAGGTTTGTTACATAGGTATACATGTGCCATGGTGGTTTGCTGAACTTATCAGCCCATCATCTAGGTTATAAGCCCTGCATGCATTAGGTGTTTGTCCTAATGCTCTCCCTCCTCTTGTCCCTCATCCCCCTACAGGCCCTGATGTGTGATGTTCCCCTCCCTGTGTCCATGTGTTCTCAGTTGAACAAGCTAAACTTCCTAAACTTCAGCCTTACCATATGTACATTGGAAATTATAACAGTGCCTTGTATGGCATTTAGTCACAATGTCTGGTGTAGAATAGATGCTCTAAAATTATTATTATTATATGTTGAAGGGCAGACATCTCATCTTATTTTTTTTTTTCACTTAAAAGAATATATTCTTTCAGAGACAAGATCTCGCTATGTTGCTCAGGCAGGTCTCAAACTCCTGAGCTCAAGTGATTCTCTCATCTTGGTCTCCCGAAGTGCTGGGATTACAGGCATAAGCCACCATGCTTGGCCCACATCTTATTTTCATTGTGTTCAGAATACAATATAGGGTTGCATATAACAGCATTAAATGAACTGTTGTCATGCTTCCCTTGCTGATGTGTGTGCATATCTGTAATCCACTTTATGGGGGGATAAAGTTTTGTTTGGGCTCATGTCGGAACTGACGGAGTTGTCTCTTCATTAGAAACTGGATGGTCTAGTTTAAAACTACACTGTAAAGACGTGATGTGGCCTTAGTTATGGCATTTAAATAGTGGGTTTAACTCATCAAATTTCCCTAATAATATAACACTAATATATTTAGCTAGTCCACAGAAACACATATTTTTGTAGATTTTCTTTTTTTTTTTTTTTCGGAGATGGGGTCTCATTCTGTGTCCCAGTCTGTAATCTGTAGTGCAAAGGTGCAATCACACCCATTGCAGCCTCAACTTCCCAGGCTCCGGTGATCCTCCCACCTCAGACTCCTGAGTGGCTGGAACCACAGGTGCATGCCACCATGCCTGGCTAATTTTTTTTTCTTTGTAGAGGTGGAGTCTCACTATGTTGCCCAGGCTGGTCTTGAACTCTTGGGCTCAAGTGATCCTCCCACCTTGACCTCTCAAACTGCTGGGATTACAGGTGTGAGCCACCACACCTGGACATGTAGATGTTCAATAACAAGAAATGTAAACAGTAAAGATATAGTATTAGAGACAATTATCTATTTTTTAAGACCTCCAGACAGCGATTATTCCTTCAGCTGTGAGAAAACGTAAATGCAAAATACCTGCAAAATGCGATGACTTCCTGTAATGTGGCATCACAGGCAAGCTGTGGCTTTTCAGAAGATACATTCACCCTGTTACCTTACAGCTCTACCAAGTGGGACACCCCAGAGATCCTTATATATTATGTCTTTTTAATAGTTATTCCCAGACATTGTTTCTCTGCATTTATTTTCAAAGTATTAATCCAATTTAACACTCATCTTCCTGGCAAGAACAGTAAAGGGTCTGAAATTTTATACTACTTACAATCTAACAAGTTGGCCTGCCACTCTCATGGATGCTGCCAAAAGAAATAAGACTCCCAGGTCAGAGACAAAGAACGTTATTATTATTGTTATTATTTTATTATTTTATTTTATTTATTTACTTTTTTGAGATGGAGTCTCGCTCTGTCGCCCAGGCTAGAGTGCAGTGGCATGATCTCGGCTCACTGCAAGCTCTGCCTCCCAGGTTCACGCCATTCTCCTGCCTCAGCCTGCCGTGTAGCTGGGACTACAGGCGCCCACCACCACGCCCAGCTAATTTTTTGTATTTTTAGTACAGACAAGGTTTCACCGTGTTAGTCAGGATGGTCTCGATCTCCTGACCTTGTGATCTGCCTGCCTGAACCTCCCAAAGTGCTGGGATTACAGGCATGAGCCACCACACTCAGTCAATAACATTATTATTTATGGACCAACAAACAGCATAAGCAACAGGGTATCAGTTGTCCTTGCCCTGGAGTCCCATGGGAAGGACATGGATGGACTCAGATGGATGAATGCACATGCATTACGGGATAGGAGCCCTGAGCTCAGAGAATGCAAATCCCTTGTAAAGATCCCTAACTATGCCTAGTCTTTGTTCCAGAAGGAGATACCAACATGCTTGAAAAGATGGTCAAAACAAAGGGCAGTCTGTGTCTGCTCGTAAAGTGTGCAGAAATGTGAGGGACTCATGAAAACATGTCACACAATACTTTCCTCTTATAATAGACAAGTGAGTCTGTATGCACATGGGGTACTGGATGAAATACTTTATCAAAACTGGTCAGAAATTCAGACAAAAATTTAATTCAATCAAACAACTGCATGTAATAAATAATATTTTCGTGTGGCTACCAGTGACTCACAAGTCCAGCTGCTTCAAAAAACATCCTAATTCTCTAGCCCCATCACAGTTCAATTCAATATAATCTGTGGGGAGGGGCCTGGCCTCAGTATTTTTAAAGCTTTCCAGGTTACTTTAATGAGTAATCAAGTCAGGGCTGACAATCACTAAGCCAAAATAAGCCTACTACTATGCAAGGTCTTTTCAGAGACAGAGAAGGAAAAAAAAAACTACCTAAAGTAAATTCCATGATACAGTATCTATAAACGAGGGAACCTACAATCTTTGGCAGGAAAAACTTCAATTAAACTCATTTTCTTGCTATGCTGACCATTTATTTTACCAAAATAAGTCATAACATAAGATCTATTGCTCAGTTCCTGTGTAGACAGAACCTAAAATCTGGGGAGAGGCAAGATCAACTAATTTGTTTTTTTTACTCACTTGACAAGTATTTTGACTAAAGCACTTAAGGATTGTGGTGTTGATTTAAAAAAAAAATGTTTAACAATTTTGTAAAAGACATTTTTTTGCAGTTTTCCAACAAAATCTTGTAAGCGAAGCATGTTTTCTTTCTCCTTATCTCAACCCAAATGGTATGCTATTCCTCATATTTTCTTTTTTTAAAAATCTTGTATTTTAGATTAAGGGGTACATGTGAAGGTTTGTTATGTAGGAAAATAGATTGTTTCATCACCCGGATACTGAGCCTAGTACCCAATAGTTATTTTTCCTGATCCTGTCTCTCCTCCCACCCTTCATCCTCAAGTAGGCCTCAGTGTGTGTTGTTCCCCTATTTGTGTCCATGTGTTCTCATCATTTAGCTCCCAATTATGTGGTATTTGGTTTTGAACATGTGGTATTTGGTTTTCTGTTCCTGCATTAGTTTAAGCATCATGGCCTCCAGCTCCTTCCATGTTCCTGCAAAAGACATGATCTCATTCTTTTTTATGACTACATAGTATTCCATGGTGTATATGTACCACATTTTCTCTATCCAGTCTAACATTGATGGTCACTTAGATTGACTCCAGATCTTTGCGATTGTGAATTGTGTTGCTCTGAATATATGCATGCATGTGTCTTTATGATAGAATGACATATATTCCTTTGGGTATGTACCCAATAATGAGATTGTTGGGTGAAATGGTAGTTCTATTTTTAGTTCTGTGGGGAATCATCACACTGCTTCCCACAATGGTTGAACTAATTTGAACTCCCACCAACAGTGCATAAGCGTTTTTTTTTCCCCTGCAACCTCACTAGCATCTGTAATTTTTTGACATTTAATTATAGCCATTCTGACTGGTGTGAGATGGTATCTCATTGTGGTTTTTATTTGCATTTCTCTAATGATCAGTGATAATGGGATTTTTTTTCATATGTTTGTTGGCCACATGTATGTCTTCTTTAGAAAAGCATCTGCTTATGTCCTTTGCCTACTTTTTAATGGGATTGTTTGTTTTGCTCTTATAAATTTACTTAAGTTTCTTATTGATGCTGGATATTTGACCTTTGTCAGATACATAATTTGCAAATATTTTCTCCCATTCTGTGGGTTGTCTGTTTACCCTGTTGATAGTTTCTTTTGTTGTGCAGAAGCTCTTTAGTTTAACTAGATACCATTTGTCAAATCTGCTTTCATTGCAATTGCTTCTGGCATCTTTGTCATGAAATCTTTGCCCATTCCTATGTCCAGGATGATATTCCCTAGGTTGTCTTCCAGGATTTTTATAGTTTTAGGTTTTACATTTAAGTCTTTAATCTAGTTCATTGAGAGTTTTTAAAATAAAGGGATGTTAAATTTTATCAAAAGTCTTTCTTTGTCTATTGAGATAATCGTGGTTTTTGTCTTTAGTTTTGTCTATGTGACGAATCACATTAATTGATTTGCAAATGTTGAACCAACTTTGCATTCCAGGAATAAAGCCTATTTGATAGTGGTGGATTAAATTTTTGATGTGCTGCTGGATTCAGTTTGCTAGAATTTTGTTGAGAAGTTTTGCTTCCATGTTCATCAAGGATATTGGCCTGAAGTTTTCTTTTATTTTTGTGTCTCTGAGAGGTTTTGATATCAGGATGATAATGGCCTCATAGAATGAGCTGAGGAGGAGTCTCTCCTCTTCCATTTGTTGAAATAGTTTCACTAGGAATGGTACCAGCTCTTCTTTGTACAGCTGGCAGAATTCAGTTGTGAATCCATCTGGTCCTGGGCTTTTTTATTTTTATTTTTTTTTATTGGTAGGCTATTTATTACCAATTCAAGTTTGGAGTTTGTTATTGGTTTGTGGAGGGATTCAATGTCTTCCTGGTTCAGTCTTGGGAGGGTGTATGTATCCAGAAATTTATCCATTTCTTCTAGGTTTTGTAGTTTGTGTGTGTAGAGGGGTTCATAATATTCTCTGATGATTATTTTTATTTCTGTGGGGTAAGTGCTAATATCCTCTTTGTCATTTCTGATTGTGTTAATTGGATCTTCTCTCTTTCTTCTTTATTATTCTGGCTAGTGGTCTATCTATCTTATTAACTTTTTCAAAAAATTAGCTCTGGCTTTGTTGATCTTTTGAATAGTTTTTCGTGTCTCAATTCCTTCAGTTCAGCTCTGATTTTGGTTATTTCTTGTCTTCTCCTAGCTTTGGGGTTAGTTTGCTCTTGCTTCTCTAGTTATTTTAGTCATGATGTTAGGTCGTTAATTTAAGATCTTTCTAACTTTTTGATGTGGATTTTTAGTGCTATAAATTTCCCTCTTAACACTGCCTTAGCTGTGTCCTAGAGATTCTGGTATGTTGTAACTTTGTTTTCAGTAGTTTCAAAAAACTTCTTGATTTCTGCCTTAATTTCATTATTTACCTGAAACTCATTCTGGAGCAGGTTGTTTAAGTTCCATGTAATTGTATGGTGTTGAGCAATTTTCTTAGACTTGAATTCTGTTTTTACTGCACTGTGGTATGAGAGTGTGGTTGGTATAATTTCAGTTCTTTTTGCATTTGCTGAGTATTGTTTTATGTCCAATGTGTGGTTGATTTCAGAGTATGTGCCATGTGGCAATGAGAAGAATGTATATTTTATTGTTTTGGGGTGGAGTGTTCTGTAGATGTCTATCAGGTCCATTGGTCCAGTGTTGAGTTCAGGTCCTGAATATCTTTGTTAATTTTCTGCCTCAATGATCTGTCTAATATAGTCAGTAGGGTGTTGAAGTCTCCCACTAATATTGTATGACAGTCTAAGTCTCTTTGAAGGTCTCCAAGAACTTGCTTTATGGATCTGGCTGCTCCTGTGTTGGGAGCATATATATTTAGGATAGTAATGTCTTGTTGAATTGAGCCTTTTACCATTACGTAATGCCCTTCTTTGTCTTTCTTAATCTTTGTTGGTTTAAAGTTGCTTTTTTTTCTGTTTTCCATTTGCTTGGTAGATTTTCCTCCATCTCTTTGTTTTGAATTTATGGATGTCATTGCATGTGAGATAAGGTTTTTAAAGACAGCATACCATTGGGTATTGCTTTTTCAGTCAGCTTGCCACTCTGTGCCTTTAAATTGGGGAATTAAGTCCATTTCCATTCAAGATTAATACTGATACGTGTGAATGTAATCTTGTCATCATAATGTTAGCTGGTTATTTTAAAGACTTGCTTATGTGGTTGCCTTATAGTGTCACTGGGCTGTGTATTTCAGTGTATTTTTTTTTTTAGTGGCTGGTAACAGGCTTTTCTTTCCATATTTAGTACTTCCTTTAGGAGCCTTATAAGGCATGTCTGGTGGTTAAAAAAAAATCTTCTCAGCACTTCTTTGTCTGAAAAGGATCTTATTTCTCCTTCACTTATGAAGCTCAGGTTGGTTAGATTTGAAATCTTGGTGGGAATTCCATTTATCTAAGAATGTTGAATATTGGCTCCCAACCTCTTCTGGCTTGTGAGGTTTCTGCTAATAGGTCTGCTGTTAGTCTAATGGACTTCCCTTTGTACCTTTGTAGGTTATCTCTCATTACTTTTTCTCTGCCTTTAAGATTTTTTTGCTTCATTTCAAGCTTGGAGAATCTGATAATCATGTCTCTTGGGGATGATTTTCTTGTGAAGGATTTTGCAGGGTTCTCTGCATTTTCAGAATCTGAATGTTGGTCTCTTTAACTAGGTTGGGAAAGGTCTCATGGATGAAATCCTAAAATATGTTTTCAAGTAGTTTCCATTCTCCTCATCTCTTTCAGAGACACCAATGAGTCATAGATTCGGTCTCTTTACATAATTCTATGTTTCTCAGAGATTTCTTACTTTCACTCTTTCTTCTTTCTTCTTGTCTGGCTGTCTTATTTCAGAAAGCCAGTCTTCGAGCTCTGAGATTCTTTCCTCAGCTTGGTCTATCCTGCTGTTAATACTTGCCATTGCATTATGACATTCTTGTAGCGTGTTTTTCAGCTCTATCGGTTGGGTTACATTCTTTTCTCTATGGCTATTTTATCTGTCAGCTCCTGTATCATTTTATTGTGCCTCTTAGCTTCCGTAGATAGGGTTTCAACATTCTGTTGAATCTTAATGATCTTCATTCATATCCATATTCTGAATTACATTTCTGTCACTTCAACCATCTCATCTTTGCTGGAGAGGTGATGTGGTCATTTGGAGGGAAGAAGGCCCTCTGACTTTTGAGCTGTCAGGATTCTTGTGCTGATTCTTTCTCATCTCTGTGGGCTGATGTTTCTTTAATCTTTTAAGTTAATGTCCTGTGGCTGAGCTTTATTTTATTTTATTCTATTTGATGGCCTTGAGGGTTTGGTTTTGGTACAAGGTGGGTTCAACTGACTGGTTTCATTTCTGGAATATTTTAGGAGGCTCAGATTCAGCTCAGGACTCTCGAACTGCATGCTCTAACCCTGGGGGACTGGTTTCTGGCCCAGGCTTTGTCTCTGGCCCCTAAAGGTTAGGAACCTGCTGTGCTGGAAGGACCAAGATGATCCAAGACCACTGGTCACAACACTCTGATGGGTGGTGCCAGTCAAAGTGCTTCATAGGGCAGTGCCAGTGAGATCCATCCTGGTTCACACCTTCAGCAGCAGCAGCAGCAGTGGCAGCGAGGTGTGGTGCACATTCACTGGCTGTGGCAGGGAGCTAGTGGCTGCCAGCATGCTGGCCTCATTGTGGGCATTCATAGCAGCAACTGTGGCATCACGGTGCAGGGGTTGGGGGTGGGGGATGCTTGCCCCCTCCCGCACCCCTGTGTCTTTGTGTGCATTTGTGCCGGTGGCGGTGTTAGCATGGGAGTGAAGCACTGGTGAGCACAGGACTGTGTGAGTTCTCCTTGCACATTCACGTGGGTGGTCGTAGCCGCTCAGAACAGGGGTGGGTCCTCTGTTCTCGGTGCCTATTGTCACACTGGTGGTAGTGTCGGTGCAGGGGCAGGGCGTTGGCAGGGGCAGGGCTGGCGGGCTTCATGCCCACTCATCAATGCTCCAACAGTAATGGCAGTATGGTGGGGGGTCGAGAGGGTGAAGTGCACTCAGGATGGCAGCAGTAGCATGGCACACACACTGTGGCAGGAAAGGGGAGGCAAGGTCCACACACACACACATGCACTGGCAAAACGATGTGGGGGATGGCCGTGGGCTAGTGCATGCAGGCAAAGTGGCACGGGGAGACTGCAGTGGGGGCAGGGCACAGTTAGGCTGATGTGTGTACATGGGGGCCACTCTGCAGCAGATCTCTGCTGGTCAGGCACAGTCAGCCAGCACAGGAACTATGATGCAGGTCCTCAGGAGGTAGCCTCCACTGCACCCCGCTGTGAAGCTGCACTGCAAGCAGGTGTGGCCAGGCTGGGGCCCCAGGAGGGGTGAGCAGACTGAAGGATGCTCAGGTCAGACTGGCCCTGTCTCAGGGGCAAGACTGCCCTGCAGAGTTCAGGTCTGACAGTTGCCCTAGGGCTGAAGTCTCCTATGAGAACAAGTCTAGCCTAGGGCAATGGGTGTCCCTGACCATTCTCCACTACAGATGCTCGCACACAAAACCTTCTGGGCTTTGCACAGTCTGGAGTTCTACCATTAACACTTTATAAGCAGGTCTTCCTGACAACTCAAGTGTCCCTGGTGGTTGTAGGGTCTCCTCCTGTCAGGAATTCAGGGACCTGTGACAAGAGGAGGTTGCCCCTTGCCTGTTCAACTCACCTCTCCTCCAGGAGATTTTGGGGACCTGGAATGAGTCCTGGTGCACGATTGCCCCTTGCAGGGTTCCCGGCTTCCTCCCCCTTCAGCCCAACATCTGTGTCTTCCCTCTGTCTGCTCTCAAAGCCTTCCCTCTGAAGATCTTCCAGGAGCACACCAGTCTTCTCAATGTCCTGGTCCCTTGGTGGGAGCTGTTCCTCCTGGCTGTGTCTAGTCAGCCATCTTCCCTCATATTTTCTTCACACAAGTTAACAATGATTATTTTCACATTGCAATTTCATCTATTAATTGACATTTAAGAGAAAACAAATCAGTGTGATAATTTGCTAATATTTCTCCCAATGAGCACATATGTTTTGTTGTTTCCTTCAACAAAGACAGTGATAGCTCCACATCATTGTTCTGATTTTATCAGATCTATAGGAGGAAAACTCAAACTGTGATGAAGGCATTCAGTGAAGATCTAAATAAATGGAGAGTTGTTCTAAGTATATGGATAGAAAGACTCAATATTGTGAAGATGTCAGTTCTTTCAAATTTCATCTATACATTAAAAGCAATCCCAATAGAAATCCCAGCAAGTTATCTAGTGGGTATTGACAAACTGATTCCAAAGTTTATATAAAAAGGCAAAAGATCCAGATTAGCCAACAAATGTTAAAGAAGAACAAGTTTGAAAGTCTTACACTGTATAGCTTCAAAATCTATGATAAAGTTATAGTGATCAAGACAGTGTGGTATTGGTGAAAGAATAAAAACATAGATCAATGGAACATACCAGCGGGCCAAAAAATAGACCCACATGTACGTAGTGAACTGATCTCTGACACAGAAGCAAGGGCAATTCAAAAGAAAAGGTAGTCTTCTCAACAAATGGTGGTAGAATAACTGGTCATCCAACATGCAAAAATATAAATCTATACACAGACTTTACACCTGTCACAAAAATTAAGTCAAAATGGATCATAGACCTAAATGTAAAGTGCAAAACTATAAAACTTCTAGAAGACAACATAGGAAAATGTCTAGTTGACCTTGATTTTGGTTATGACCTTAGGTACAACATCAAAATGCATGATTCATCAAGAAAAATGGATAAGCAGGACTTCATTAAAATTAAAACTTCCATTCTGTGTAAGACACTGTTAAGACAATAAAAAGACAAACCAAAGATTGGGAGAAAATCTTTGTATAACACATATCCAATAGAAGACTAGTATCCAGAATACGTAAAGAATCCTCAAAATTCAACAAGAAGAAAACAAACAACAAAATGAGTAAAAAATCTGAACAAACATCTCACCCCAGAAGATATGCAGAATGATAAGCATATGAGAAGATGCTCCACATCATATGTCATTGGAGAAATGCAAATTGAGATAACAATGAGATACTACTACACACCAATTAGAATGGCGACATTCAAAATACTGACAACACCAAATGCTGGGGAGGATATGAGTCAACAGGAACTCCCATCCATTGTCGACAGGAATGCAATATAGTATAGCCACTTTAGATGACAGTTTGACAGTATCTTTCTTTCTTTTTTCAGACGGAGTCTTGCTCTATTGCCAGGTTGGAGTGCAGTGGCGCGATCTCAGCTCACTGCAACCTCCGCCTCCTGGATTCAAGCAATTCTCCTGCTTCAGCCTCCCGAGTAGCTGAGACTACAGGTGCGTGCCACCATGCCCAGCTAATTTTTGTATTTTTAGTAGAGATGGGATTTCACCATGGTGGCCAGGATGGTCTCGACATCTTGACCTCGTGATCCACCTGCCTGGGCCTCCCAGAGTGCTGGGATTACAGGCGTGAGCCACCACGCCAGGCCGACAGTACCTTACAAAACTAAACATACTCTTACCACATGTTTCAGCAATTGCAGTCCTTGGTACTTACCCAAAGAGATTGAAAACAAAGATATGTTCAACAAAAACTTGCACACAGATGGTTATAGCAGCTTTGTCCATAATTGCCAAGACTTGGAAGATGACTTTTAATAGCTAAATGGATAAATAACCTGTGGTACATTCAGACAACCAAATATTATGCAGTGATAAATAGAAATGAGCTAGCAGAGACATGTAAAGACATTGAGGAAACTTAGATATAAGTTGTTAAGTGAAAGAAGTCAATCCAAAAAGGCTACATACTTTAGGACCTCTGGGGGAAGGGAGGGATGAATAGGTGGAGCAGAGAGGATTTTTTTGGGTGGTGAAAGTATTCTGTATGATACTGTAATGATGGATATGTGTCATTGTGTGTTTCTCATAACCTATAGAATGTAAAATACAAAGAGTGATCCCTAATGTAAACTACGGTCTTAATAATAGTGTATTAGTATTGGCTCATCAATTGTAACAAATGTACCAGGAGATGTTAATAGTAGGGGAAATTCCTGCAAGAATTGCCCACTCCCACCCTCTCATTTCACAGATGAAGTCCCGTGACCCAGAAGTGCAAAGCCATCTGTTGCCGCTCCCATCCTATTGGAGACATAGCCCTGACTCTTCCTCTGAGTTGGGGTCCAGGGCTCTTTCTCTTCCTCTAAATAGCCACCTCAGCAGAGCCTCCTGGCAAGTAGGATTTAGTCTACACCAGGCTTCCTGCATGCCACTATTTACTTTCCTAATGAAGACAGAAAACGAGGTGTGAAGGCAGCAGCATGTTAGATTTTTCAGTTCTAATGGGAAGAATAAAAAACTCACTATGATGCACTAAAGAGCCATTAGTGAAAACAGTTTTAAGTCTCTACCTCAATTCCCAAGAAAGCTGATGGAGAAAAACGGCAGCTTCAACATTTGCACTTTGACTTGCCTCTCTCCATGGGAACTTCAGATTTCCTTCCTACAGCTAACACAATCCTAAATTTCTAGTGTGGCTTTCAGGGATTACCAAAGACAGAATGTTGAATGCATTGTATGGTTTCTGTCTTCAGTCATAGGAACCATTCTTTGCTCTAGGAGTAGCAATGAGATCCAAATCCAGGAAATATGGCAATATCTTCGATTTACATCATTAGCCCTCAGTATTATTTTTTTTTTTTGAGACTAGAAGCAGAAGGCTGCTTCATGCCTGGCTGCCTATCAAAAGAAGCAATTTTCATAAATCTATAGCTCTGAACAATGAAAACGGTTCCTTTTACCTCTGCTGAATCAGTGTCTGGAGCATCAGGGACAGGGGAAAAGTTCTAACATTAGCTTTTTTCTTCTACCTGCTGCTAATCAGAGTGCAAGCATGAAGTTGTATTCTTCTCAGGGCCAGTAAAGCAGGGAAAGAAATCACTAGTGCTCCTCTCCAGTCTGAAGATCAAATAAACAGCCTTTTTTATCATCCAGCTGCTAGGGGTATGGCTTGAGCTACAGACAGCTCATTAGAAAGAACCACAAAGTTAGAAATTTGGCCTTTGGGGGGAAAATGTCATTCTTCAAATTCCCTGTCTTGTATTCTTTAACTAAGTACATATCCTTTTTAGGGGCCAGATGGGATGGGGAGACCTGTTTTGAACCTTAAGACAATAATAAGAGCTTAGATATTTACTGAAGGAATGAAATGGTTTGTCTGAAAGTTGCCCAGTTTCACAACTGTTGTTCCATAAAACCAAAGAGAACGATGCTTGCCACGTGGGTAAAAGCTGACTTTAGTTGACGTCTCTTCCTTCATTCTTTTTCAGCTCACACATCCTCCCCATTCTCTGAGTTCCCACAAAGACTGTTATTGCTGGGGCTCATAAAATTATACTCCAAAGTATGATGCTTTGGCATCCAGAGTGCTTTGAACTATAGGAGATTGAAGGCCCCAGAAGCCAAGTTTCCCTCTGACCTCCTGCCTCCCTGTCTCCCACCCCCTACTTTTCCCCTGAAGTGAGTCCTGGAAACCAGAATTCTTCTTGCCCAAAGCAAGCCGTGACACCCTGGAAATATCACTCTAACCTTCCTTGCCTTTCCGTGTGGCAGCTGGCCATGAAGAAATTCTCTGACCTACCTTGTTTGATAGCAGATCACAAGACCCTGGTTCCAGAGCGGTCCTGCTTTACACCGAAGGAAAGGAATGTCATACAGAAAGGCCAAGAAGAATCTGAAGAGATGTCCAATCACCTTTTCACGTGGCTGCCCATTCTTCATTGAACCTAAGCATTAAAATAGACAGTTTCCCCTGGGTCTTTGGGTCTTCATTTCTGAAGACTCCATGTCATGTAAAACTTTGATTAAATAAATGTATCATGCATTACTTTTGCTAACCTGTCTTTTGTTATAGGAGTGTCGCCTGTGACCTTTATGATGGGTAAGGAAAGATTTCACATCTTTTCTACCCCTACATTATCATACTGTGAAATTTTATTATATGCTGTCTTGCCCTCATAGAAAGAGAATTTTGGAGTTTGAAAGAATCCTGCTAATCATGAAATCTGGTCCTTTATTTAACAGAAAAATTCCCAGAGACATGAAATGATTAGTACTGTTTCACAGAGAAGCAGAGGGAGAGCCAGACCCTCAGTCAGTCCAGGCTCTGCTGTCTTTGGAGGTGGGGTTTCAGGTCTCCCCAGCAGGGTTGTGAGGTCCCAAAGAACGGGAGGCAGGCCTTGGGCCATAGTGTCCTGCATCCCTCCAGAGCCTGCAGCAGGAGCTGGGCCCAAGGATGCTGCGGAGTGAGTCCACATGACTGACATACACTGCTCTGGAAGCACCATTCCGGCAGACTAGCCCTCTTCTTCCCATATAATCTGGGAAGGTTGTTATAGATAGTCCAGATTTTTCTAGATAATCTTGTAACATATTCACATTCAACATACATACAAAAATTCACACTTGGTATGGGTAGGAGAACTGTGCAGACTTCAGTAGAATTTATTTATTAAAGCTTTCTGTAGACGGTCATTTAAGGCCAGCAAAATGTTTTCGATCTCAGGGGTTAAATGGATTCAAAACAGAAATCAGTAAAGCTGTCATTGCAGATTTCTGTAATAGAGAGGCAAGTATAACAATTGATTAAGAATTCTATCCCTTTATATCTATAGAATATATAAGGCCCCTGGATACCCCTGGACCTCAACGCTCCACATTCCCCATTTCAGAAATCCAGGAGGACGTGTGGCACCGTGAGGGGACCACAGAGACCCTGTCTCTCCTGTCTAGTCTATGCATCTTCACTCGCCCGGCCCTCACTTCACAGAACAGGCATTCTTGCTCCAAAATCCCTCGCTCATTAGCTGCCCCTATCCTGCTGCTTACCCAGATTTTAACCCGTGAGTCACCCCACACCCTCCTGACATCTGCTTTTCTCAGGACATGGAAAATACGGACTTGGAATTTGAGCATTTTCTATGCACAGGAAAACTGAAATTGAGATTCAGGAAAGCTACTTACTGAATTTGATAATTTAGGTGTGGATTAAGATTGTAGGTGTTATCTTGAGAAGGCCCCAAGCAAGTTTCAGATGTACATCTTTTTTGAGAAAATGTGTGAGAGGCTATTTTGCTCTCAGTTCTCTGCTATTGTTAGGACCCCTAGTATTTACCTGCCCGCTTGCACTGTAACTCCAAAGGAAGCTTTCACCTAAAGCTTGGGAGAAATGATCTGCTAATAATCCATCACTGTGGTTCTTATCATGTTTCCCATTGTTTTCTCTTTTATGAGCAGTTCTTCTAATATTAGCATTTTCTTCTTCAAGCGTAACTACCATAACAATATTATCAGACACTTTGGGAACATTTGTGGTGCATGTTTTTGTTGTTGTTTTTTGTTTTTGTTTTTTGTTTTTTGAGACGGAGTCTGGCGTCTCCTCTGTTACCCAGGCTTGAGTGCAGTGGCGCGATCTCGATTCACTGCAAGCTCCGCCTCCTGGGTTCATGCCATTCTCCTGCCTCAGCCTCCCGAGTAGCTGGGACTACAGACGCCCGCCACCCCACCCGACTAATTGTTTGTATTTTTAGTAGAGACGGGGTTTCACTGTGTTAGCCAGGATGGTCTCGATCTCCTGACCTCGTAATCTGCCCGCCTCAGCCTCCCAAAGTGCTGGGATTAGTGAGCAACCGCACCTGGCCTTGTGGTGTGTTTTTATTCAACCCAGAAAGAATTTTGTTGCCAGCATTATTTGTATGTATTAATACTTTACTGAGAAACTGTGTCAGATATAGGGATATGCAAAGTTCCTAATGACAGTAGAAAACTAGAAATATGGGAAAAGTTTGAGCTTGAAATATGAAAATTAGAATGATGTACTTAATTAAATAAAAGAAATATTTGCAGATACGCTTGGACCAAGACTGATAATTAAAACACAGTACAATTTATTTCAACATTAAAATGTTGATTATGTATTTTCTTAGGGGGCAGGTATACATGTTCTTAAATAGTCAGAAACTAAATACACTCTTCAAATGTTGAGAAATAAGTAGTAAAATTTTTTATAAAAAGAAATAGCATGCCCACCTAGATTACTATTAATGAACACTCTTTTAGTTTTTGAATGAAACATTATCTTAGCATGGAAGTTTAAGAAAACAAAGATTTTTTAAAGTCACTATACTATGACATGTCCACAAAAATGTTTAGTAGATAGTTCCTCAGAAGTAATTTTCATAGATGAATAAAATGATGACCGTGCATATTCTTTTCGGTGGTCTTTGTAGATGTGTTAATTCACATGCGGTAAAAGGGAAAAGTTAACAAGTGCAAAGCATGAGAATCCCACATTTTAGTTTATACTGATTCTCATTAATTTATCCAGTGGTAATTCATTCTTCTTTTCCTTTTTATTTTTTTTAGACGGAGTCTCGCTTTGTCGCCCGGGCTGGAGTGCAGTGGCGCGATCTTGGCTCACTGCAAGCACCGCCTCCCGGGTTCATGCCATTCTCCTGCCTCAGTCTCTTGAGTAGCTGAGACTACAGGCGCCCACCATCATGCCCGGCTAATTTTTTGTATTTTTAATAGAGATGGGGTTTCACCGTGTTAGCCAGGATAGTCTCTATCTCCTGTCCTCGTGATTCACCCACCTCGGCCTCCCCAAGTTCTGGGATTACAGGCGTGAGCCACTGCACCCAGCCGGTAATTCATTTTTCATAATTGTTGCTTAGAGATTCTAACCCCAGTTCCCATTACCCATCCTGTCTCACACACAATAAAGTGTCATGTCTGCGTCACTAAATGTCTGCGTTGGAGTGAGTTTGAATTGTCTTTAATGTCAGACTCACTTCAGAGGAGGTGTGGTTTTCTTGCTTTTTTGTTTTTTTTGTTTTTTCACCTCTGTAGGACTTTTCCAAGTGGCTCCGGGTCAGTGAAAAGTTATTAAGAGCAGCTTCTACTTCTGTCCTAATTAAAAATTGTGCAAAACAAAAAAATACATCTTTTTGACACATTTTTTCTGAAGTAACCTCGTATTTTTTTCCTTCAAAAATTGAAATCAAAAGGTAAAATAAGTATACAATTTTAATTTCTGATACTGGCATAGTGTTTGTATCTGACTATCTTCATGGAGCAAAAGTCATGGAGATAAAAGATAAAAACTTCACAATTATTCAGTTATTTTGTTTATTGTTAAGTTTAAATCCTATTTGATTTAGCATTTTATTTTCTATAAATGTTTAAATAAACATTTTATAGAAAAGCCCAATCACTACCACCTCCTCAAATCACTGAGGTTGCCTCTAACCTGAGTGTAAATGGAAAGCAATTATATTATTTATCTGCTTTTACTTACTCATATTTAAGTGCTGGTATTTGTGCTTTAGGTCAAATAATATAAGATTTTCCCATAGAAATGATGGCAACTTAATAATTAAAATTTTAAAGCATCTTACAGGGAAGTATTTTTAGACAATATATCACTTGTTCATACCATGACTTAATCTCTTGGTGATAATTTTTTTTTGAGACGAATTCTCTCTGTCGCCCAGGCTGGAGTGCAGTGGTGCAATCTCAGCTCACTGCAACCTCCACCTCCCAGATTCAAGCGATTCTCCTGTCTCAGCCTCCCGAGTAGCTGGGACTACAGACGCCTGCCACCACGCCTAGCTAATTTTTGTATTTTTTTAGTAGAGACAGGGTTTCACCATATTGGCCAGGCTGGTCTCGAACTCCTGACCTCGTGATCTGCCCATCTCGGTCTCCCAAAGTGCTGAGATTACAGGCGTGAGCCACCGAGCCCGGCCTGATAATTTTATTTAACTTTTAACTTCAGTGTGACATGTACAGGTTTATCACATAGGGAAACTTGTGTCATGGGTGTTTGTTGTACAGACTATTTCATCAGCCAGGTATTAAGCCTAGTACCCATTAGTTATTTTTCCTGAATCTCTCCCTCCTCCCACTCTCCACCCTCTGAGAGGCCCCAGTGTGTGTTGCTCCCCTCTATGTGTCCATGTGTTATCATCATTTAGCTCCCACTTATAAGTGACAACAAGCGGTATTTGGTTTTCGGTTTCTGGGTTAGTTTGCTAAGGATAATGGCCTCCAACTCCATCGATGTTGCTGAAGAGGACATGATCCTCCTCTTTGTTCTGGCTGCATAGTATTCCATGGTGTATATGTACCACATTTTCTTTATTCAGCCTGTATGATAAATATTATTTTTTTTAAAATCTTGAGTTCTAAATTCTCCCAGTCAGTCATAAAGACAAGTATGAATAAATTACTATTTGGTAGTATAATGAAGGTTATAAGGAACATTTTAAAGTAATTCTTCAGAACTGTTTTAGACTATGCTGTTAGGAAATTGTAGTCTCTCTCAAATTTAACAGGCATTTTACCAAGCACATTTTTATAATTTGGAGATGAAGATTTTGTCCAGGAGCAGTAACGTAGACTCTAATAACATGAGAGCAAGCATGAGAACAGTATGTAAAGCCAAAGTCACCATCTCTCCTCCTACCCCCTCTTGGTGATTATTCTTAATTTCAGAGTCAAAAATGACTGCCATCTTTGCAGTTGAGAAGCCTAAAAGACATTCCTGACTCTTCTGTCTTCCTCACATTCATGTCTTCTTAATCAAGTCAATTTTATCTCTAGAATTTATCTGTATTAACCACCATCAACTCCCTGGGCACAGTGACACCATCATGTGGCCAGCTGATCTCGCCCAGCTACTCTTGATGCTGGTATTAGTCTGTTCTCACACTGCTATAAAGAACTACCTGAGACTGGGTAATTTATGAAGAAAAGAGGTTTAATTGACTCACAGTTCCACAGGCTGTACAGAAAGCATAGTTGGAGAGGCCTCAGAAAATTTACAATCATGGCTGAAGGCCAAAGGGAAGCAACCACATCTTCACATGGCTGGCAGAAGGGAGAGAGAGAGCCAAGGGGGAGGTGCTACCCACTTTCACACAACCAGATCTCGTGAGAACTCACTCACTATCATGAAAACAGCAAGGAGAGATCTGCCTCCATAGTCCAATAACCTCCCACCAGGTTCCTCCTCCAATATTGGGGACTACAATTCAACATGAGATTTGGGTGGGAACACAGAGCCAAACCATATCAGACCCCTTCCTGTCTATTATCCCCAATGTATCCACAGTTATCTTTGAGATGGAAGCCTGATCATGTCATCCACAGGTCAAAATGGTGTTAATGGATTCCCATTATCTCAGTGGTGTCAAGGACTTCTGGTTATTCCAATGCCCAGGAGATAAAGTCCAAAGACTCAGCTAGGCCTCTAAAATCCTGTACGGTCTTTCTGTGTCCCCCCAAGTCACCATGCACAGGGCTTCCCACTCTGCTCACTGTGCCACACCAGCCTTCACTCAGGCCCCCAACACTCCTTGCTCTCCTGCCACAGCGATTTCACATAAGCCAGTTCTACTTTCTGAATTGCTCTTCTCACTACAAAAACTCTCACATTAATTTTTTTCATCCTGCAGATCTCAGCTCAAATGTCATTCCTCAGAGAAGCAATCCTGACTCCCTAGAGTAAGTCAGGTTCTGCTATTTTATGCTTCCAATGAATCATATTTCTTTTTAAAATCACTAATCACAGCTTTAATTTTGCCAATATTTGTGCATTTGATTAAAGTAGCTCTCCCTGAATAGACTATATGTTCCTTGAGGTCAAATTTATGTCTAATTTGCTCACCTCTTTACCCCCAACTCCACACCCAGTCCAAAACATTTGTTGGGAGAATAAATAAATAATTGTTGAACACTTTTGTGAGTTGAGACCTTCTTGGTAAAGGGAACATAGGCGTGAGCTGAAGTCAGTGCTCCCAAGGGGCTCTATTCCAATATAGGGAGACTATTTCAAACAAAAACACAAATGTGTTATAGGTCAATTGAGAAGAAAAGGCAGGTCCACAGGTAAGAGAGTAACCCATGGGTAGAAGAAATTCAGCTTTACCTTGACTGGTCATAGAAGGTGTTCCTGAGAAGCTATCTGAGAATTTTACCAGCCAGGTATTAGATATATCCTTTGTAATAAAAGCCATGGTGAGAGAATTTACACAATAGAAATCAGCAAATGCTACAAATCAGGGGTTTCATTCCTTTTGTTTTAGAGAGCCCATTTAGCTTCACACTACAAGCCTCATTCTTTAAAAATCAGTCCTTTATTTTCAGTTACGATTTACATATGTTGGGAGTAAGATGCCAGCACATATCCAAATAGATATGTCCACTATAACTATTTTAGTAATGGTGACAAGAAAATGTATCTTGGTCAACCATGGTTACAGGTAGAACAATTTCTCCCCTTAATATTTATCTAAAAAAAACCTTTTATTAACAGGCTTGATGAGGTTAAAATTTATGTAAAATTAACTGCACACGTATAAAGTATACAATTTAACAAGCATAGGCACATACATACATCCATGAAACCAACACCACTCTCAAGGAGGGCAACTCATCCACCACACTCTCAAGTTTCCTTTGTCCTTTGGCAATGTTTGTTTTTGTAATCACTTTGTACCCACTCCTTCTTAGGCAACTATTTATTTCTTTTCTGTCACTGTAGATTGGTTTGAATTTTCTAGAATTTCATAGAAATACAATTTTTACAGTATGTACTCTTTTTGCCTGCCTTTTTTCACTCACCGTATTTATTTATTTTATTTATTTTTTTGAGATGGAGTCTCGCTCTGTCGCCCAGGCTGGAGTGCAGTGGCATGATCTCGGCTCACTGCAAGCTCTGCCTCCCAGGTTCATGCCATTCTCCTGCCTCAGCCTCCTGAGTAGCTGGACTACAGGTGCCTGCCACCACGCCCGACTAATTTTTTGTATTTTTAGTAAAGACAGGGTTTCACCATGTGTAAGCCAGGATGGTCTCAATCTCCTGACCACGTGGTCTGCCCGCCTTGGCCTCCCAAAGTGATGGGATTACAGGCATAAGCCACCACACCTGGCCACCATATTTATTTTGAAATTAACTCATTTGCATTAATAGTTCATTCCTTTTAAATATTGGATTACTATTCCATTGGACGGTTATACTACAATCATTTATCTATTCAACAGTTGATGAACATCTAGGCTCATTTCTTACTATTAAAAATAAAGCTGCCATAAACATTTGTGTACAAATAGTTCTGTGGACATTTGTATTTATTAGGCTTTTTTATTCTGTAGTATTAATGCTTTGACATCTTGTTGCCTTACTGACTCACTGATATACTTTTTCTTCAATAGGAATGTAACCAAGTGAGTAATTAAGACAAAATGTGAAAACAGTTTAATATTTGTCTAGTCTTACACAAGAATTTTTGTCTCATTTTTCAACTATAAGAAAAAGTACTAAAGATTAATTTATTCAAAAGTTGGAACTTTCTTCCTTATTTTTGCCAAAATATCACACCTGAAGGATTTTGTTGTTGTTATAAATGTTGAGAGGTATGCATTTTTGTATTCCTATGAAATGTCATAGATATGAAATACTACATTCTAGGGAATATTTTAAAACAAAATATGACAGCTTTTCTAGCATTAACTATTAATGGCTATAAAAATTAGCATTATCTTTGTGCTTGGCTGCTCAGCTTTGTGTTGAGATAAACTACATGTTAGGTAGGAATGACAGCCAACTTACAATTAACATTTTTCATATCATATATTTGCTCAAGGGTATATTTTACCAAAAATTATAATGCTTTTAATGTAGGTTTCAATTTTCTTCCAAAATGAACTAAAAGGATTTTTTTTCCTGGTAATCAGAAAAAGAGAATGTGATAAGTTTCATTTATATTGAGTAATAAATTATAGTAGGCAGGTGTTTGCTTGCTATCTGTCCTTCATTGACACATTAGTCAATTGATTCATGCATAGTAAATTATCAGTTAATGTATTCTGGCCCACAACATACTCAAAATGCTTTAGACTGTGAAGATTCTTTCTATATAACCCTAAAAAGCCCTAGTTTAGGAGAAAAGGTACATGCCTTTGGCATGGCACTATATTCATAAAGAGATGTGATTTTTTAAAAAACTCCCTTTTTATGAAATTATTTTCTCTACTAAACTGCTATGAAAATGCTACCATTTTAACTAGAGAAAGAAAATCCACATTTGAGAGAATGGACTATTTTTTATTCAGTTTACTTAAAATCTGCCTAAGATTTCTGAAACTTAGTCAGCTCAAATGACAAATTAAACCTAATACAAAAGGGCAGATTCAAGGGCATGAAGGATGAAGTACATGGGCCTTGAAGTCAGGAAAACCAAGCGTCTAACAGGCTTTTGCCAACAAATTGGGTAACATTAGAATGAGACATGTAGTGTAGTGGTGTGACCATGGTTCTCTGCAGCCTTGACCACCTGGACTCAAGCGATCCTTCTGCCTCAGCCTCTCTAGTAGTTGGAACTATAGGCATGCACCACCATGCCTGGCTAACTTTCTAAAAAATTTTTTGTAGAGACAGGGTCTCGCTTTATTGCCCAGGTTGGTCTTGAACTCCTGGGCTCACACAATCCTTCCACCTCGTCCTCGCAAAGTGTTGGGATTACAGGCGTGAGCCACTGCACCTGGCCTGAGGTAGGTTTTTGTTTGTTTGTTTGTTTTGAGACGGAGTCTCGCTCTGTCGCCCAGGCTGGAGTGCAGTGGCACGATCTCGGCTCACTGCAAGCTCCGCCTCCTGGGTTCATGCCATTCTCCTGCCTCAGCCTCCGGAGTAGCTGGGACTACAGGCTCCCGCCACCACGCCCGGCTAATTTTTTGTATTTTTGGTAGAGACGGGGTTTCACCGTGTTAACCAGGATAGTCTCGATCTCCTGACCTCGTGATCCGCCCGCCTCGGCCTCCCAAAGTGCTGGGATTACAGGCGTGAGCCACTGCGTCCAGCCTGGCCTGAGGTATATTTTTAAAAATAATTGATCACCATAATGTAGAGCCTAATTAACGTGCTGTCTGCTATAATCCATATGGATTGCAGGCATTTCTCTGCTAAAATGTACTAAAGTGAGCCAGAGCAAGCAGCGGCTCCTGCCTGCTGGAGGATCAGTCCCTGCCCTCTGTCTCTATGCCAGGCCTGAGCTAGCTCCTGCTGCTCTCACAGCCAGGTGACAACCCCATTTGCTGGAACCAACATGCAAATAAGTCGCTTTATTCAATCTACCAACTCTGCCACAGAAAATAAAAAGTGTATACTGCGTTCTTTCAGAATATGATTTTCTAAATTAATTCAACAGGAAATAAATAACAGAAACAGTTTACCACAACAAGTAATACCCTATAGTGACATTTGTTGTTGTACAGTCTCTATTATCTCTTAGAACCAAAAATACCCAGATATTGTGACCTAAAATCTAATCTTTCAAGATGCTTCAATAAAAGAATTAGCAATGGTCAAGTAAATGTAGTAACTGCTGCATTTCTACATTATTTTTGGAGATTTTAAATGTTTACCAGGTTAAGGGTTCAAAGAAGACTTTTGTTTCAAATTAGCGTTTACCAGATGTAATTGACTGTGGACACGTTTTTACATAAAATTTATTAGCACACACATGGTAGAATTAGTTCAGAAGAAAAGCACATCTGTCAGTAAATGTTCAGTACAAGCAGGCCAAATATGAAATATCTCATTTTATATCCAAACCTCTAGAATCAGTTAAAATCTGGAACTTGCTCATTTAGTCGCTTTAATAACCTTTCTAAAGAATTGCATCTATCACCTGGTGACTTTTGAAATCATTTTATACATTTTATATTTTAAAAATATGAGACCATTTATTGTTTTTACCTACAGACCATGACATTCAAGGTTGCCTATGGCTGATCACCCACCCACTCCATCCCCACCATTAACTGTCCTGGCCTCTTTGTCACTCTGTATTCTATATATTGGAGATCTATATCCATTATTTCAGTTTCCTGAACCCACTGAGTTCTTCCATCCATTGCCATTTCCTCTGCTTGGAATGTGTTAATTCCCTCTCTCTTTACAGGACGGGTTTCTATAAAGCCATCCATAAACCAGCATCATAAGACAGAATTTGAATTTTCAGTGTGACATCAGCAAGATGGTGAAATAGGCATTTTCAGCACTCATCTCCTCACAGAAAAATCAATTTGAACAACCATCCATGAATGAAAATACCTTTGCAAGAGCTAAGGAATCCAGGTCAGAGATTATAGCACCTGGACAGAGTACAGAAATAAGAAAAGGCACATTGAATAAGGTAAGGAGGACAGTATTGCATTACCAGTGTGACGTCTACCCCAAGCTTACACATCACAGTAGAGAGAGAGATACCTTTTGCATGGGGAAAGGAAAGTGAAGTGAGTGCCTGACTCTCACATGGATTTTGGCACCAGACTCCTACCAGTGAATCTTGGCACAAAGCAGGTCCCATTGTTCCAGGCTACAGATCCACCTTCATGGTCTCAGGCACCAGACCTGTTCCCATGAAATCAGGTACCAGTGTGCCCTAATACCAGTGTGCCTAATGCCAGACTGATCCCTGTGGTCTCAATATGTGGCTCATTTTCATAGACTTAGCTTCCAGGCTCACCCCAACACCAATTCAGCTTCCAGGTTCGCCCCAGCACCAGGTCAACCTTTGCATCCCCAAGCTGCAGGCCAATACCTGCACCAGGTTAGCCTCTGTGGCCCCAAGATCTAGACCAGCCCTTGTGGCCTCCAGGCCCCAGGCCAGCTCACATGACCTCAGGCAACAGGCCCATCCAGAGCCATGCTGGCACCCACACCTTCAAGCTCCAGGATGGCCCCTGCAGCTCCAGGCTCCAACATAAGGCCAACCCCTATGGACCCAATTCCAGGCCTGTTTTCATGGTCTTAGGTACTAGGCTTTTCCCAATGGAATCAGATATGAGGCCTGTCTCAGTTGACCCTAGGGCCAGGCTGCTGCCATAGATTCTATGCTGAACCCAGCCTCATAAACTCAGGTTCTGGGCCCGCCCGGTACCAGAATATCCCCTATGAACTCAGGCTCAAGGCCCTTCCCGGTGCCAGATTGGCCTTATGGACTCAGGCTCCAGGCCTATCCCTGAAGACCAAGTCTACTCTCGTGGGCTCTGGTACCAGGCCAGTCACCTCAGACCCAGGAGCCAGTCCACACCCACAGACCCAGAATCCAGACCCACCCATGTAGACCCATGCTCATAGTCCACTGAGTGGACTGGGGCTATAGGCCTGCCCCCACAGGCCAAGGCACCAGGCCAACCCTTGCAGACTCAAGAGCCAGGCCCACATGCCCACTGACCCAGGCACCAGGCCAGCCCCCTAAAATAATCCCACCCATGGACCATTCCAGTTGGCCTTCCCAGAATCTCTGGACAAGCTGACTGGTAAAAGGATTTCCCACTGAAGTGTCTGTAAAGACTGTAAGAGGTGCCTACTTCTTCAAATATGAATACACCAAGGCAAAGCCACAAGGAACATAAATAATCAGGGAAACATGACATCACAAAAATAATGTAATACCCATAACCAATCTAAAGAAATGGAGATCTATGAACTTCCTGAAGAAGAATTCAAACTAATTGGCTTGAAGAAGCTCAATGAACTACACAAGAAGACACAGCCAACCAAACAAAATCAGGAAAACAATGTGTGAATAAAATGAAAAGTGTGACAGAGAGAAAACATAAAAAATAACCAAACAGAAATTCTGAAGCTGAAGAACATAATGACTGAACTGAAAAATTTCAGAGATCTTCAACAGCAAACTTGATAAAGCAGCAGAAAGAGGCAGTGACCTCAAACACTGCTTATTTGAAATTAACCAGTCAGAGGAACAAAAGAAAAAAAGAATGAAAAGAGTGAAGAAGACCGACAGGATTTATGGGCCACCATCAAGCAAACCTAATATGCATTAAGAAAGTCCTAGAAGGAACAGAGAAAGAGAAAGAGGAAAAAGCCTTCTTTAAGAAAATAACAGAAAATTTCCCAAATCTGGAGAAGTAAATGAAAATCCAGGCCAATGAGTTCAAAGAATTTCAAATAGATTAAACATAAAGAGATCATCACCAAGACACTGTATAATCAAGTTGAAAACTTTTCCTCTAACATCAGGAACAAGACAAGGATGCCCACTCTTACCACTTTTATTCAACATACAAATGGGTATCCTAGTCAACAAGAAAAAGAAATAAAAGGTATCCAGTTTGGAAAGAAAGAAGTTAAATTGTCTCTCTTTGCAGATGACATGATCGAATATATAAAAATCCCTAACACATACTTAGAAATAAATTTAATAGATAACTTTAAAAATTAAAAAAATAAATTTAATCAATAAGGTAAAAGGTATATACACTGAAAACTATAAAATATTGATGGAAGAAATAAGACACAAATAAATGAAAATACCCTGTGATAATGGATTGAAAGAATTAATATTGTCAAAATGTTCATACTACTCACCATGATCTACAGATTCAATGAAATATTTATCTAACTTCCAATGGCATTTTTCACAGAAATAGAAATAACAATGTTAAAACTTATATGGAGGCCAGGCGCAGTGGCTCACGCCTGTAATCCCAGCACTTTGGGAGGCCGAGGCAGGTGGGTCACCTGAGGTCGGGAGTTCGAGACCATCCTGCCCAACATGAAGAAACCCTGTCTCTACTAACAAAAAAATACAAAATCAGCCGGGCATAGTGGCGCATGCCTGTAATCCCAGCTACTCAGGAGACTGAGGCAGGAGAATTGCTTGAACCTAGGAGGCTGAGGTTGTGGTGAGCAGAGGTTGCGCCATTGCACTCCAGCCTGGGCAACAAGAGCGAAACTCCATCTCAAAAAAAAACCCAAAAACCTATACGGAACCACAAAAGATCCCAAATAAAGCAATTTTAAGCAAGAAGAACAAAACTGAATGAATTATATTACCTAATTTTATAATATATTACAGAGTTATAGCAATCAAACATGATGGTATTGGCATTCATCAGAGGTATAGACCATTTAACAGAACAGAGAGCTCAGAAATAAATCCATACAATTACAGTAAATTGATCTTTAACAAAGGTGCTAAGAACCCAGAATGGAAAACATAGTCTCTTTAGCAAAAGGTGTAGGAAAAACTGGATATCTACAGGCAGAAGAATGAGATTGGACCCTTGTCTCACACCACATGCAAAAATCAACTCAAAATGGATTAAAAACTTAAACACCTAACAATGTAAAAATACTGGGGGAAAACCTTCTTAACATTATTCTGTGGAATAAATTTTTGGATACGACTCCAAAAGCAAAGGCAACAAAAGCAAAAATAGACAAATGGGATTACATCAAACCAAAAAACTTCTTCATAGCAAAGGCAATAATCAACAAAGTGAAGAAACAATTTATAGAATGGGAGAAAATATTGTGAGCCATACATTTGGTGAGGGGTCAGTATCCAACATATATACTAAAATCAAACAACTCAATTTCAAGAAAACAAATAACCCAGTTTTAAAAATGGGCAAGGGACTTAAGTAGACATTTCTCCAAAGGATATATCTATTTGGCCAACAAATGTATGAAAAAATTTTATAATATATTTGTATTATATCAATATCAATATATTGATATATCAAAATCACTAGTCATCAGAAAAAAATGTAAATCAAACCACAGCGAGGTGTAATTTCATAATCTAGAATGGGTATTATAAAAAAGATTAAAGATAAGTGTTGATGAAGGTGTGGAGAAATGGGAACCCTTGTACACTGTTGGTGAGAATGTAACTTAGTACCCCCATTATGGAAAACAGTGTAGGTTTCTGTGATGACTGGTTCTTCCAAAACAGGTTTCTCAAAAAATTAAAAATAAGCTACCATATCATTAAGCAATACCACTAGTGGTTATATATCCAATGGAAAAGAAATCACTATCTCGAAGAGATATCTGCACTCCCATATTCAATACAACATTATTCATAATAGTTAAAATATGGAAACAACCTGAGTGTCTGTCGACAAGTCACTGGATAAATAAAATGTAGTATATGTGTACCATGGAATATGATTCAGTCTTGGAAAAGAAGGAAATCCTCTCATTTGTGACAATGGATGAATCTGGAGGACATTATAGTGAGTGAACTAAACCAGGCACAGAAACGCAAATACTGAATGATCTTACTTATAGATGCAATCTAAAAAGGAAAAAAAAAAAGTGAAACCTACAGATGTAGACAGTAGGATGATAGTTACCAGGGGACAGAAGATGGGAAAAACGGGGAGATGTTGGCTAAAGGGTACAAAGTTTCTGTTATACAGGATAAATAATTTCTGGAGATTTTATTTACAGCATGGTGACTATAGTTAATACTGTATTATATACTTGGAATCTGCTGAAAGCAGCTCTCAGATGTTCTCACCACACACACACACACACGCACACCACACACACAAATGGTGACTATTTGAGGTGATGCATATGTTCATTAGCTTGGTAGTGGTATCATTTCACAATGTATATGTGTATCAAAACATCAGATTGTATACCTTTTTTGATGTTTGTTTTGTTTTGAAACAGAGTCTCACTTTTGTTGCCCAGGCTGGAGTGCAGTGGTGAGATCTCGGCTCACTGCAACCTCCCCCTCCTGGGTTCAAGCAATTCTGCCTCAGCCTCCTGAGTAGCTGGGATTACAGACACCCACCACCACGACCAGCTAATTTTTGTATTTTTAGTAGAGATGGGGTTTCACCATGCTGGCCAGGCTGGTCTCGAACTCCTGACCTGGGGTGATTCGCCAGCCTTGGCCCCCCAAAGTGCTGGGATTACAGGCATGAGCCACTGCGCCAGGCCTGTATACCTTAAATAAACACAATTTTGTTTACATGCCCCCGGCTCTGCTTTCTTGGACACAAGCTGCCTGACTCTAGGAAGATGCCAACACCCTGTCCATAGTCTCACTACAACCATTTCCTTACAGCACTGAAAATCATTTACACTTGCTTGTTTACCAGGTTGTTTCCTTGTTATTGTCTCTCCTTCACTGGATAAATAACTTTTTTTTTTTTTTGAGATGGACTCTTGCTTTTGTCACCCAGGCTGGAGTGCAATGGCACAATCTTGGCTCACTGCAACTTCTGCCTCCCGGGTTCAAGAGGTTCTCATGTCTCAGCCTCCCAAATAGCTGGGATTACAGGCGCCTGCTACCACATCCGGCCAATTTTTTGTATTTTTAGTAGAGACAGGGTTTCATCATGTTGGCCAGGCTGGTCTTGAACTCCTGACCTGAAGTGATCTGCCCACCTTGGCCTCCCAAAGTGCTAGGGACTGTAGGTGTGAGCCATCGTGCCTGGCCAGATAGCAGATATAATAGCCCCATGTCTGTTTCTTCACTGCTCCATCAAAGTACCCAGCATAGTGTCTGGCACACAGTTGGACACTGGGTGAAGATTTATTGAATGGGGAGTGAATTCTGTAGGGGAATTAGGAATTGAACCAGGAGTGCCTTTTGGAGATACTTAACCTCCAGTGTTTGAGGCTAAGAATGATCTGAGAAAACTGAAGCATGGACTAAAAAGCAGTGCTGAATGAAGCTAAGAAAAAACATAATGTGGTTGTCAATCTCCTGAATCTTCTGTTTATTAGGCCAAGCATCCTGTGGGTAGAAGTTCAGCCTTTCAGAACCCAAAAGTCACTCACTGGACTCAGGCATGACTAAAGATTCCATCATATGAAAAGCAAGGGAAGATAACCCAACTCTTCTGTAGACTCAGTCCCTTCATCCACAGCATGAAGCGATTGAATGAGGAGACCTATGATGTCATCTGGCCTCGACAGGCTATGATGAAATAACTTTAAATTGGGAAATTCTCTGATTTGAAAAGGGGATTTTCTGCTCTGACATAAGCCTGCCAGACACTTTTGTTTAAGTTGGGACACTTTCCTCATGCCAAATGCCTGCCATGTAGGTATTACACCATTGTAATAGACAGAGCTGCATGCCGACATCCTAGAGAAACAGGTCATGCTGAAGCTGGCCTACCTCAAGAGGTTCTACTGTGACTGTCACAGTAGATATGGGCATGGGACCTGGACAGGGAAAAAGAGCAGCTGAATAATGTTAACAGTGGTGGTAACTAGGGTAGGATGCAATAGTCCACACTAGTTATTTGTATAAATTTTATATTACAATTTTAAATCAATACCTTTCCTCCTCTGCACCTACAACTTGACAATGACTGATTTTTTAATGTTTCTAGAATTTGGCCTTTTCCAGAATCCCTTATCATTAAAATCATACAGTATATCATCTTTTCAGACTGGCTTCTTTCACTGAGCAGTGTGCATTTAAGGTTTTGCCATGTATTTTCATGGCTTGATGATTAACTTTTTTATTGCTGACTAATATTTCAGTGTGTACATACCAAATTTGTTTACCCTTACACAATTTGAATGATGATTGGTTCCTTCCAATTTTTGGCAATTATGAATCAAGCTGCAATAAGCATTTATATGCAGCTTTTGTGTGGACATGTATTTTCAACCCATTTAGGTAAATACCTAGGAGTGAAATCGTTGAATCATTTGGCAAGACTCAAACTGTGTTCCAAAGTGGTTGCATCATTTTGCATTCCCACCAGGAATGAATGACAGCTTCTGGTGCTCCATATCCTTGTCAGAAATTGGTATTGTCAGGTTTTTTTTATTATACCCATTCTAATAGGTGTATAGCTTCTCAATACTGTTTTAATTTGTAATTAACTAATGACATTTGATGTTGAGCAACTTATAAATGTTTATTTGCCACATGTATAACATCTTTGGTGAGATATCTATTCAGATCTTCTGTTTCCTTTTTTTAATGAACATATGGTTCATTTTCTTCAGGCTGTTGATATGATGGGTTGCATTAAATGATTTTCAAATGTTGAGTCAAACTTGTAAAGCAGTATATTTCCCTGACCCTTTCATGGGTAGGAACTGGAGTGCATGAGTGCCTGCAGGGGCGAACTCCATTCACTTGCTGCTCCACCCCTCGCCGGAGGGGGAGTGCAGGTGTAGGTGTAGGAGCTGGGGCAAGTGCTTTTGGGCACCAGCAAGAGTAAACTCTGTACTGACTCTGTGGCAGCATCTAGGGGAGGGTCCCCGTGACCCCTGAACCCCCAGAGAAAGTGTTACAGTGCCCTTTTAGCTTTGCCATTCATGGAGGGCTAAAGTGTTAACAGCTCAGTGCAGGGTCAGTGTGACACCCTTTTGCACCCACACTCAGGGCACCTGAGTTCTTGTCTGACATCCAGGAGGAATGAGGTTGCACAGAGAAATTGAAGATGGTAAATGTGGGGGATTTTATTGCCATTGAAAGTGGCTCTCAATAGGAAGGGGAGCTGAAAAGGGGTCAGAGCAGGAAGGTAATCTTCCCCTGGAGTCTGGCTGTCCCCAGCCGACTCTTCTCCAAAGCTACACCATCAAGCTGCTTCTCTCTAATGTCCCTCTGAAGTCAAGCTGCTTCTCTCCGATGTCTAGCCGTAGTCTCCAATGTCCAGCTGCATCTCCTCTTTCTGCCGGCTGAGCTCTGGGGTTTTTATAGGCACAGGATGGGAGGTGGAGCCATGGGTGGTTTAGGAAAAGGCAACATTCGAGGGGGAAAACAGGGATGTAAGTTTTCACTTTGGGCCGTGGTCCAGAGGCTTTTTGGCTTGAGGGTGGGGCCCTCATGGGGGTCCCCCATGAGGGCCCCACCCTCTTCTGCCCAGAATTTCCCTGCATCCTGTCCCTATCACTTGTATACTCAGAATAAATCTCCCTTAGTCATGGTGTATAATTCTTTTCACACAGTGTTGGATTCAGTTTGCTATTTTTTTTCCAGCTTTATTGAAGTGTAACAGACAAATACGAATTTACATATACTCAAGGTACATAGTGATTTGGTATATGTACACATGGTAAAATAATTACCATAGTCAACATAATTAACATAACCATCATTTCATATAGTTACCATTGTGTGTGTGTGTGCTGTTTCCTAAATTTTTGTGTGTGTGTTTTAGTTTTTAGACTTCTTAAAATCTTATTTTTAATGTATAAATAACAGTTGCATATATGTGTGGGATACAATGTGATGTTCTGATATATGTTTACATTGTGAAATGAATAAGTCATGTTTAATTAACAAATTCATCAAGGCAATAGAATATTGCAGGAGAGGAGACAGACTGAGCTTAACCCTGAATACAGCATGGGCAGGTGGGAATTTGTAGCTATGGAGCAGTGTGGGAGTCAGTGGATAAAAAGTTACTAAGAGGAAGGAAATATTAGGGGTGAGGGGGATTCTGGTTAAATCTGCCGAAGCCAGATGGGGGTGATCAGACCTCACCTGGGGGACAGTGGAAGATGCAGACCCTGATTTCATATGGAGGATGATCAGATATCCAGCATGGGGGTGCTTGCTAAATTGACTTAGCGGGGATTTTTGCTCAAACTGGATTTTACAAAGACATACATAGATGGGCCTAGGAGAAGGTTCAGGATGCTGACTCACTAAGGTTTCACCAAGCAATCTTTGTCAATACCAACAAACAAACCCCAAACCCAAGAGGCTTAAAACTTAAAGTTTATTTACCGTTTTGATTATTACACATTCTGCAATCATCAGCATAGAATATTAAGTTAGGGATCGCTAAGGGCTTTATGACTTGTTTCTAAACTGTGACCATCAAGTCCCTCCAAATCTCCAATAAATCTGATAAATTCATGAATCAAAGCTATTCTTTGCTGAGAAAAAAATGGTACAGTAAAATGTACAAGTTTGATAGAAAAAGCAGATTTTGATTTAAATTAGAGAAGAAACTTTTAAAAAATTAAATATGCTTTCAGTTTTACCCAAGGAAACCACACAGGTTACTGCTGCATGCAGAGTGCCAGGCACATGATCCAAAGCTACTGAGATAGCAACCACGTTGTTTCATTTATTTTAAAATATGTATAATCTGAAAGAGGGGTAGATGCTTCCAGAAAAAGAAAGGCTTGTCTTGTTCCAGTGAAAATAATAGAGATTTTATTAAAATAAATATTTTACCTGAATGACTTGGACAATTTGCAAAATTTGTGTTCGAGGGTGATTAAGTGGGTTGCTTTTCTGACCAACTTTCTTTATTTAATGCCGACTGTAAGATCAATTATTTGCTATTCATGAACGACCAAAAATAAAACACTCTTATTGAAAATATTGGAATGTAAAATGCTTCCTCTTGGTTCGATAATGGAGGATGGGGAGGCTTTCATTTTGCTACTTAAATGAAGCTTGATTCATTTATCTTTATTTTCAGCCTTCATGACTCAATTATAATTACAATCATGTATAATTTTGAATATTCATACAATGAATTTTTTTTTTTTTTGAGGCAGAGTATCGCTCTGCCACCAGGCTAGGGTGCAGTGGTGCAATCTCGGCTCACCACAACCTCCACTGCCTGGGTTCAAGATATTCTCCTGCCTCAGCCTCCCGAGTATGACTACAGGCGCATGCCACCATGCCCAGCTAATTTTTGTATTTTTAGTAGAGACAGGTTTCACCATGTTGGCCAGGATGGTCTCCATCTCTTGACCTCGTGATCTGCCCACCTTGGCCTCTCAAAGTGCTGGGATTAGAGGCGTGAGCCACCGCGCCTGGCCCTACAATACAAATTTTTAATTGCTGACTTTATTGGCTGTTGCCAGAACATCACTGAATCGATGTGTCAGAGTTTCTCACCCTCAGCACTAGTGACATTTTAGGCTGGATAATTCTGTGTTGTGGGGGCCTGTCCTGTGCATTATAGGATGTTTAACAGCATCTCTGGTCTCTCTCCATGAGATGCCAGCAGCATCCACCCAGCCCCACTTATAATAACTGAAAATGCCTCCAGATATTGCAAAATGTCCTCTGAGGGGCAAAATCATACCCTGATTGAGAACCATGGGCCCGATGTTATCATTGAGAAACTAACAAAGCCTTAATCAGCTTATTAAAAATACATATTTATTAGCTAATATTGAGAAAGAGTGTTCCTCCACTACATATTGTCTGTTTAGTAACAATACATATTCTAATCCTCTTTATAAAATATTTACCAAGGGTGCTGTATGAAAGAACATTAGACATTTAAAAACGAAAATGGAATGCTCATTTGACCTAGTCTGTGCCCCGTGAGCCTAAGGTAAAATGGGGTTTTTTTTTTTTTTTTTTTTGAGACGGAGTCTCGCTCTGTCGCCCAGGCTGGAGTGCAGTGGCGTGATCTCAGCTCACTGCAAACTCCGCCTCCCGGGTTCACGCCATTCTCCTGCCTCAGCCTCCCGAGTAGCTGGGAATACAGGCGCCTGCCAGGAAGCCCGGCTAATTTTTTGTATTTTAGTAGAGACGGGGTTTCACCGTGTTAGCCAGGATGGTCTCGATCTCCTGACCTCGTGATCCGCCCACCTCGGCCTCCCAAAGTGCTGGGATTACAGACGTGAGTCACCGCGGTCGGCGTAAAATGCGGTTTCTAACCATGCAAGTGACTGAAGCAAAGCAGAGGCGGGGGAGTGCGCTCAGAGTGGGGGCAGGGATGCTCTGGCCACAGATGGGAGTGAGAGGAATCCTCTTCCTACAGGTTCCCCTCTCACCCTCCTGTCTCTACATCCTCCACTCACACTAACTGATCCAATCACATCACTCTTTTTTTTTTTTTTTTTTGAGACAAAGTCTCACACTGTCGCCCAGGCTGGAGTGCAGTGACGCGATCTCGACTCACTCCTGCCTCAGCCTCCCAAGTAGCTGGGACTACAGGCGCCCGCCACAAAGCCCGGCTAACTTCTTTTATATTTTTAATAGAGACAGGGTTTCACCATGTTAGCCAGGATGGTCTCGATCTCCTGACCTTGTGATCCGCCCTCCTCAGCCTCCCAAAGTGCTGGGATTACAGGCGTGAGCCACCGTGCCCAGCCCATCTCCCCAGAATTTTTCACCTGTGCCTTACTTTAAAAAAATGTTTCCCCTAAATGCATTGCAAATAAAACTAGAGCAGGAATTTTTAATCTATCTTACTCACTTTTATAAAACTTCTTGCTAGAATATTGTGTGCCTGGGCGCATACAAGACGCTGGATATGTGTTAAAAGAATGAATGAATGAATGAATGACTCAAATATTATCTCAAACTTCACTGGGTACTTTGAGTTTTTACAATAAAGTTCTCATTCACTCTTCCCAGTCATGGTAGGCAGTTCCTCTCCTCAGTGGATGGCTGCCATTATCTAGAAAATGGGCAGGTGCTATCAATCTGGGTACAATTTAATTTAGGTTAACCAGGATTACCTACTACATGATTTTTGAAGGTTCATTGCAAATAATGCAGTTATCCAAGGCAAAACACTAAATATTTCTAGGCCCATTTGATTCCTTAAATATTTTTGCCTCTCGGTAGCTAATGTTCATTTCTGGGATTGGATTTAAATACTGGTCTGAATTCAAGTTTCTTATTTTAATTAAAATCACTTATTTTTAAAATATGCTTTATGGGCCTGGCACGGTGGCTCCTGCCTGTAATCCCAGCACTTTGGGAGGCCGAGGCAGGCGGATCACGAGGTCAGGAGATCGAGACCATCTTGGCTAACATGGTGAAACCCCGTCTCTACCAAAAATAGAAAAATTAGCTGGGTGTGGTGGCGGGTACCTGTAATCCCAGCTACTCTGGAGGCTGAGGCAGGAGAATGGCGTGAACCCGGGAAGCAGAGCGCACAGTGAGCCGAGATCGCGCCACTGCACTCCAGCCTGGACGACAGAGCGAGACTCTGTCTCAAAAAAAAAAAAAAAAAAAAAAAAAAAAAAAAATATATATATATATATATATATATATATATATATATATATATATATACTTTATGAAATTTGACACATAGGAGATAAAAATCTATGCAAATTTTATTAAATATCAATTTGTAAGAAAAATTTACTATATATTTCTGGTATAAATTTATATTTCTCCCAAATCTCATGCTTTTGGCTTGAAAATATTTTATTTTCTTTACCAGCACAAAGATTAGTACTCTCATTGAAGAAATAGTGAGTGAGTATATTAGTTCATTCTCTCATTGCTATCAAGAAATACCTGAGACTGGGTAATTTATTTTATAAATTTATTTATTTATTTATTTATTTATTTGAGACTTGCTCTGTTGCCCAGGCTGGAGTGCAGTGGCATGATCTTGGCTCACTGCAACCTCTGCCTCCCAGGTTCAAGCAATTCTTCTGCCTCAGCCTCCTGAGTAGCTGGGATTACAGGTGCACACCTGGGATTACAGGTGGCACCTTCATGCCAGGCTAATTCTTGTATTTTTAGTAGAGGTGGGGTTTCACCATGTTGGCCAGGCTGGTCTTGGACTCCTGACCTCAAGTGAGGAATGCCACTGCCTCCCAAAATGTTGGAATTACAGCTGTGAGCCAGTGCACCCTGCTGAGACTGGGTAATTTGTAAAGAAAAGAGGTTTGATTGGCTCATGGTTCCACAGACTGTACAGGAAGCATGATGCTGGCATCTGCTCAGTTTCTGCAGAGGCTTCAGGAAATTTACAATCATGGCAGAAGGCAAAGCAGTAGCCAGATGTCTCTCATGGCAGGAGCAGGACCAATGTGGAGGGAGGTGCCACACACTTTTCAACAATCAGATCTCCTTAGAACTCACTATCACTAGAAGATTACCAAGGGGATGGTTCTAAACCATTCATGAGAAACCGCCCCTATGATCCAGTCACCTCCCACCAGGCCCCACCTCCAGTACTGGGGATTACAATTTGACATGAGATTTGGGCAGAGGCACAGATTCAAACCATATCAGTGAGCATTGGTATAATGCCTTCTTCAAATTCAGATCTAATTCCTTAAAACTCTAAGCATCTCAAAACATTTTGCTTTTCAGCCCAAGGATTCAAGGCAGTTTATCACCATAATTGCTAAAAAGCAAAAATAAAAACAAAATGAAAGGCCTACCATGTCTCAAACACCTCCACCTTGTTTACAGTCATGTAGAAGATGACAATGGAGAAAACTTAGGAGTCCACAAGAATTTCAAAATAAAATTACTAAAAAAATGATTATGGTTAAGCAATTATTTTTCAAAATATTTTACTTTGCTATGTTAATCTGTCCAAATTATAGTTATCAATTTAAGTATCATTCTCTTTTTAGAAAATCTAAATCAACACAGAGGAAGAATTTGGTGGATAGGATTATAATCCCCAAGGATTTTGGACAGGCCATGGAGATAACCCACCAGGTCTGAGTAATACGTGTATTTACTGATAGATGCCTCCATCTATACTTGTGTGCATTTGCATGTGCACATGAGGTGTTTTTTGTTTTTGTTTTTGTTTTTACAGAGTCTGGCTCTGTCGCCAGGCTGGAGTTCAGTGGTGCAATCTCAGCTCACTGCAACCTCCACCTCCCAGGTTCAAATGATTCTCAAGCCTCAGCCTTCTGAGTAGCTGGGACTATAGGCATGCGCCACCACGCCCAGCTAATTTTTGTACTTTTAGTAGAGACATGGTTTCACCATGTTGACGAGGATGGTCTCGATCTCTTGACCTCATGATCCGCCCACCTTGGCTTCCCAAAGTGCTGGAATTACAGGCGTGAGTCACCGTGCCCGGCCACACGTGAGTTTTTTATGTGCATGCGTGTGTATGCATGTTAGGAGTTAAATTTTATTTTTGTTTTGAGCTTCAATATATTGTCATCTAAACTCCAGTAATTTCTACTTTTCTAAGTATTTTTTGAGAACTAAAATGAAAATAGTTTCTTTGTTTTTAAATGGAAATCTTTCACTGGTTAGAGTTTAGTTTGTTTAGTTTCTTTTAGGTTTAGGCTAATGTCTGTCATGTCCTATGGCCTATGAACATTTGCCACTATCCTAATGATCTATTCCACGGGTAAACAAACATTTCTGACCTTAACAATTGTCAATCCAAAAATATGGAAATAATGTATTGTTCTTGTGTTCAATAATGCTACAAACCTGCATAGTTTCCTGTCATAATGTTCAACAGTTTTTGAGGCCAACAT
The DNA here is from genome assembly GCF_000001405.40 of Homo sapiens. Classification (NCBI taxonomy): domain Eukaryota; kingdom Metazoa; phylum Chordata; class Mammalia; order Primates; family Hominidae; genus Homo; species Homo sapiens. The sequence continues at coordinate 41,846,174 of NC_000009.12, forward strand.
ACTCTCTCCCTCTCTGTGCTAAACAGTCTTGAGATTAAGCACACTGTCCTATTTTTGATGAACAACACCGAGAACAAGTCAAAAAAAAAAACTGCTTGTTGCAGGGAATAACTGCTCCTGGAAAAAAAAAAGGCTGAACCAATTCAACAACTTACTTATTGGACTAAGAGCTGATTTATTAAGGTTTGCTTTAAGACTTAGCTAGCTCCTGCAGTCCACAGCTGTTATATCAGAAACTCTGATTAGTCCCAACTTGTTCTGCTCCTTGTAAGACCCTGGGTGAATTTTTTTTTTTTTTTGAGACAGCGTCGCTGTGTCGCCCAGGCTGGAGTGCAATGGTGTGATCTTGGCTCATTGCAAGCTCCGCCTCCCGGGTTCACGCCATTCTCCTGCCTCAGCCTCCCGAGTAGCTGAGACTACAGGCGCCCACCACCACATCCGGCTAATTTTTTTTATTTTTAGTAGAGATGGGGTTTCACGGTGTTAGCCAGGATGGTCTTGATCTCCTGACCTTGTGATCCGCCCGCCTCGGCCTCCCAAAGTGCTGGGATTACAGGCATGAGCCATCGCACCCAGCCTAGACCCTGGGTGATTTTAACATTCCGCTGAGTGTCTGAAACCCTATGAACACTCTGCCCAATATTCTATTTTGAGACATGCTATTATACTGAGACTTTGAGCAGACTATATTCTTTCTTATTCTCATTTACAGTAAGAGAGCCAGGCATGGAATTAGCCAGGCGTGGTGGTGCACACCTGTAATCCCAGCTACTTGGAAGGCTGAGGCAGAAGAATCGCTTGAACCTGGGAGGCGGAACTTGCAGTGAGCCGAGATCGTGCCACTGCACTCCAGCTTGGGTGACAGAGCAAGACTCTGCCTCAGATAAATAAAAAAATAATAAATTACCCAGACTTAGGTGTGTCTGGATAGCAATGTGAGAATGGACTAATACACTCACTGTTTCTTCAATGAGAGTACTAGTAAGTCTAGTAAATGTAGTTTGCCTGACTAACAAGCTCTAGTATTTTTTTAGGGAGTTAAATGTCATTTCTAAGGAGGTCAAAGGATATATAAGAGATAACAAGTTTTAAAGTCAGAAGTGCATTTAAATTTGTGCTTAGAATTTATCTTGCATTTATCCTATTTCAGGAAATATTACCACATATGAAGTGTGGATATTTATGCGTACTTAGCAGTGGGCTTGAGAATATCACACACAATATTATACATAGGCTACCATAGAATCTGCAATTATTATAATACCCGAATGCCTCCTACAGCCCTTCTACCTCTTGAAGACCTTTAAGAATTTGCTTTTTCCACTGAAAATTAGAAAGAACAACATAGCTGAAGGCAGTCCTTGTTCTATTGGGTCATTTGTTGGGATTGTGCTTATCCTGCAACTTTGGGGAAGGGAGGCATTTCAACATGAAATGAGGCTGCTTGTAAGTCAGAAAAAGAGTGAAGGAAAATTGAATTTAGCTCTTGCCAGCATTGCTTGAGGTATTTGGATGATATAAATTTTTTTTTAAAGGCCACAATGCTTTTAGAATTTTCTTTGCTTGTGATTAGTCATTGTTGGCCTCTTTATGCTTCTCCCAGAATCATTACAATGCCATGCTTCCCCCACTCTTTTCTAAGGGCTCTAAAGCCTGGATTTATTTTTTCTCACCCAAGAGGCACAACCAAATGATGTTTAAGCATCCGCAACCCAGCCAATGTGTGAGGCCATTTCCTCCAAAATACATTCTCCTTTCTTACCTGCCCTCTCTGATTCCTTGTCCAGCCTGGCCTCTTATATGGACCCTGATCTTTTATCCTCAATATCTTTTCTTATCCCACGCCCACTGTCTACTTTAGTTTCAATTTCAGCCACTCGTTAGTTTCTTGGTAAACAAAGTGAATAAACGCCCTTGAAGTCCTGCCACTTACTGACTCCTTTGGAAACCCAACTCACCATTAAATTGCAGCGTCTTAAATTGTACTCTCTTTGCATACTGATTTATCCTCTGGTACTCAGCTAATTCACGGCTCTGAGTCTCGTGTACCTCATTTTCACATGCTCAGGTCAGGGTAGAGATGGCTTTTGTGAGGCCTTGAGTGGGAGGTGTGAGAGTTTGTCCTCTAAACATGCATTTTGACTCTTTTCGTGTTCGTTTTTGCCATCGAGGACATCAACAGGGGCCCGCTGCTCTTACTCTACATGTCTTTGGGGTATCACGTCTACAATACCTACCACATTAATCAGAGGACTTTGGAGGGCCCTCTGTTTTGGCTGTCAGGAGGGGCCGAGAACCTTCCCAATTATACATGTGAGAGGCAGAGCAAATCCATAGCAGCGATTGAAGGAACTATATCAGCATTTGTTTTTCAGTTGGAGATGTTGATGGAAATCTACAAACTACCACAGGTGAGACAGGATGGGGTGGGTCAGAGATGACATTGAATGTCCTTTGCTGTTATTACAAGGCATGTCAACAAAAGGTGGCTCAGAACAGTCTTTGATGCCCCCAAAGGTGACAGAAAGTCCTTGCACTGCCAGTGTTTATTTAGGGTAAGAAGGAGGCAGAATGAGATGGGCAGCAGTGAGGCATCCCTGGCTGGCACAGCCAGGCCAGCTCTGGGAACTCTATATCTGAACACTTACTTTCCAGATTAATTTTTCCCAGAGGGAAGATGATACATTAAAAAAAAATCAACAAGTAAATCTTCCCCTTTCCAAAAGAGAATGTAGTATCTTCAGCTTCAAAATGGTGAAATAATAATTGCTTTATTCTTTACTATCATGCTGTTATTATCTAACTGCTATATCTCCAAATAATTTTTTTTTTTTTTTGAGACAGAGTTTCGCTCTTGTTGCCCAGGCTGGAGTGCGATGGTGCAATCTCGGCTCACAGCAACCTCTGCCTCCCGGGTTCAAGTGATTCTCCTTCCCTAGCCTCCTGAGTATCTGGGATTACAGGCGTGCGCCACCACGCCTGGCTAATTTTTGTATTTTTAGTAGAGACGGGGTTTCTTCATGTTGGTCAGGCTGGTCTCGAACTCCCAACCTCGGGTAGTCCGCCCACCTCAGCCTCCTGAAGTGCTGGGATCACAGGCGTGAGCCACTGCACCCGGCTTTGCGAAGAATTTTTGACCATCCTCTGACTCTCTCCAGAATCGTATCCTTGACTAATAGTCAAAATTGGAATTTTTATAGCCCTGTAAACCCACAGATTAGCTTATAGGGAGATTTGGTAAACTGAGATTTTGGGGAGGGGAAGGGAGGCTGGCAGAGAAGAAACTTTGTTTACAATTTTATTACCCTGGATAATATTAACCAATTTTGTATGTTTCTTAGAAATTTTATTACAGCTTACCTGTTTGCCAATGGCTATATGAAACCTTGCTCTTCAAATGGTCTACAAATCAGGACTTTTGTCTTCAGGATGGTTTTCTCATGAATGAGTTGAGTACAATTTTAACTCTTGTTAAGAAAAACTCTGAGCATTTTGCCTTTACACACGTTCATCAATTTCTCTAGTAATTTACTTGCTAGCTTTGAATTTCTTCTAGGAGTAGAAAGTGAAGTGCCTGATGTATTGTGTTTGATTGTGCCCTTCTCCCTCAAATCACTTCTGAATATAAATGGATATTGTTTTTCCTTTTCCTCTAAGATTAGTTATGTCCATTTGATCCTTTGCCTAATGATGAAGGACAGTTTCCATCTCTGTATCAGATGGTCCCAAGGAATCATCTTTGCCTCTTGGCATGGTGAAGCTGTTGCAGCATTTTAGCTAGATCTGGTAGGGCTGCTTGTCTCGGATGACATAAAAGGTGGGCATTTTCGGCCAGGCACGGTGGCTCACGCCTGTAATCCCAGCTCTTTGGAGGGCCAAGGCTGGTGGATCACCTGAAGTCGGGAGTTGGAGACCAGCCTGACCAACATGGAGAAACCCCGTCTCTACTAAAAATAGAAAAATTAGCTGGGTATGGCAGTGCATGCCTGTAATCCCAGCTACTCAGGAGGCTGAGGCGGGAGAATCGCTTTAACCCGGGAGGCAGAGGTTGCTGTGAGCCGAGATTGCACCTCTGCACTCCAGCCTGGGCGACACAGCTAGACTCCGTCTCAAAAAAAAAAGAAAAAAAAAAAGTGGGCATTTTTTCTAGGAACTGAGAGAAGTGGCCAGGGAAGGCATCTATTCAGGCTTTACAAAGAAACTGTCTTGGAGGGTGTTCTGCCATCAGCAGGCAGGATAACATTGGCCAAGACTGAAGATCCATCAACAAATGTGACTGCTGTCTGTGGTGACACAGACCCCCTAATCCTCCTGACGTTCTGGGATGGAATACTTTGAAAACGTGGAAAGCGTGTGTTACCACCTCCCAGTGGGACTTTATCACACATGGGGGAAGTTTCATACTTAATCCATTCCATGGGACTCTCACTTTTTCAAAGCAGAACAGTGAGATGCCTGGCTTCCAGCATTTTGTTCAGACAGCCCTTCCGCACACCCAGAACACATTTTCCATAATAAACCGTGGCTTTTTTCCTTGGATTGCTTCCTTTCTGATTCTGGCTGTGAAACCCTAGGAGGTTGCCCACGAAATGCTTTCTTGGGTCCTGTGCCTTTGCGTTGCTTTGACTGGATTGCATCTGATTTCATTAAGACCATCTATGATGCTGCGTGTGCAGCCAATGCCCTATGCTAAGTGCTGCTTTTAGAAATACAGTGGGATATGAGGAAAATGTAGATGCAGTGCTGTTTCATCCCTGGCAGGTAATGATTTCCGCTAGGGCATTGTCGGCCCTGGAGCCCATCGATTCTTGAAACATATAGTCATAAATGAGATTTTCTCAAAACCTGCATAATAACGCAGGCAAAACACATTGAAATTTTACATTCTGAATATAAATTCTGAAAATGAATATGTCTACTTGCTTTTACAATGAGAAACCATATATAGTCCGGAGAGTTTTCAGTTTTGATATGTGTGTGTGTGTGTGTGTATGTGTGTGTATAGATGATCGTCACATAGATATCTCTGGCTAGAAGAAACTTTGTCATATTTGTTCTAAGATTAAATGTTTGTCCCGTATTTCCAATACTCATTTTCAATCTGATTTAAATTTTTTGATCTATGATATTAACTGTCTAGAAATGACTGGGGAAAAGAAATTAGTTTTGAGCCCTTACTTTGTGTTCAGCATAAATGGTGATTATATTTTTTCTTTTAATTCAAAATAACATTAAGAGATATGAATTGCTATTTCTATTTTATGTATGAGAAAAACTCATATTCAGAGACACTCGGTAAAATTCTTACACACTGCCTGTAAATGGATCATCAAAAATTTGAAAGTGGCCAGGTACAGTGGCTCACTCCTGTAATCCCAACACTTTGGTAGGCTGAGGGGGGGCTGATCACCTGAGGTCAGGAGTTTGAGACCAGCCTGACCAATATGGTGAAACCCTGTCTCTACTAAAAATACAAAAATTAGCTGGGTGTGGTGGCGGGTGCCTATAGTCCCAGCTACATGGGAGGCTGAGACAGGAGAATCGCTTGAACCCAGGAGGCAGAGGTTGCAGTAAGCCAAGATCGCGCCACTATACTCCAGCCTGGGCAACAGAATGAGACTCCATCTCAAAAAAAAATAATAATAATAAAAATCGAAACCACAATTGTCTTTATTTTCATCAAAGTATAAAGTTGAATTTGAGCTTTTAGTCTTCAAGGATCAGGGAGGAACAATGCTTCAGTTAACGTTTCATAGCATAATGCATTTTTTTTATTACTCCCTGATGCATCCCTTTTAGCTTTACTCTCTTAAGGACCACGGAATTTATGACCAGTGCTGATGATCAGGTACCCAGATTAGAATAGGAACTCTGTTGCATAGTATGATATTCTGAATTATTGTAATTTGCTTGATGGTCTCCAACATCAAGGGAAGCTAGGAGAATGTGTTTTCCACGTGGTCAAGATTTTACTATACACGAGGAAAGGATCAAATGGGCCATTGTTGTTTTCAGAGGTTAGTCACAATTTCAAAGATAGCTTTTTACTGAATATGGATACCAGAATAGAGTTGATTCATGCAGGTAATTTCACCTGATTTGAACCCTCTACGTAGTTGATATGTACACACGCCTATACATATGTATGTTGATACGTATCCCACCTATACACGCTTCTACCTTTTAATATTTCTTATTCATTGCTTACCAAAGAACAAACATTAAATTGCATAATAAAATGACAATGATGGTAATAATGGTACTGAATAATCATTAACTATGTGCCAAGCATTGTTTTAGTGGTTTTATGTATGTCTGTTATATTACTCAGAACACTGCTATGAGTCAGATCCCTTTCATATTTGTTTTAGATAAGAAAAGGGGTGCAAAGGAACGTTAAGTAACTTATTCACCATTATACTCTTAGTGATGAGTCACAATTTTAACCAAAGGAGTTCCTGTCAAAATCCATGGTTTTAACCACAATACTGTATTGGTCCTCAGATTTTTATATCTTATTAAATAATATATTTCTTTCTAAATTTATTTTATTATTTTATCACTACACATGTAACAAAAATGCATTAAATAATATATTTCTAAAATTAAATGTTTTGTTTTTATTTCTACATAAAAATATTTTTGATATTCTGAATTTCTATTATCTTCCTCATTGTTATAATTAAGATTGTCTTGGTTTTTATAGTCAATGATACTAACTCTAAACAGTAAGTTTTGTGTCTTTATTTCAAATCCTTATGTTATTTTATAGGAGCTCAATTTTCATCTTTGTGCATATCATACCCCTTTCAAATGGAATAATTCTTATATTTCACCTTGATGCTTTCTGTATATTTCTGGTAATAACTTTACTTGTACTGTTAGGTTACTCAGACATTCTTTTTTTTTTTTGAGACGGAACGGAGTCTCGCTCTGTCGCCCAGGCTGGAGTCCAGTGATGCCATCTCAGCTCACTGCAAGCTCTGCTTCCCAGGTTCATGCCATTCTCCTGCCTCACCCTCCCGAGTAGCTGGGGTTACAGGTGCCCACCACCATGCCCTGCTAATTTTTTTTGTATTTTTAGTAGAGACGGGGTTTCACCGTGTTAGCCAGGATGGTCTCGATCTCCTGACCTCGTGATCCGCCCACCTCAGCCTCCCAAAGTGCTGGGATTACAGGCGTGAGCCACCACTCCCGGCCACAGGTTACTCAGACATTCTTTTATGAATTACAAGTTAGTTTGGTGTCTACTAAAATGCGTATGATTTTCTGTAATGATTTGTTAGTATAGATTATTAAATTTATATATATGTATATATGTATACCTATTAACTTATCCTTGCTTTCCTAGGATAAACTGAAATTGATCATAATTTTTAATAGACATTATTTTTTAGAGTAGTTTCACGTTTTAAAAAATTTGAAGGGAAAGTACAAAGAGTATATATACCTCCCTTCTTCCCCGTTTCTCTATAATTTGTATTTTCTATAACACTTTGCGTTAGGGTGATGCATGTGTTACAATTGATGAACCAACATTGATACACTATTATTAACTGAAATCCATACTTTAGGGTTCAGTCTGTGTTATAGAATTTTATGGGTGTTGACAAATTTATAATGTCATGTATCCACTATTGCAGTATCAGACAAAATATTATGGCTGCCTTCAAAGTCCCTTATGCTCCACCTATCCATCCCTCCTTCCTTCTCCACCAGGATGCTTTCTTTAATATTTTGTGGTACACAGGGTATTTATATCCATATTCCTAACTGGAAATGTTCTCTAATTTTACTTTACCATTCTACGATTTGTTTTGTTATCAATGGTATGCTAGCTTCTCAAATCGAGGAGTCTTTTTCTAATTTATTAAAAGATGAAAATTTACTATTTCTTGAACACTGTTATTTGGGTATAAGATCACATGGCTCTGGTGTGTATCTTGTGGCTCTATTTTTAACAACTAACTCTATTTTAAATTATTATTGTGATATGGGTTGGATTTGTGTCCCTGCCCAAATCTCAGGTGGAATTGGAGGAGGGGTCTGGTGGGAGGTAATTGGATCATGGGGGTGGATTTCCCCCTTGCTGTTCTGTGAGAGTGGGTGAGTTCTCATGAGATCTCATGGTTTAAACGTGTGTGGCACTTCCCTGTTCTCTCTCTCTCTCCTGCCACCACGTGAAGAAGATCCTTGCTTCCCCTTCACCTTCTGCCATGATTGTAGGTTTCCTGAGGCCTCCCTGTCATGCTTCCTGTTAAGCCTGTGGAAGTGTGAGTTAATTAAATCTCTTTTTTTTTTTTTGTAAGTTATCCACTCTCAAGTAGTTTTTTTTTTTTTTTCTTTTGAGACGGCGTCTCGCTCTGTCACCCAGGCTGGAGTGCAGTGGCGTGATCTCGGCTCACTGCAAACTCCGCCTCCCGGGTTCACGCCATTCTCCTGCCTCAGCCTCCCGAGTAGCTGGGACTACAGGTGCCCGACACCACGCCCGGCCAATTTTTTATATTTTTAGTAGAGACGAGGTTTCACCGTGTTAGCCATGATGGTCTCGATCAGGATCCTGACCTTGTGATCTGCCCGCCTCGGCCTCCCAAAGTGCTGGGATTACAGGCGTGAGCCACCGCACCCAGCCTCAACTAGTTCTTTATAGCGGTGTGAAAATGGACTAATACATATTGTTTATTTTAACTTTGTATTTCTCCTTCAGCTGATGTATAAGTTCTAAGTTATAGGTTTTGTGTTTAAATTTTTTATTTCTTCTTGATCCATTAGTTATTTATACATATATTTAAAATGTAAAAAAATTAGGATTTTGATTTTGTTGATTGATTACTAATTTAATTGTATTGTAGACAAGAGTCTTGCTCTTTAGCCAGTGAATGCTCAATTTTAATGAACTGTCCATGTGTACTTGTGAAAAATGAGTAGTCACTGACTTGGAGGTTCAGAGTTCTGTGCATGTTTATTATATCAGTCTTATTCATTATGTTCCTTAAATTACTTGTATTCTTCTTTACATTATGTCTAATTAAACTCTTTATTCATGAGGGAGATACATTGATATCTACCATCATGGATAGATTTGTCAAATTTGTCAATTTCTCCTTGTTATTCCACTGCACAGTTTGTGTTTGAATTGGACTATATGCATATAAAGGCAGATGCTCAATCCTTATATCCTGTTGAGTTCAACTCATGAAATAAAAAGTAACCAGTATAATTTAGCCATTTTTATTCTACTTTATATGTAACTTGATATTTATCACATATATTATTTCTTTGTATTTTTATATGATCTGTCTAAAATGTACAAAAAATTTCCATGTTACTAATTTTTCAGATATTACTGTTAAGTGGTAGCATGCTGCCATGACATAGCTGAATTTCCACACTGCCCTAACTCTGCTTATCTTTAAAAAACACGACACTTGCTCTAGGAAGTTCCCTTTGTAACCAGACCCACTGACACTTGTTAGAACCAGGATAGCTAAAGCCTCAGGCTTCATTATAATCTCATTTCCATGCTAAATGGCACTCCTGGCCAGGCACGGTTGTACATCCCTGTAATCCAAGCCCTTTGGGAGGCCAATGTAGGAGGATTGCTTGAGCACAAGAATTTGAGACCAGCCTGGTCAACAGAATAAGACCTGGTCTCCACAAAAAAAAAAAAAAAAAAAAAAAAAAAAAAAAAATTTAAAATTACCCAAGTGTGGTGTCACACACCTATAGTCTCAGCTACTCAGAAGGCTAAAGGGGGTGGATCACTTAGGCCCGGGAGTTCAAGGCTGCAGCGAGCCATGATTGCACCACTGCACTCAAGCCTGGGCAACAGAGCAAGGCCCCATCTCTTAAAATAGAAAAGAAATCCTAGCACTTTGGAAGGCTGAGGCGGGCAGATTGCCTGAGTTCAGGAGTTCGAGACCAGCCTGGGTAACACAGTGAAACCACATCTCTACTAAAAATACAAAAAATATAGCCAGGCGTGGCAGCGTGCGCCTGTAGTCCCAGCTACTTGGGAGGCTGAGGCAGGAGAATTGCTTGAACCCGGGAAGCGGAGGTTGCAGTGAGCCCAGGTCGTGCCACTGCACTCCAACCTTGGTGACAGAGTGAGACTCCATCACCAAGAAAAAAAGGAAAGAAAAAAAAAAAGACACTTCCACTGGTGTCATGACACTTGACAATCATCATGACGCTGACCAGAAATCATAAAAGTTCAAAAAGGAAGGTGGCACTAGGAGTTCTGTGAAGTTGCTGCTCATTCCTGGAAAATGCATGAATATTCTTCCCCTTGCTTTTAATGTCCAATCCCTTCATTAGAGAAACCCTGTATTTTATTTTAACCTCCTCACCTCTCATTAGTCGAGAAGTGATTTGTGAGCCATGCTTCTGCTTCTCAAGTCCACGGCCATCAAGTAAAGCTTGCACTGCTTGGTGCTCACCTTCAGTTTTGTGTATTGCCTTTGCAGCACCGAACAAGTAAAGACCCCATTTTTGGAGGAAGTGGCTTTGTTTGATAGCATTGCTATGGCTATTAACATGCATATTAGCTCATCCCATAATTCTAATGTTTATATTTATATTTTTTATTTTTTTAAGAATCTTGCTGATTGATTTTGTTCATCTCCCAATTCCTGCTCACAATTTGACACCCTATTTGTTTCCTTAAAGAGTTTAAGCCTATACATATTTTGATCCTATATCTGAAAATTATAAAGTCTAAAATGCCTTCTGGTTGCATTTTGTTGTTTGTTGTTTATGTTGACTCTTCATTGTGTGGTTTACATGTTCATTTGGTCTTAGTGTCTGTATAACTTCATGGTGAGTAATAAATATTTCGAGGATCAGTCCCTCTTACAGGATTGCCTGTGTTTCATCCAAGCACCTGCGTTGTTAATAATCAGAAGACATTTAATTTATGCACTTAAAGTTTTCCTTGACTATACAAATACATTTAAAATTAAATCCCAAACCAGTATGAAGACAAGTTTTTGAATAAAAATTTCTCAGAAGAGACATTTTTCTCTTTTGCCACCCAGACTCCAAACTGAGGCTGAGAACTTATCTCCTTTCACTGGCAAGAAGATTTTTTTGTTTTCTTTTTCTTAGATCATTTCCCCATGAAAGTAGGCCTTCAGGCTGGGCACGGTGGCTCACGCCTGTAATCCCAGCACTTTGGGAGGCCGAGGCAGGTGGATCATGAAGTCAGGAGATCGAGACCATCATGGCTAACATGGTGAAACCCCGTCTCTACTAAAGAGATTACATTGTCTTAGATCAGGACGGCCAAGTGGAAGTGACAAGAAGTGATTAGAATTAGGAAGTATTTTGATGGGAGAGTGAAGAGGATTCGCTGATGTATTAGTTGTGTTTTTTTGTGAAGTAAAAAATCATGAGTAATGCCCAGATTCTGGACCAGTGCAACTTAATGTCTCATGGTCAATCTAATGGGAGTTTGAGGGGGTGTTTTTTTTTAATTTTGAAAAAAGCAGTATGCCTTGGTCATTGCAGTATTTCTAGAATTCAACTAAGGGTCTGGCTCGCCAGTTAAAGCTTTCTTGTGTAAACGAATAAATTTCTTGTATAAATGAACAAATTTAAGGCTTAGCCTGCCAAATAGATATTTGGAATGTCTTAAAGATTGTAATGGTCTCATCATCAGATAAAAAATAGGAGTAGCATGCACATCTATGTAAAAGATTAAAAAAAATCTTTCTTCATATAAATGACAAGGGGGATAAATACTGCTAAACTGGAATGAGTTAATTTGTAAAATCTTATAATTTCATGAAGTATGGAGAATAGGTGGACAATGTGCTTTAAGATGACTAATGTTATCATTGTTTAGTCCTGTGGAAAAAGGAAGCATTTCAGAACTTGAGACAATAAGCTTTTGACTTTTTAAAATCAGACTCCAATGAATGTGCAAAATGCCCAGACAACCAGTATTCAGTGAGAGCGATCACTGCCTCACAGAGTTGTGACCTTCCTGGACTTTGAAGATGCACTGGGGACAGCACTGGCCAGCATAGCTCTCTGTTTCTCTGTCCTCACTGCCATTGATATGGTTTCGCTGTGTCCCCACCCTAATCTCATCTTGAATTATAGCTCCCATAATTCCCACATGTTGTGAGAGGGAGCTGGTGGGAGATAATTGAATCATGGGCGCAGTTGCTCCCATACTGTTCTAAGTCTCACAAGATCTGATAATTTTATTAAAAGGCTTCCCCTTTCGCTTGGCTCTCGTGCTCCCTTGCAGGCCGCCATGGTAAGACGTACCTTTCACCTTCAGCCGTGATTGTGAGGCCTCCCCAGCCACGTGGAACTGTGTGTCCATTAAGGCTCTCTTCCTTTATAAATTACCCAGTCTCTGATATATCTTTATCAGCAGTGTGAAAATGGACTAATACAGCCATGGTTCTTATGATCTTTGTGAAGCACATACACACACTCATAGTCAAGACTCTCAGCGACATCTCTCTGTCTGTTTTCTTCTGCTCCTTGCTCTTCACTGGCTGTACAAACACAGTCACTTGTAACCTCTGACAGACAACATTTGGAATCATTTTTACTGTGGTTGTTTCAACTGCGTTAGCTAAAACTATCACTGTGCTTATAGCCTGTAAGGCTACAGCATCAGAGAGAAAGCCAAAGTGGTTTTGGGGACCGGGAGTATTTAGCACAGTTATTTTCATCTGTTTCCTTATCCAAGTAACTCTCTGGAATTTGGCATGGGATCAAAGAGTGCCATCAGGACTCTCAATGATGAGGTATTCTTTGCCTTCCACTCTGTTCTGGGATTCTTGACCTTTTTGGCACTGGGGAGCTTCATCTTGGCTTTCCTGGCCAGGAGCCTGCCTGACACCTTCAATGAAGCCAAGTTCTTGATGTTCAGCATGCTGATGTTATGTACTGTTTGAATTACCTTCCATACTGTGTAACATAGCACCAAAGGGAAGGTCATGGTTGCCTTGGAAATATTCTCCACCTTGACTTCCAGTGCTGAGTGCTAGGTGGTATCTTTGCTCCCAGAGGCCGTATTATTCTAATAAAACCAGATAAGAATACTCTTGGAGAGTTAAGGAAAAAAGCAAGTTCTTACATGTATAAATATTTAATTTCTGGCCTTAGAAAAATAAAAAAGAGGAATGTAAAAAATAACTGCTATTTGCATGCAGATGAGACAGTCACATTTAAGTAATATTTCAGACTGGTTTATAATCTCTTAACTCTGCCATCATATTCAAATAGTGTGAAATTCACAGTACCTTCAATCATCAAGTTTGTGAATATAAATATTAACTTCGATGTGTGTTTTCTGAAGGTTAAATTTATTATTAAATGCTGTAAGTTGTCCATTATATGCACAGTAACCCTTTTTATCTCTATCTTTAGCTACCATTTTGTCTTAGACACACATCTTAAGCAGAAAGTATTGAGGCAGTCCTCCACTCAACATCTCATTTAATTTTATGACTTTTTTCTAATTGGCGGGACAGATGGCATAAAGATTTATAATTTGTATTTGAACTTTATTATATTTTTCTGTTTTCTTCTGACAAATATATGTAAAATTATAAAAATTTACCTGCAATTTATATATCTAAATTGCGGGAGGTAGGAGTCTAATATTACTTTTATCAAACAAACCAGACATTTGTCCCTAAATAATAATAGACTACACTTGTCTTATTGATTTTAAATGCAACTGTATTGTACTCTACATTTTTGTGTTGTCAAAAATAACTCCATGTCAGTTTAGTTATCAACAAGCAATTTTAATATATGTGGGAGAACAATCAATAGATTATCATCAGAGATAAAAATTGGATTTATAAAACAAAAGGGCAAAGGCATTTAAAAAAAGTCTGAAAAATGAGTTTAGTTTTCTTTATCCTGAGTATACTGACTGACAAGAGGGACACTAAGGGGTCAGTCTCTGGGATAGTCAACAGAGAAAACTTTCAGTTATTTCTAGATTATCTGAAAAGGCTCGACAGTTCCGCTAGGACAAACTGTGTCCAGGCATTACGTGCCACTCTCCTTCTATTGCCACTCTGAACACAATTAAATCAGACTGCATCATATCCCTTTAAAATAGATCTTATATCCCTGTTTTCTTTGGTTAAAATCCAGCTCCTAGATGAACAGATTTTTCCTATAGAGGTTTTTTTTTTTTCTTCAACACTGTATTATGAGTTGAATGTCAGGTCAGGGTTACGGCTGTGAAGCAAGATATAAGAATCAAGATAGGCTGGGTGCGGTGGCTCAAGCCTGTAATCCCAGCACTTTGGGAGGCGGAGGCAGGTGGATCACGAGGTCGGGAGATCCAGACCATCCTTGCTAACACTGTGAAACTCCGTCTCTACTAAAAATACAAAAAAAATTAGCTGGGCGCGGGGGCAGGCGCCTATAGTCCCAGCTACTCGGGAGGATGAGGCAGGAGAACGGCGTGAACCCGGGAGGCGGAGCTTGCAGTGAGCCGAGATGGCGCCAATGCACAGCCTGGGGCGACAGAGTGAGTCTCCGTCTCAAAAAAAAAAAAAAAAAATCAAGATAATGAGAAGGTTAAAAAAGATAAAAAGTTTGGGAATAATCCCAAGTATTTTAAGAAATATTTGGAGCTCACTTAGCATCTAAGTTTTTCTTGGGTTTAGCTTAACGAGAAAAATAACTCCTAAGATCAATTAAATCAATTTTACTTACCTAATGTTTATTCAGATTCCAGATATTTCAGGTATGGTGAAGATTTTCTCTTGGAAGGACATTAAATTGCCAATTATCTATTATTTAGGACTATCCTAGTCAACACGTTGCTGCTATTCTGTTGAGTTTCTAAAACCTGAAGTGCTTTGTTTACTGCGTAGTCCATAGTCAAGGATAAATTATGGATCACGTATGTTAGTTGGGAAACAACTTGGATAAGGTAGAAACACCTACACACACAAACATACACATACACACATACACACAAACACACACACACACATACACACACTGACACTGTGTCCGGAATTGGTGGGTTCTTGGTCTCACTGACTTCAAGAATGAAGCCGCGGACCCTCGCCGTGAGTGTTACAGCTTTTAAGGTGGCGCATCTGGAGTCTGTCTCTTCTGATGTTCAGATGTGTTCAGAGTTTCTTCCTTCTAGTGGGTTCGTGGTCTCGCTGGCTCAGGAGTGAAGTTGCAGACCTTCACGGTGAGTGTTACAGCTCTTAAGGTGGCGCGTCCGGAGTTCGTTCCTCCTGGTGGGTTGGTGGTCCCACTGGGCTCAGGACTGAAGCTGCAAATCTTCGCGGTGAGTGTTACAGCTCATAAAAGCAGCGTGCACCCAAAGAATGAGCAGTAGCAAGATTTATTGCAAAGGGCAAAAGAACAAACCTTCCACACTGTAGAAGGGGACCCCAGCGGGTTGCCAATGCTGGCTCGGGCAGCCTGCTTTTATTCTCTTATCTGGCCCCACCCACATGCTGCTGATTGGTAGAGCCGAGTGACCTGTTTTAACAGGGCGCTGATTGGTGCGTTTACAATCCCTGAGCTAGATACGAAGGTTCTCCACCTCCCCATCAGATTAGTTAGATATAGAGTTTCCACACACAGGTTCTCCAAGGCCCCACCAGAGCAGCTAGATACATACAGAGTGTCGATTGGTGCATTCACAAACCTTGAGCTAAACACAGGGTGCTGATTGGTGTATTTACAATCCCTGAGCTAGATATAAAGACTCTGCACGTCCTCACCAGAGCAGCTAGATACAGAGTGTCAATTGGTGCATTCATAAACCTTGAGCTAAACACAGGGTGCTGATTGGTGTGTTTACAAACCTTGAGCTAGATACAGAGTGCTGATTGGTGTATTTACAATCCTTGAGCTAGACATAAAGGTTCTCCACGTCCTCACCAGAGCAGCTAGATACAGAGTGTCGATTGGTGCACTCACAAACCTTGAGCTAAACACAGGGTGCTGATTGGTGTATTTACAATCCCTGAGCTAGAGATAAAGACTCTCCACGTCCTCACCAGAGCAGCTAGATACAGAGTGTCGATTGGTGCACTCACAAACCTTGAGCTAAACACAGGGTGCTGATTGGTGTATTTACAATCCCTGAGCTAGACATAAAGACTCTCCACCTCCCCACCAGACTCAGGAGCCCAGCTGGCTTCACCTAGTGGATCCCACACCGGGGCTGCAGGTGGAGCTGCCTGCCAGTCCCGCGCCGTGCACTTGCACTCCTCAGCCCTAGGGTGGTCGATGGGACTGGGCTCCGTGGAGCAGGGGGCGGTGCTCGTCAGGGAGGCTCGGGCTGCACAGGAGCCCATGGAGTGGGTGGGAGGCTCAGGCATGGTGGGCTGCAGGTCCCAAGCCCTGCCCTGTGGGAAGGCAGCTAAGGCCCGGCGAGAAATTGAGCGCAGCACCGGTGGGCCGGCACTGCTGGGGGACCCAGTACACCCTCCGCAGCCGCTGGCTCAGGTGCTAAGTCCCTCATTGCCCGGGGCCAGCAGGGCTGGCCGGCTGCTCCCAGTGTGGGGCCCGCCAAGCCCATGCCCACCCAGAACTCCAGCTGGCCCGCCAGCGCCACACGCAGCCCCGGTTCCCGCTCGTGCCTCCCCCTCCACACCTCCCTGCAAGCTGAAGGAGAGGGCTCCAGCCTTGGCCAGCCCAGAAAGGGGCTCCCACAGTGCAGTGGGGGCTGAAGGGCTCCTCAAATGCCGCCAAAGTGGGAGCCCAGGCAGGGGAGGTGCCGAGAACAAGCGAGGGCTCTGAAGACTGCCAGCACGCTATCACCTCTCAACACCTACACACAAACACTCACACCTACACACACAAGCACACACATACACACACAAAATGGAACGCATATGTATACATGTACATATATATGATAAATTCTGATGTCTTGAGTCCCTCTTTATAAACTACCACATTGATTCAATAAAATATGAGCAACTGAATGGTTTGTTTCAGTAAATGGAAAGGCCAGAACACGATGTCCAAAACAATGTTTATGTTTGAATATGATTATAGAAAATCATGATTTCTTCATAATAATAATTCCAAGAGTATGTCTTGTGGAGACACAAGTATGTTTTTCATAGTCACTATTATTTATCAAATGTCACCTGAATTTAATTAATTTTTGTATTCAGAATAAAATCCCAGAGTTTAGAAAAAACATGCAATGATTTCTGTGTAGCTTTATGAGAAAATAATTGGTCATAATTTATCATTAATTCCATATGCCATTATCTTTCTCATGAGGCTCTAAAAAAATATCAGCAACTGCAGCTAATTTTGAGGACCTGCATTTTAGCCATAACGTCTAGATGCTTTAGCATTAGTAATATTCTGGAAAGTTGCAATGAGTTCACAGGGTTTATCAGAATGAAATTAGTCAAGAAAATGAGAAAAATGACTGGGATTTCAATTTGCATAGCCTAATACCTTGAACTAAGACAAAATGAAGAAAGTGAGAAAAAGAGGGGTGTCCAGGTGATAAAATAGAATCAAAATGAGGGCATGTTTTTCTGATCATGAAGTTTTACCTGAAATATCTTGAGTGAAAGCTTCATATGACTGAATGTACTTTTAATGTCATCTTCCTGATCTATAGACTTTTGAAGGAATATCTCTACTGGAAGTTGTCTGCTTCTGGAGGCTTTTTAATAGGCCTCTAGGTCAGATTTAACATGGGTCTGGATGTCCAGATTATAGGACCCTAAACACTTTTATCCTTAGAATCATGTCTTCTCTAGTGTTTTTCATAGAGCTTAAACAGATTCTTTGTGATTAAAAAATTAATCAAAATGGCTTTTTGTAGCATAGTTCTAATGCTAAGTGTGTTTCTTCCAATAAACTCATTCTCTTGGAGGGATACGTCCAATCATATCCCTCTTGGAAATACATTTTGTATTAATTGTGCACATGACTCTGCACATATATTAATTTTGTAAATACTTGACAGGATACAAATTCAATGATATGGAATCTGTCAGAGCAGGATTCAAGCCAAGAGTCACGTACCTTCTTGTAACATTTAGAAAATGAGAGTTTATGAGCATTTTGGGACAAGATCACATTAACATTTTATCTAGGAGTAAAACTTTAGCTCAAACAAAAGCTTTAATTAAAATGAAAAGTTTCTTCTTTGGTAAATGACTTTTAAAACTTTACACTTTGGTAACTGATCTTTGGTTATGCTAAGTACAAATAAGTTATTTCCAAGAAATTTTCTTTGTGATTTTCTTGAAATTTGAATAAGTATTTTGGATTAATAAAATCAGTTTGAGCAATTGGTTTTACCAGTTGGTGGAAAAACCAATAAGGGCTTCTACTTTTATACAGTAGTCATCTAGAAAGTTCTCTGTGGTTTTTAATATATCAACTAAATTATAGCCTATCATTTTAATAACCAAGATTCATTTTGAATATTGTGTTGCCCTCAAAGTCATTAATCATTTTCAGTGTTTGATTGAAGTACCCAGCGAAATTAGAGAACTCCTTTGTTATCATAGCTTGTTAGATTCATAAAAAGTCTCAGAGGAATATCTACTCTACTTGTGGTAGCTAAGCCTTAAAGCTATAGCAGGGTTGTATGCTTACACTAGACCTATCAGTTTAACCATTTGAGAAGAACTAAGCATTGGTAAAATGGCAGATTCTATAATAGATATCCAAAAATTATAGCCTATACTGTAAAATATATACCTGGATCACATTAATATTACATCAAGGTTCTGTAGAGGAACATTAGTCCCAAAAGTGCATGATTAAAGTTTCAATAGTTGGTAGACACAAATAATAGTCACCTATATTAACAAGGAAATGTAGTGTCTGAGATTTTACCCCATTTATAAGCTAATAAGTTAGTCTGTTACTGTTTCATGAATAGGGGGAAGACACAACAGTCCTGGATCAGAGACAAACATTTCATTACTCACGGCATTGCTAGCATGAGTGTCATGTTGTATCAGTCAACTTTGTCCCCCAAATCTCACAAGGATAAAGCAGAGGAATCCAAGTCAATGGTGAACATGCTATAATAAATTTGTATTGCAGCAAAGAAACACTGAGCTTGGGGGATGTACTGCTTTTACATTAAGCAGTAGACAAGTCTGCTTAACGTTCCAAAGGGAAACATTTTTTCACCTCTCAAGGTTGCTGCTAGAAATACAACCTAGAGAAATGGTATGGAAAAAGAGCATTCAGAACCTCACATTTAAATTTTTTTCCCTTTTGGCACAGGTATTTATTCTTATTTGTCTACATCTACATATCAAATTTTCTACTGTGATAAATAAACATAACATGAAATGTTACCATTTTAAGGACTTTAAGTGTATAATTCAGTGGCAAGCACACTTGCATTGTTGTGCCATCATCACCACTATCCATCTCCAGAATTTTTTTCATCTTGCAGAACTGAAACTCTGTACCCATTAACACTAATTATCAATTCCTTACTCCCCCCAGCCCCAGGCAATGACCATTTTACTTTCTGTTTCTATGAATTTGATTACTCTGAGTACTTCATGTCAGTAGAATCATAAAATATACCTCCATTTGTGTCTACCTTATTTTACTTAGTGTAAGGTCTTTCAAATTTATCTATATTGTAGCATGTGGCAGAATTTCCTTTCTTTTTAAGGGTGAATTATATTTTATTCTATGTCTATGCCGCATTTTATCTCTTTATCTGCCAATGGATATTTGGGTTGTTTCTACTTTTGGCTACTGTGAATAATGCTAATATGGATGTTGATGTACAAATATCTGTTTGAGTCCTTGCTTGCAATTAATTTTGGAGGAATCGCTGGGTCATATGGTAATTCTGTGTTTGATTCCTTGGGAAATCACCATACTCTGGTCCACAGCAACTCTATCATTTTGCATTCCCACCAGTAATCATAAAGGCCCTAGTTTCTCTACCTCTTCATCAGCATTCATTATTTTCTGTTCATTTGATATTAATTATCCTAATAGGTGTGAAGTAAGGAGACTTGCATTCTTGACATACCCAGCAAGAACCTTCAGAACTACGCAAGGCTCATGGTAGACTGCTTCCCTCAATCAGTAGCTAGATTTAGTTAATAGCAGAGTTTAAAGGTTTTCTGGGGAAGTAGCCAACAAAAGATTATATAAGCAATGATGTTGTTTTCCTAGAAGTGCCATGTGTTGTTCTATACTAATGACACTCTTGTCAAAGACCCTATACAGAGTGAGCTGAGGGAAGTCTGCTAAGACTTTATCAGCTGGGCTACCACTATACCTAAACAAAGTGAATAAACCTTAGTCACAAGGTCAAGAGAAATGTTAATGTAGGCAATGAGCTTGTGATCAATTTTTAAACCATAAAGCAAAATGTTATCTCTATGCACAAATAATGGAGAAGGTTTATTTTCATTAGAAATGCCAGCCAATGTGGACCCTACTGTCACTACCCTGGTGAAGTGTTTTGGCTGGCACTCCCCATCAGAGTCTTGTTGCCAGTGGACTGGGAACACCTTGGCTCCTCCAAGCACCTCCTGCAACAGGTGCTTAACCTGGAGGGGCCAGAGAACAAAGCTGGAGGCCTAGTACCACCTTCCAGGGTAAGAGTACACAGCCCAGGAGTGCTGAGCTGAGCTTTGGCCCCCTGAAAATTTCCAGAGATGAAACCAGTTCACTTAACTCACTTTATACCATAGTCAACCCCCAAGGGAATCAAAGAATATACAAGTGAAAATCCCCATCCAAAGGACAGCAACTTCAAACATTAAAGGAACATCAGCCCACACAGAAGAGAAAGAACCAGTACAGGAACTCTGACAGCTCAAAAAAACAGAATGTCTTCTTGCCTCCAAATGACCCAGCAGTGGTTCTTAATCAGGCTGAAATGACAGTCATGGAATTCAGCATTGGGATAGGAACAAAGATTACCAAGTTTCAGGAGTAAGTTGAAACACAAAGGAATCTAAGGAATTTATTTAAATGATGCGAGAAGTAAACGACAAAATCACCATTCTGAGAATGAAACCCATCTGATAGAGCTGAAAAACTCACTACAAGAATTGCATAATACAATCAGAAATGTTAACAGCAGAATAGACCAAGCTGAGGAAAGAATCTCAGAACTTGAAGACCAGATCTTTGAATCAACTCAATCAGGCAAAAATGAACAAAAAAGCATAAACACAACTTCAGAGAAATATGGGATTATGTAAAGAGACCAATTCTGTGGCTCATTGGCATCCCTGAAAGAGAGGAAGAGAGAGCAAGCAAGTTGGAAAACATATTTGATGATAACTGTCCATGAAAATTTCCCCAACTTTGCTAAAGAGCTCAACATTCAAATTCGGGAAATGCAAAGAACCCCTTGAGATACTACACAAGATGTCCAAGAAGTGCCCCCAAGACACATATTTATTAGATTCTCCAAGGTCAACCTGAAAGAAAAAATAATAAAGACAACTAGAGAGAAGGGGTAGGTCACTTAAAAAGGAAGCCCATCAGGCTAACAGCAGACCTTTCAGCAGGAACTATACAAGCCAGAAGAGATAGGGGGCCTATATTCAGCATTCTTAAAAAAAAGAAATTCTAATCAAGAATTTCATATCCAGCCAAAGTAAGCTTTATAATCAAAGGAGGAATAAGATCCTTTTCAGACAAACAAATGCTAAGGGAATTCACTACCATCAGACTTACCTTACAAGAGATCCTTAAGGGTGTGCTAAACATGGGAACAGAAGACTATTACCAGCAACCACAAAAACACACTTAAGTACATAGACCACCGACATAAAGCAACTATGTAATCCAGTCTGCATAACAACCAACTACCAACATGATGACAGGATCAAATCCGCACATATCAATATTAACCTTAAATGTAAAAGGGCTAAAGGCCACACTTAAAAGGCACAGAGTGGCAATTGAATAAAGCAAGACCCAATGACATGCAGTTTTCAAGAGACCCATCTCACATGCAATGACACCCATAGGCTCAAAGTAAAAGAATAAAGAAAAATCTATCAAGCAAATATAAAGCAAAAACAAGCAAGGTTGCTATTCTAATTTCAGATAAAACAGAGTTTATACCAATAACAACCAAAAAGAAGACAAAGAAAGGCATCACATAATGATAAAGAGTTCAATTCAACAAGAAGACTTAACAATCCTAAATATAAACGCACCCAATACTGAGCACTCAGATTGATAAAACAAATTCTTAGAGACCTACGAAAAAACTTAGATAACCACACAATAATAGTGGGAGACTTCAACACCTCATTGACAGTATTAAACAGATCATCAAGGCAGAAAACAAAGATATTCATGACCTGAACTCAACACTTGATCAAATGGACCTAACAGACATTTCCAGAATGCTCCACTCAACAGCAGACTATATATATTTTTTCATCTGCACATGGCCCTTACTAAAAAACTTCCCGCATGATTAACCATAAAACAATTCTCAACAAATTAAAAAAAAACCAAAATCATACCAACCACACTCTTGGACCACAGTGCAATAAAAGTAAAAATCAATATGAAGACAATATCTTAAAACCATAAAATTACATGAAAATTAAACAATCTGCTCCTGAATGACTTTTGGGTAAACAATGAAACGAAGACAGAAGTCAAGAAACTCCTTGAAACTAACGAAAACAAAGATACAATATTCCAGAATCTCTGTGAATCAGCTAAAGTAATTTTTTTTTTTTTGAGACGGAGTCTCGCTGGAGTGCAGTGGCGCCATCTCTTCTCACTGCAAGCTCCACCTCCTGGGTTCATGCCATTATCCTGCCTCAGCCTCCCGAATCGCTGGGACCACAGGCACCCGCCACCACACCCGGCTAATTTTTTTGTATTTTTGTATTCACCATGTTAGCCAGGATGGTCTCGATCTCCTGACCTTGTGATCTGCCTGCCTCGGCCTCCCAAAGTGCTGGGATTACGGGTTTGAGCCACCGCGCCTGGCCCCAGCTAAAGTAATGTTAAGAGGAAAGTTTATAGTGCTGAATGCCCACATTAAAAAGTTAGTAAGATCTCAGATTAAAACCTAACATCACACCTAGTGGAACTAGAAAAATAAGAGCAAACCAATACCAAAGCTAGTAGAAGAAAAGAAATGAGCAAAATCAGGTCTGAAATGAATGAAATTCAGATGTGAATAAAATCATACAAAGATCAATGCAACCAACAGTTGGTTACTTGAAATAATAAATAAGATTGATAGCCCCATAGCTAGAATAATAAAGAAAAAAGGGAAAAGATTCAAATAAACACAGTCAGAAATGACAAAGAGGGCATTACCACTGACTCCACAGAAATACAAACAACTCTCAGAGACTACTGCAAACACCTGTATGCACATAAACTAGAAAACCTAAAAGAAATGGATAAATTCCTGAAATCATGCAGCCTCCCAAGATTGAGCCAGGATGAAATTGAACCCTGAAAGACCAATAACAAGGTCCAAAATTGAATCAGTGATAAAAAGTCTGCCAACCAGAAAAATCCCTGGATCAGACAAATTCACAGCCAAATTCAGGCAGATGTACAAAGAAGACTGGTACCATTCCTGCTGAAATTACTCCCAAAAATTGAGAAGGAAGAACTTCTCTCTAACTCATTTATTAGGCCAGCATCATTCTGACACTGAAACCTGGCAGAGACACAACAAAAAAAGAAAACTTCAGGCCAATATCCATGTTGAACTACAGATGCAAAAATCCTCAACAAAATTCTAGCAAATCAAGTCCAGCAGCACATCAAAAAGCTAATCTACCACAATCAAGCAGCCTTTATTTCTTGGGTACAACGCTGGTTCAACATATGCAAATCAATAAATGTGATTCATCACATAAACAGAACTGAAAACAGAAACTGTATGATCATCTCAACAGACACAGAAAAGGCTTTTGATAAAATTCAACAGTCCGTCATGTTAAAAACCCTCAACAAACTAGATATTGAAGAAACATAACTCAAAATTTAAGAGCTATCTATGACAAACCTACAGCCAACATCATACTGAACAAGCAAAAGGTGGAGGCATTTCCCTTGAGAACTGAAAGAAGACAAGGTGGCCCACTCACATCACACCTATTCTGCACAGTCCTGGAAGTCTTAGCCAAAGCAATTAAATAGGATTAATTAAATAGCATTCAAATAGGAAGACAGGAAGTCAAACTATCTCTCTTTGCAGATGATATGATTTTACACCTAGAAAAACCCATAGTCTCTGCCCAATAGCTCATTGATCTGATATACAACTTCAGCAAAATTTCAGGATACAAAATCATTCCACAAAAATCTGTAGCATTTCTACATACCAACAACATCCAAGGTGAGAGGCAAATCAAGATTGCAATCACATTTACAATACTCACACCAAAAATTACCTAGGAATACAGCTAACCAGGGAGGTGAAAGATCTCTATAACAAGAATTAAAAACGTTGCTGAAAAAAATCAGAGAGGACACAAATATGAAAACATTCCATGCTAATGGATAGGAAGAATCACCTTTGTTAGAATGGCCATACTGCCCAAGGCAATTTACAGATTAATTACTATTTCTATCAAGCTTCCAAAGGCATTCTTCAGGGAACTAGGAAAAACTATTCTAAAATTCATATGGAACCAAAAAAGAGCCCAAGGCAATCCTAAGCAGAAAGAAAAAAGCCGGGGGCATCACATTTCCCAACTTCAAATGATACTATCAAGCTAAAGTAACAAAAACAACTTGACACTGGTACAGAAACAGACACATATACCAACGTAGCAGAATAGAAAACCCAGAAATAAAGCCACACATGTAAAACTATCTGATCTTCAACAAAGTTGACAAAAGCAAGAAGTGTGGAAAAGACTCCCTATTCAATAAATTGTTCTGGGATAATTGGCTACCCATATGCAGAAGATTGAAACTGGACTCCTTCCTTACCCTATATAAAAAAATCAACTCAAGATGAATTAAAGACTTACATGTAAAACCTAAAACTATGAAAACCCCAGAAGAAAACCTAGGAACTACCATTCTGGACATAGGCCTGACAAAGATTTCATGATTAAGATGCCAAAAACCATTGTAACAAAAACAAAAATTGACAAATGGGACCTAATTAAACTAAAGAGTTTCTGAACAGAAAAAGAAACTAACATCAGAATAAACAGGCAACCTGCAGAATGAGAGAAAATATTTGCAAACTGTGAACCTAACAAAGGTCTAATACCGAGAATCTATAAGGATCTTAAACAAATGTACAAGCCAAAACCAAACAACTCCATTAAATAGTGGGCAAAAGACGTGAACAGACACTTTTCTGAAGAAGACATACACATGGCCAACAAGCATATGAAGAAAACGCTCTACATCAGTAATCATTAGAGAAATACAAAACCACGATGAGATGCCGTCTCACGTCAGTCAGAATGGCTATTACTAAAAAGTCAGAAAATAACAGATGCTGGCAAGGTCGTGCAGGAAAGGAACACTTACATACTGCTGGTGGGAATGTAAATTAGTTCAGCCACTGTAGAAAACAGTTTGACAATTTATCAAAGAACTTAAAACAGAGCTACCATTCTATCCAGCAATCCCATTACTGGGTATGTACCTCAAGAACTGTAAGTCATTCTGTCATAAAGATACACACTCATCTATGTTCACTGCAGCACTATTCACAATAGCAAAGACATGGAAACAACCTAAATGACCAACAGCAGTTGAAAACATGGTACATATACACCATGGAATACTACGCAGCCATAAAAAAGAATGAAATCATGTTCTTTGCAGCAACATGAATGCAGCTAGAGGCCATTATCCTAAGTGAATTAACACAGCAACAGAAAACCAAATACCAAATGTTATCACTTATAAGTGGAAGCTAAACATTGATTATGCATGGACACACAGCAGGGGACAAGACATAGCAGGACCTATTTGAGGGCGGAAGGTGAAAGTAGGGTGAGGATTGAGAAACTACTTATCAGGTACTATGTTTATTGCTCCAGTGATGAAATAATATGCACATCAAACCCCCATGACACACAATTTCCCCATGTATCAAACCTGCATATATACCCCCTGAACCTAAAATAAAAGTTGGAAGAATTAGAAAAAAAAAAAGGAGTGCCTAACTTGGGGGTTGTTGTAATGTTCGCTTAACAAACACACAGTCTTTTGGGCATCTAAATCACAGCACAGAGGCTCTGGGGCATGGGATCTAGTGACCTCATACAGTGGTTGAGATAATCAGAATATAGACAGTATCAAACATATCTAATTACTTTACAAATTTCTTCTTGAATAATGTGAGTAGAGCATTATCCAGTAGCTATCTGAGAAACCCCAAAGACCTTTAGATACGAACAACATTTAACAGCTTTATTCCCATAAATTCATAACTTAAATTTATAAAACAAAAACAACAACAAAAAAAAGAAGAATGGGAGACAGGAAGAAAAAGAAGAGAAGAGAAAAGAAGAAAAGAAAACAAAAGAAAAGGAAAAAGGAAGACCCAGAATTTTAGAGAAAACTAGGAATTACAGCAAAAGTTAGACATTAGTTTTGGATACCTATTATAGGTGATGATACTTTAAACAAACAAAGCAAGAGGAAGTCTTAGAAGTGAGAAACCTTTGCCATAAATGATTGAAGATCCTGACCAAAACACACAACTTATATTTGAAGACCAAAATTTTGAAATGATTTTTATAAGCTGTTAATCTTGATATAATTATATATATACATATACATGTGTGTGTGTGTATGTTAAACATACTCAAATAGGTGATAAATTTAAACTTTTTAACTCTAATTTTGAAATAATTACCTTTACTAACATATTAAATAATGGATAAATATATTATCTTTAACTTACCAACTTAATAACCTGCACACTTTTTAAATCAGACAACATATATTCATTATCAAGTGTACATATTCTCTTTTCCCTGTACATATTCCTCTTGAGGGATGATATATCCGAAATAGTGCCTCACTGTGGAAATAGTTTCTGCCTTCTGAAACACAACTTGAGGATATAACAGAATTTCCAGCAGGGAGGTATAGTTTGAAAAGATTCCAGAAACGATTCTGATACCACACTCACTGTTGCGAATCAATGACAATATGTCACTTCCATTTGAGAAATTAAATAGTAAATGATGTTTATTACTCCCTAGATTTTAATGTAAAGTTTAATAGTTCAGTTTAGTTTTATACATATTTTGTCCTAAGCAGTTTACAGATCAATATTTTTAAAAGTTTCTACTTTTTATTAATTTCATTAAAGTCCTTTTGATAAAGTTAGACTTCCTGGAACCCTTATGTTTGGCAATGAATTTCCAGATTGATTCAGGTTTATAAGGACAAATACACGTGACACTACAGAAGTGTGAGGGAGTAGGACTTACATGCCTTTTCTAGGGCCTCAGTTGATCAGAAGTGGACAGCAGCTGTTCCATCAAAAACTCAAACGGGGTTGTGGGGATTTGCAACCTCAACCTCTTTCCCAGAGCATATTAGGAGGACACAGATAAAAGGATTCAATAAACGCATTGGCAAATTAAAATGTGAAAAGTCACCACTGTGGGGTATTATTTGCTATGTAGCTAATCCCTCTGGGGACTCTCTGAGACAGCCCATGGAACGTGTCTCAGAATCTTCCTGTCCACTGATTGCTATCCTGCATTTGTTGGATGTAACCTCCAGGGACATTGTCCCCTCTTCCTGCCACACACATGTAATTCTGGGTTGTTTTTGCATGTGTCCAATCTTCTATGCAAAACTCTTCCCTGGGAAGAGTGACAAGGCAGACTCTTGAGATGGAAATCTGTCAACCTTACTAGAACTTTCTGTTGAACTCAGGAACACTGGGGAACACTGAGGCATCAATATCATATGCTTTGACATAGTTTTAATACTCTTTCCATTTTAGGTTTTTTTTTTTGTCTTAAATCTGAATGCAGTCATGTTCTTCAAGTTTTATCCTATAGAAAGAACTGCCTTCCTATGAAACCACAGGGATTAAAGACATAAAGCTGCAGATTTCATTGCGGTAGAAAACCCTACTTTCCTGCCTGTTGGCAGAACACTTATTAGGAGTTTGCAGAAGCAAAGTGCAATTATTCTCCATGATGCCAGGACCTACATTATTCATTAACGTAGAACAAAACTCAGATATATTATTAAGTGTCCCAGATTATTCATTTGTGAGCAGACTACCAATTGTCTTTCCAAATGAATTTTCTTTGTTCTCAGTACTTTTGATCATATTCAAAATCTCAAAGCTTTTAAAATTTTCAAAATGGGCTCTCAAAATAGAAAATGTGATCTAGTGAAGCTGACTGTACTTACAGTTTGTTATGAGCCGAACGCTGTGTCCCTCTAAAACTCCTAAGTTGAAACCCTAGCCACTAATATGATGGTATTTGGCGATGGGGCCTCTGACAGGTCATGAGGTTT
The DNA here is from genome assembly GCF_000001405.40 of Homo sapiens. Classification (NCBI taxonomy): domain Eukaryota; kingdom Metazoa; phylum Chordata; class Mammalia; order Primates; family Hominidae; genus Homo; species Homo sapiens. The sequence goes on from NC_000009.12 coordinate 41,874,632, forward strand.
AGGTTAGATCCTGGAAGGAGGCCCTCATGAGGAGATTAGTGTCCTTATAGGATGAGGAGCCAGAGATCTTCTTATCGCTTGCCATCCCCCACACACTCAGGGAAGGCCACGTGACGCCCAATGGGAAGGAGGCTGACCACAAGCGAGGGGCCAGGCCTGATCATGAACTAGCACCTTGATTGTAGGCTTCTCTGCCTCCAGAACTGTGAGATATAAATGTCTGTGGTTTAAGCCATCCAATCTATGCTATTTTTTCTTTTTCTTTTTCTTTTTCTTTTTTTTTTTGAGACATAGTTCTGCTCTGTCATCCAGGCTGGAGTGCAGTGGTGCGATCTCAGCTCACTGTAAGCTCCGCCTCCCAGGTTCACGCCATTCTCCTGCCTCAGCCTCCTGAGTAGCTGGGACTACAGGTGCCCGCCACCACGCCCGGCTAATTTTTTTTGTATTTTTTTTAGTAGAGACCGGGTTTCACCGTGTTAGCCAGGATGGTCTTGATCTCCTGACCTCGTGATCTGCCCGCCAGGGCCTCCAAAAGTGCTGGGATTACATGTGTGAGCCACCGCGCCCGGCCACCGCGCCCGGCCCAATCTATGCTATTTTATTACAGCAGCCTGAGCTGACTGGCTGTTATTATTGGTAGTTACTGATAGTTATCTACTTGCATGTCCAAAGGAAACAACGCAGCTACCAATTTTTTGGTGATATTCTTCAAATGCTAGCAGGAGACTTGATTGATTCTGGAATGTGTAATGAGCTTGACAGAGGTACCACTAAGAATCCTTTTATCTGTTTACAATTCACAATCCTGCGACGCCACTTGCAGAGAAAAATGCTGATCAGGGTTTCCTGGATGAGATGTTGCTTCTCAGGGTAGCCATATCATCACACTATTAGAGACTACAGACCCCTAGAACTTGGCCTTTTGATATATAGGACCAGGAGAAGGGGTTGAAGTACATGAAGGTTTTCTAAGAGCATAGGATCAATGGGTCAATTTTCATTTGAAAAGGGCTGAGAGGTCAGCTTGTAGAAAATAAAGACCAAGAGGGAGAAGCAGCAAAGAGCTACATATTAGTAGGAGGTCAGCTTAATAGCTAAGAGGGAGCAACCTCAGGGCCTTATGGCAATTAAAGATATTGAATATCAAGGAATTAGAAGGATTTAAAGAATTATGACTGAGAGTCTTCTATTGTATTCACTTTGACAGAGTTCATAATTCTTATGGACTTTTTACTTGCCTTTGTTGGCTGGGTTTCATTTTTTAAAATTGCAGTTCTACAGAGATACTTAGCCATGAGGCAAGACAATTATATTTGTGCTACTCAATTAAATTGTGTTACATCTTAATGTCAGAGTCTATTCTCTATAAATTCTACCAGTAATTTTAGATTTTATGGTCTGCTTCCTAGCATTAGGATGAACCCCTATGGCAACCCTATTCTTATCCATTGGTGCAAAATGATAACTTAATTGTATAATATATCAAAAAAGTGTTTTGTAGTATTTCACTAGTTCTTTGCTTTTGTCTCATAATTGGCTAATTGAAATTGGGATTAAATAACTTTAATTTTCACATGGCTACAGTTGTAAACAGAGTCATTTTTTCCCATAATACATCAACATTTGGCAAATAATTTCATCTCCTGGGTCTTATGCCAGAATTTTCAGAACATCCTTAAAAACTGTGAATGAAATGACTTGGCAATTGAATGCTGAATGAAAAAGAAATACTTAAAACAATTTAGTCTACTTTTAATCATTTTCATTAAAAAAACTTTGTTAATCATAAAGTAAGTTTCCCAGTTTATGCTATTAATTCTCCATTGTTTTCAGATAAAGCACTTGTAAACTGTTGAACATTTTTATGAAGTGTTATATCACAAATTGGGGCTATTGCATAAATGTTATGTTATTCTAGCCCACCTAAAATATAACTTCTTTCTGCACTCTACTCTTCTTCAAGTTGTCTTATAATATCCAAAATTTGCACCATCATTTTTTCACTCAGGAAAATACTTTTGGACAATTAAATTATATGTATTTAATACAGCATTAAATGATTTATGATATTTCTTAATATCTGAATATTTTTGCTTAACCACTGAGCTTATTCGGCATAAATTATGTCAAGCATTAAGAAAATAATAAGTTATCCTATAGAGAAATTTAATGTGTTTAGAACTATTATTATTATTATTTTTTGAGACGGAGTCTCCCTCTGTCGCCCAGGCTGGAATGCAGTGGCGCGATCTCCACTCACTGCAAGCTCCGCCTCCTGGGTTCACGCCATTCTTCTGCCTCAGCCTCCCAAGTAGCTGAGACTACAGGTGCCCACCACCACACCCGGCTAATTTTTTGTATTTTTAGTAGAGACAGGGTTTCACAGTGTTAGCCAGGATGGTCTTGATCTCCTGACCTCATGATCCACCCGCCTCGGCCTCCTAAAGTGCTGGGATTACAGGCGTGAGCCACCGTACCTGGCCGTATTTAGAATTATTTTTGTGGAATAATACTCTATAGATTCCCTTGGCTGTCATTATCCCAATAACCAAAAATAATATCTCTATCACAGGCAATAGTGCATATTGGCTAAGAGATTGGGCGCTGGAGTCAGACAAGAGCCAGACTGCCTGAGTTCAAATTCCAGCTCAGTCATTTATTAAGTGAATGTGTAACCACACAAAACCAGTCTGGTTCTTCAACTTTTATGTAAAAAAGTTATGAATAGTTTTTCAGTTGCCATGGACTCCCAGGCTGAAGTTCCCATAACCTGAACATGCCCAAATGAACCAAACTTGCAATGATGGGCGGGACTTAAGTGCTCAGCCCAAGAAGTGGGACTGGATTAAAAAGGGGACACTGCATGGCAAGATCCAGGATCCAATCAAATGGAGCCCTTGTGGTACCCCATGGCAGGATTCAGTCAGATCATGCCTCCCAGCATCATCTCATCACAAGACCCAATCAGATAACACTTCATTACCCTATTCCTATAAAACCCAACTCAGCCCCCAGCTCAGGGAGACAGATTTGAGCATTTTCTCCTGTCTCTTGACAGTCAACCAGCAATACAGCTTCTCTTTTCTCAAGCCTGTGCCATGGTATTGGCCTCTATGCACATCGGGTAGCAAGCCCATTGATTGTTTGATTACAAATGACCCTAGGGAAGTTATTTAAACTAATTCTGCTTCAGTCTGTTCATTTATAAAATGGGAATATTAGGAACTCACTTCACAAAGTTGCTGTGAGGATTTACTGACTTAATCTATGCAAATCATTTAAGACAATTCCTGAGATTTTATGATTACCATATAAATATATCCAAAGACTATTATTTCCAATTATATTTGTTCCAAAGGGTAGATTTCTTCCTCTTATCTTCCACATTTCTATTAGATATTTGCCAAAAATGGAGACATATTAATGTTTTATTAATGCATGTATTTATCTATTTACTGAATGCTATTTAAATGTGGTACACCACTGTCTAGATGTTAGCAATTTAGAGAAAGTAAAATCCAGTCCCTTTCCACAAGGGGACTATCATAATGGGTATAATTTGAAGACAAGGAGGAGCCTAGTCGAAGATGGCAAATCAGAAAACTTTACTTTGGTGGTAGCAGAATTTAAAACATCCTTCATCTTAGTTGAGATGATAAATTATTAGTCTCAGCTCTTCTTTAAAATAACTATATATAATTAATAATAAGCTGAAATTAGCAGTTATATTTCAAATATTCCATATACCTTCATTTATACGAATTTCACCTCAAAACTGGGGTTTGGTGTTATTATTTTAGATTGCAAATGGCATTAAGAATCCAATGCTGTGTTAAGTATAGCATCTGCCAGATAAAAATATTAGGACAAGGCCGGGCACGTTGGCTCACGCCTGTAATCCCATCACTTTGGGAGGCCGAGGCTGGTGGATCACGAGGTCAGGAGATCGAGGCCATCCTGGCTAACATGGTGAAATCCCATCTCTACTATAAATACAAAAAATTAGCTGGGCGTGGCATCGGGCACCTGTAGTCCCAGCTACTTGGGAGGCTGAGGCAGGAGAATGGCATGAACCCGGGAGGCAGAGCTTGCAGTGAGCCAGGATCAGGCCACTGCACTCCAGCCTGGGTGACAGAACGAGACTCCGTCTCAAAAAAAAAAAAAAAAAATTAGGACAAAAGAAGTTCATTAGTCTTAAGAACTAATTCAGAATATTTATTATATATTCTACAGACTATGGACCTATTTATTAATATATTTTTATAATATAATGTAAAGTGTCCTACATAAAGCGCTCATTTTGACAAAGATATTTCTTTTCTCCACGTGTTCAATTTGCCAGACAAGCAACATACTGTGTAAGATGTAAGAAAAAGTCCCACATTTTCAAAATTATGGTAATTAAAAAAGTTATTGGATGAAAGAGTCTATCCTTTACCAAATAAAGGCAAAGACATGAAGTGTTTCTGTTAATTTCCCCATTGTCTAAATTTATAGTCTTTAATTCCTTATTTTAATAATATTATTTTATTTCTAAGTCATGTTGATTGAATAACATTCAGGTTTTAATGATTTCAATTATTTTAGAACTGACTACTCAAATATTTAAAATTAATTATTATGAATGATTAATACTAAGACTTTCAATAATCTGAATAATCACACATAGAAGGTCATTAATTATAACACAAAGAAATGTACTTCTGAGCAATATCTAAAATATTGCCTAAGACTTTAAGTTTATTTTTATTATCTTATATAATTGATGACAACTAGAATGATTTTTCTTTTTGGATTACTGGCAGGACATAGCTGTGTAGTGATCTCAGTAATGATTATATACAATAACCCTTAAAATTACCAAGCACATATGTAGAACTTCTTACATATTTTAAATTACACCTACTTACTGGGAATGACATACTTTCACCAAATCTCATAATCATATGCTAAACAAATCTCAAAGGAAATTTGGAGGGCTTCTGATTCATTATCTCTTTCTGGGTTACATTCCTCCTAAATCATGTTATTTCCTTTATTCCTGTAAAATGAGTTAATGTAATAGTGAACAACAACTTCCTGGCCAGGTAATTCTTTCTTATGTTTAGTCCAAATTCCTCCCCATAAAACATATGTACGTCTAATTTTTCCTCTGTCCATGGAAACTGAGAACAGTTGCCTAGAATAGACATTACTCTCACGAATAAGACACATTTTACTGCATGTTACAAGACATTTTTGAAAGTTTGAAATTATGAAGTCTCTACTTAGGGCTTAAGTCATTAAGGGACACAAACACTAATAAAATTATTTTCCATAAACTCTTCTCATTTTCTATCATATGTTATTTAAAGTGTTATCCAAAAAAAAAAAAAAAAAAAAAGAGAGAGAAGAAGAAGAAGCCTAACAAACGCGCCAAAGTTAAATCAGTATCTTTGCCAATTTTCTAACTGTAGAAGTTTGGAGCCTTAGGCCAGTGCTGGACCTGGCTGCTGGGTCATCCACACGCACCTGGAAGGGAACAGGAATACACTCACAGGAATACACTCTGCAGTGCACACGAGCTCCGCTTTCCGACAGTTCACTGAAGACATGCACCCGTCACATCATCACATCAGTCATCAAATTGAGACAACCATGCTGATGAAAAAGAACAATGATCTGTAGGATGGTTTTATGAAAGAGCCAGATTTGGAAGGCTAACGAAGGGTGCCTCAAGACAGTGTCTCTTAAGCTGAGATCAGAAGGAAGAGGAGGCTTTAATTAGTATAAAAGAGGTGAATGGAGCAGGGTAGGATAGAGAGTTTTAAAGAGAAAAGTCAGCAGAGCCACGTCCTTATGGTGAGAGGGAGCGGGGAACAAGGAAGACTTAAAACAAGGTACATAAAAGAACTAGAACAGGAGCACAGTCTTCTGTGTTCTTTGGCTTCATTGGCTAAGAATAGCTAAAGTGGTTACTCTGAGTTGGGGGATGTATAGATGCTCCTAATAGCCAAGAGTTTAATTGTACATTGGAAATCAGAAACTATAAAAAGATGTTGGCCGGGCGCAGTGGCTCACGCCTGTGGTCCCAGCACTTTGGGAGGCTGAGGCGGGTGGATAACGAGGTCAGGAGTTTGAGGCCAGCCTGGCCAATACAGATATCCCAGCTACTTGGGAGGCTGAGGCAGGAGAGTTGCTTGAACCTGGGAGGTGGAGATTGCAGTGAGCCAAGATCACGCCACTGCACTCCAGCCTGGGTGACAGAGCGAGACTCCATTTCAAAAAAAAAAGATGTTTATCTTCCTTACTCAGATACCATATAAAAAAGCTGGGATTTTGCTAAATTCAAAAAGAAATTACATACACCCTATATTACAAATACTAAAAACTAGTCATCAGCTAGCCATCTATTGTTGCAACATGTCTTTGAATAATATATGTGTTTTCATTATATTTCTAAATTAGGCAATTTGTTTTGTTATTTCAAATCACTGGGTTTCGTGTTTCAATTGCTTAACTAATCAACCCAGAAGATCCATTGTGGAGTCCATTTTTCACAGCAAATCTAAATTCTTTTTCCACACAACCATTCTTGTCCATCCTGATGCAATTCCTCTAGACATAATCACAGCGGAGAAGTGCAGAGCACACCCTGCCAAGGGGCATCTACTGAAGAGATACTGACAATGGCAATTTAAAGATACTTGTTATTTCCAAAGTTGAGAGAAAGAGCCTTGTAAAAATGTGTATCTCTTTGCTGTAAGGATGCTTATTTAGAATTAACTACAGTAGTTGTCTATTTATCCAGCATGTTGATTTCAAAGCCCAGTTCTTTTTATTGAACTACTTTGGAATTAAAAATTTTTATAATATTTACATATAGGATTAGGTTTCTAAGCCAATTCCATCTAACTGCTAGTAAATTTATTTTGTATATAGCACAAAGAATTGAATTCAATCCCAAATTCTCTCCAGCATACTAACCAAATTTAAATAAACATATGTGATGAGCTAGCAATGGTATTTCTGAATTTTCATATTTTTATTTTCCTTGGCTTACATTTTCCATATATCAAAGTCTCTTTTGAAAATTAAACTATATAATATAACCTCAATTTTAAAACATCAATGATAAGCTGGATTTAATCAACTCAGAACCCAGTGAGGAAAAACATGTTTTACTTGCTTTTATTTTTAATCAAACAGAAGTTGTATTTTGTTGTCATTGCAACATATCAGCGAATAAGCAATCTTGGAGAGCTAGGAGCAAGTTTAAATGTGTACATCTATGGGCAAAAGAACAGCTTAAACTACTGTGAGGCGGTCATTTTTCCTCCAGTGTTTCTTACGCCAGTGTGGAGGCAGCTGGAGACCTGGGAAAGATAGCAAAGACATCTTTCTTTCTTTTCTTTCTTTCTTTCTTTTCTTTCTTTCTTTCTTTTTTTGAGACGGAGTCTCGCTCTGTCGCCCAGGCTGGAGTGCAGTGGCGTGATCCTGGCTCACTGCAAGCTCCGCCTCCAGGGTTCACGCCATTCTCCTGCCTCAGCCTCCCGAGTAGCTGGGACTACAGGCGCCCATCACCCCGCCCGGCTAATTTTTTTTTTTTTTTTTGTATTTTTAGTAGAGACGGGGTTTCACCATGTTAGCCAGGATGGTCTCGATCTCCTGACCTAGTGATCCGCTCGCCTCGGCCTCCCAAAGTGCTGGGATTACAGGTGTGACCCACCACGCCCGGCCGCAAAGACATTTTTCTTGTGACAGTTTTAAACTTGGTATATTTCAAAATAGCACAGATGTTTTTGAAACACTTGCAGTAGAAATAGTGATGTTGTATTGGTTAAAGAAAAAGGCCTATTTTTTTTTTTTTTTGAGACGGAGTCTCGCTCTGTCGCCCAGGCTGGACTGCAGTGGCGCGATCTCTGCTCACTGCAAGCTCCGCCTCCGGGGTTCACGCCATTCTCCTGCCTCAGCCTCCCGAGTAGCTGGGACTACAGGAGCCCGCCACCACGCCAGGCTGATTATTATTTTTTTTTTTTTTTTGTATTTTTAGTAGAGACAGTGTTTCACCGTGTTAGCCAGGATGGTCTCGATATCCTGACCTCGTGATCCACCTGCCTCGGCCTCCCAAAGTGGTGGGATTACAAGCTTGAGCCACCGCGCCCGGCCGAAAAAGGCCTATTTTATGTCTGTTATTTCCATCTTTATGTCCACGTGTATTCTTTGTTTAGGTCCCACTTGTAAGTGGGAACATGCAGTATTTAATTTTCTGAGTTACTTCACTTAGAATAATGGCTTTCAGCTCCATCCATGTTGCTGAAAAGGACATGATTTTATTCTTTTTATGGCTGCATAGTATTCCATAGTGTATATTTACCACAAGTTTTCTTTATCCAAGCAACACTTAGATTGATTCCATGACTTTGCTATTGTGAATAGTGCCGCAATAAACATACAAGTGTGGGCGTCTTTTTAATATAATGATTTCTTTTCCTTTGGGTAGATGCCCAGTAGTGGGACTGCTGGGTCGAATGGTAGTTCCATTTTTAGTTCTTAGAGAAATCTCCATACTGTTTTCCTTAGAGTTTTTACTAATTTATAGTTCCACCAACAGTGTATAAGAGTTCCTTTGTCTCCACATCCTTGTCAACATCTGTTGTTTATGACTTTTTAGTAATAGCCATCTTGACTAGTGTAATATGATATCTCATTTTGGTTTTGATTTGCATTTCTCCGATGATTCGTGATACTGAGCATTTTTTTAATAAAGAACTCAAACAACTCAGTAAGAAAAAAATCCCATTAAAAACTGGGCAAAGGACATGAACAGATGTTTCTCAAAAGAAGACATATAAGCATAAAATAAAAAGAAGACATATAAGACATAAAATGCTTAACATCACTAACCAATTTGGGTTTTGGTTAATTGGATTTAGTGAGGGTCTGAAGGTACAGGTAGACATGGAGAAATGTTGAATAATATCATTTAGTGCAAAAACTATTTGGAAAGAACATAAGAATTGATGAATTTTTTTGCAATAGATCTGTCTAAATTCCTTGGAAAATTACAAGTGGTGAAGATTAATACATGTGCTATTATTGTTGTTTTTCATTAACTGTTTGCTATGGAATCATTGAAGAAAGTGATAGACATGTTAGAATGACAGATTTCTTTAGAGTGGTATATACTCATATTTCTTTAGGGTGGGCAAATTAAAATCACTGATCTGATTGTGGCATATATAACTAAGGTCTTGCATCCTTTTGGACTGAAATATTCTCCTTCTAACTGAGAAGTATGTGAAGAGAGAAAGCATTCATTGCATATTCATCTGAGCAGCTTTCTAGAACTGATCCAGTCAGACTAGAAAAATTCTACCAAGCTCAAAAATCATCACACAAAAAACAACCACTTAGAGTCTCTGGAAACTGTCCTAACAGAAAATGTTTTTGAAATGGCATTATATTCTGTTGGACCTAATTAAATCCTTTTCTCTCTTCGCATAGTAAGGACCCATAGTCCCTCCCTGGTGACACTTCCTACTTCAGCTTTCTTTCCCTTGTTCTCAGTTTTAGGTGCACCCTACCTCAAGTTCTTACTGCTTCTGCTCGTGGGACTATAACAAACACTACTTCTTTTACCTCAGTAGGACATCACAGCCCATTGCTTCCATGCATCCCAGGAGCTGGGAGAGACTTGGGCCTCTTCTGTCTGCTATTTTTTTTTTAATACTGCTAATCTCAGGCTATGGTCTGAGAATCAAACAGCAAACATTTTTGCACTTCTATTTTCTAATAAACTATCTGGATTCCTCCTAAAAGTTGGAAGTGAGGTAGAGTTGACATCTAATTTCACAGCCATGTTGATACAAATGAAGCAAATCTTTACAATATTTCAATATGTATAATTCCAAGGCACAATGAGCAAGGTATAGAGTATGTCCCCTGTGTCTAGCTGTTTCTCCAGGCTTCTCCAGAATGATGGATGAAAATGTAATTGGCAAGTCAAATGTCTACTGTGGAAGCCTACAGGAAAAGGGATGTGAAATGCTTGACGTGATGAGGGATGCAGAGTGTTCAGCACTTATTTACTGAGCAGCTCATCACCTGATTGTATAGTATACAATATATGAGAATTTATAGAACAGTGAACGTATAAACACATAGAACAAATAAACATATACAACATATAAACACTGTTTTTAACATTTATTACATACATAGAACATATAAGAATTTATAGAACAATGAAAATACCACATTTTGACATTTGTATTGTACTGTGAAAGATTTATATGTATTTGTATAAAAAATAAATAAAGGTGATAATCTCTTGTGATTTCCCCAAAATACAGCATCCTTTTCATCTTTTTCCATTATGTAAATATGGTATGATAGAAATATAATATGCTGTGAAGTGATAGACATCATGACATATCAAAATGTATTATATATACACATATATATACATGTACATATTTATTGAAGTATAATTTATATACAAAATATACAAATTCCAAATATGAAATTCAGAGTTTTGACAAATGTCCACACCAATGTAACCATAGTCGATCAAGACATAGAACATTTCCATCACTCCAGAAACTTCCCTTGTGTTTCTCTGCAGTCAACTCCCATCCCACCTCAACCCAGGTAACTACTGATACAATTTCTACTGCTATATCTTAGTTTCGCTTGTTCTAGGACTTCAGAATGTACCCTATAGTGTCTAGATTTATTCATTCAACACAAGGTTTTTTAGATTCAGCCATGTTTGTTGCAGTTACCAGTAGTTTTGTCCATTTTATAGCTGAAGAGTATTTCATTATTAATACCACACAAATTGTTTGTCCATTTTCTTGTTGAAGGTCTTTTAGGCAGTTTACAGTTTGGGGATATTATAAGTAAAGATGCTATAAACGTTCTTGTGTAAGTCTTATAATGGGCATAAGTTTTCATTTCTTTTCAACCTAGGATTGGAATTGTTGGGTCATAGGTTTCATGTATGCTTAATTATATAAAACAATGTTAAACAATTTTTCCTAAGTGGTTGTAGCATTTTACATTCCAACAATAATGTATGAGAATTATAATTGCTCCATATTCTCAACAACACGTGGTACTGACAATATTTTTAATCATAACCATTTTAGTGGGAAGAATAACTCACTGTGGTTTTAATTTGCATTTCCTTAATGACAAAACGATATTGAACATTTTTGTGTGCTTTTTGTCCACTGGTGTAGCACTTTTCATCATTTTTTCTTATATTCATTATTTTCATTTTATTTTTGCTAATTATTGAGTTGTTAAGAGTTCTTTATGAACTATATTCTGAAAAAAATTTACAGCATTCAAATAAAGTGTTGCAAATATTTTCTCCCAGTCTGTAGCTTGACTCTTATTCTCTTAACAATGTATTTTAAAAGGAGAGTTGTTAATTTTAAGGTCAAATTTATCAGATTTTTATATTATATCTTGCTATTTGCTTTCTATTTGTCCCATTTGTTCTTTGTCCTCTTTCTCATCTTTTTTGTCTACTTTCAAGCATTTGAAAATTTATTCTATTTCATCGCTGCATTGTATATTATTGTGTAATATTGTAATATTATCACTGTTTTTGTTACTCTAGCATTTGCTTTAGGGATTACACCATACAGATGTTTTAACTTAAAGATAACTTGTAATAGCCAACTTTTAATAGGCATTATACAACTTTACACACAGTCTAAGAACCTTACAAACTATATTTCCATTTAGTCTCTCTAGGTTATTGTTGTCATATATTTTACTTTTACTCATGCTGCAGAACTCACATGACACTGCTATTATTTCTAAACAGCCAATTATCTTTAAAAGATATTTAAGTAATAAGGGCAGGTATTGTATATTTACTTATGGTGTTACTATTGCCAGTGCTCTTCATTTCTTTGTGTGGATCCATGTTTCTATCTGCACAAAGATATTATTCTTTATTTTCCTTCTTCCTGAAAGGCTTTTACACTGTTCTCATAGTCCAGGTTTGCTGATAATATATTACTTTTAACTTTTCTATGTCTGAAAAATATCTTTGTTTCATCCTTTCTTGAAAGACGGTTTTGCTGGGTATAGAAACCTAGGAGAGACAGTTTTCTGCTTTTGGTTGGAAGATGTTTCACTGGAAGCATGAAAGATGTTTCTCCACTGCCCTTCCCCTTGCATTGCTTCCAAAAAGAAGTCTGGTATCATCCTTGTTTTTCTTCTCTGTATAAGATTTGTCTTTTTCTCTTTACCACACTGAGTTTTGATCCATTTGCTTAGGATGTGTTGTGATATGGTTTTCTTAATAGCACCCCTACTTGGGGATGTTGAGCTGGGTCTGTGGGTTTATAGTTTGCATCAAATGTGGAAAATGCTTACCTATTAATTTTTAAAAATATTTTTTTCTATCCATCCACTCTCTTTTCTCCTTTGAGAACTCCAAATACACACAGATTAGGCAACTGAAGTTGTCCCACAGATCACCGATACTCTGATTATTCTTTGTTTTTTTTCTGTCTCTGTTTCATTTTGGATGCTTTCTACTGCTATATATATTCAAGTTTATTAATATTTTCTTCTGAAAACTCTCATCTGCCATTAATTACATCCATTGTATTTTTTAATCTCATACATTAACATTGTCATCTCTCGAAGTTTAATTTAAGCCTTTTCTTGTCACATCCTAATCTTTGAAAATACGGAATATAGTCATAATATTTTTCATTAGTAATTCTAACATCTGTGTATGTGCTGGGTCATTTTAGATTGATTTTTATCCTCATTATAGGTCCTATTTTTCTGCCTCTTCACACACTTGGTAATTTTTTATTGTATACCAGACATTGTGATTTTACCTCGTTGGGTGTTGGATTTTTTTTTGATGGAGTCTGGCTCTGTTGCCCAGGCTGGAGTGCAATGGCACAATCTCGGCCCACTGCAAACACCGCCTCCTGGGTTCACGCCATTCTCCTGCCCCAGCCTCCCGAGTAGCTGGGACTTCAGGCGCCCACCACCACGCCCGGCTAATTTTTGTATGTTTAGTAGAGATGGGGTTTCCACCTTGTTAGCAGGATGGTCTCCATCTCCCGACCTCGTGATCTGCCTGCCTCGACCTCCCAAAGTGCTGGGATTACAGGCATGAGCCACCGTGCCCGGCCTGGTGTTGGATAGTTTTATGTTACTGGAAATACATGTGAACTTTGCTCAGAGATGCCAATTAGTTATTGGAAACGGTTTGATCTTTTTTTCCAAATCTTTGAAAATTTGTTTAGTGGGGCCGCCATAGTAATACGTGGTCTAGGACTTGCCAGGACTGAGGCAAGACCCCTATGAATAGTCTACCTAATGCCCTATTAATTATGGGGATTTCTGGTATAGCCCATGGCAACCACCTCTATTCATGGTTGTATGTGAACATGCACTCTCAGTGAGAGTGATATTGTCCCCAAAATGACAGAAATTAGATTTTTTTGGGGGGATGGGAGAAGTGAAGAGAAGAAAAATATTCTTTTTGTGTAAAGCCCAGATATACATATAGTACTAAAGAGATATGCAGTGCATGTGCGATATTAAAATTTCAGGCCCGGCGCAGTGGCTTACGCCTGTGATACCAGCGCTTTAGGAGGCTGAGGTGGGCAGATCATGAGATCCAGAGATCGAGACCATCCTGGCTAACATGGTGAAACCTTGCCTCCACTAAAAATACAAAAAAAAAAAAAAAAAAAAATTAGCTGGGCGTGTTGGTTTGTGCCTGTAGTCCCAGCTACTCGGGAGGCTGAGGCAGGAGAATGGCATGAAACCTGGAGGCGGAGCTTGCAGTGAGCCAGGATCGCGCCACTGCACTCCAGCCTGAGCGACAGAGCAAGACTCCGTCTCTAAAATAAAATAAAATAAAATAAAATAAAATAAAATAAAATAAAATAAAAATTAAAAAATTCATAGAGAGGTGACTAGAAAAGATGTTTTAAAAGATTCCTTGAGGTCAATAATAATTTTTTAAAGGTTGATAAATGCCGCTGTAATTCTTTTGAGTGTTTCTTTCCCTTGCCTCAGGTAGTTTCATGCACTTTGTTACACACTGAAGGGCGACCCTCTCCAGATTTGCAAAGTTTTCTCCAATGCAGCTCTTTCCTCGCCGGTACTCTATCCTGCAATCTCTAGCCACCTTCGTGTACCTGAACTCTCAGCAACAGCTACTCCATTCAGAGACTTGCTAGGCTTCCTTAAGCTATCTATCTCCATTGTCACTGCTGTCTCAAATTCTGTCAAGTTGTAAGCTGGGATACTCACAGCAGACATCTTATGTTTCCTGTCTTTCAGGGATTACATTCCGTGCCTCATGTCCAGTGTACTGAAAACCATTGTTTCATATATTTTGTCTGGTTTGAGGTTGTTTCATGCAGGAGGGTTAGAGGGTAAATATGCTGCCTATTACTCCATCTTAGCCAGAAGTAAAATAAGAAAAAAAAATATATGTAAGTATAAACACACATACACATATATATATGTATGTATATAACACACATGAATCATATCCTAAAGATTTGGAACAAGAAGTAAATTTAGCTATCAATTATGTTTACTCACTGCAGATTAAGATGAACATTGTAGATTGGAGCATATTATGGGAGCAAGGCAACCTGTAGAATTGGTCAGGAACTAGACATCTCAGGACCTGCATTCTAACCCATTTTTGTCAGTAATTATCTGTGTAACGTTTTCTCAAAGCAGTGAAGGCCTTTGTGAATTTTGCAAAAATGGGGACAATTATATGTTTTACCTCATTGGCTTGCTTAAGGAGTTAAAATGTGATATGAGTCATACAAAGTGCTCATGCAGTCACAGAGGTTCTATTTTAAGGGCTTTCTTAAATTTTTAGGTACCATCACAAGCTAGCTAAGTTAGAAATTTTCATATCGCAAAATACAAAAGTTCATCTTATCATTTTAGACATTTTTATTCACAGAGCAAATGCAACCATGTGAACCTCACATTTTAAAATATATAACGGCACAATAAAATGCAAAAATATAATTTTAGGTCATAATCAACCTATAGGCAATAAACTATGTTATCATTTTGTAAAAAAAAATACCACAGGAAGTAGTGCTTCAGTACATTTTCCCGACGATATGATTAATCCATAATAAATTCTGCTACTACTCTTAGTAATGGCAACTTTATGTAACCTTCTTAAGGTTACATTTGCACTTAAGTATACCAACTTAAACCGTTAGTGGCTGTTCTGACAACACATCAGCAATGAACTTAGCCTGAGCTACATCCATTGGGAGTGATGTGAAGGAAGAGAAAAGCGTTGGACTCTATGATATTTAATGTCTTTACCAATAGAAAAGCTCTGTAATTCTTAGAATTCAATTTTTTAATTAAAAAATTGGTTCTCTCTTTACACATAATTGCCAAAACAGTGTTTACAAATACTTTCATCTTGCCCCAGATTGGCCAATGAGGTAGTAGGTTAAACAGCCAATTCATCATGTTTTGATTTAAAATGTGTCCATATCATTCTTCCCCAAATTCAAGTATATTTTAATAATCCATTTCTGTCACTTATATTATGGATTCAAGAATAAACTAAGCAAATGGATCATTTGTTTGCCTTCCAGTTATACATGAAGAAATTAATGTTTTATTAAAGAAAAAAGCCATCAAAATCAATTTTCCATCTGCACTCTTTTATTTGTTGCAATACTGTTTATAACAGCTAAGATTTGGAAACACCCTAAGTGTTCATCAACAGATGAATGAAGAAAATGTGGTTCACATACAAAATGGAGTACTCTTCAGCCATAAAAGAGAATGAGATCCTGTCACTTGCGACAGCATGGATGGAACTGGAGGTCATTATGTTAAGTGAAATAGGCCAGGCATAGAAAGACAAACATTGCCATGTTCTCATTTATTTGTGGGATCTAAAAACCAAAACAACGGAACTCATGGATATAGAGTAGAAGGATGGTTAGTAAAGGCTGAAAAAAGTAGTAGACAGCTGAGATAATGGTGGGGCAGAGGTGGGGATAGGTTAATGGGTACAAAAAAAGTAGAAAGAATGAGTAAAACTTACTATATGATAGCACAATAGGGTGACTATAGTCAATAAAAACTTAACTGCATATTTTAAAATACAGAGTGTAATCAGGTTGTTTGTAACACAAAGGATAAATGTTGAGGGGATGGATACCCCATTCTCCATGATGTGCTTATTTCACAGTGCATGCCTGTATCAAAACATTTCATGTACTCCATAAATATATGCACCTAGTATGTACACAAAAATTAAAAAATAAAAAAGATTTCCCATCAAATATTCTTTCAGAGAAGATGTGAACAAAGATCCAGAATTATTGATCAGTCTAGGCAAACAGAGTATCAAACAGCCTAATATGATTTTCTCCTCTGCTAAATAATACTGGGAAGGCAGGAAGGTGGGCTTCTCTATGGATTGAAGTTAAGAGAAAGAAGTGCCAGGAGTTCAGTCCACGCATGACAACTTACTAGTACTGCCTACTTGAAGAGATTAGCTCTTACAACCTTATCTTTGTCTCATCTATAAAACTGAGGGAGCAGGTTAAAAAAATCTTATATGTTAATACATGACTTATCCTACTCCATGTCTCTATTACAATGAAAGATCATACACAGTCTGGAAGAAAATGTTAAATTTACTGTGACTTTTCACAGTAATAGAGACAGAGTAACAGAGACACGGGGTAGAATATGTCACGTATCAGTACTAACTACTATCAAAGTATGTTAAGTTTATGCCGTAATAATGACTTTTAGGAAACAATGAAGATTTACAGTGACTTCCTAAGGTGAATTTGGACAAAAATATTGAGATAATACCACTCACCAGTGTCACTATTTTACAGAGATAAGCCTTCAATGTCACATGAACCACTCTATTTTTAATATTAGAATTCTGAAGTTTTTAAGCATCAGAATCTTCAGCTTTCTCAAATGAAGAATGGTAATTATATGCTATTTTCTTTTTTAATTTGAAGACAAAAGTTGGGAAATTATTATGCTTTTACTTTTATATTACAAAAGGGTGTTACTTGCAACTAGCATCTATATATCTAAATAACGTTTAGTGACTTAATTCTCTGCAACAGTAAAAAGTACTCAATTTAGATTTTAGTAAGTTGACTGTCAGATGGTTGCTCTCTGGCAGAAGTTTAAATATATATATTCATAGATATTTTTACATCTAGCAATCAGTAAATATTTATCTCTTTTTCTTGCACTTTGCATTTAATAATTTAAAAGGAAAAATTTAACAGATGATAAATATCAAACCAAAAAAGTCAACAAATCTTAATAATCTCAAAATATACAAGGGCAAAGTGATACATAAACCAATACAGAATACATTTGTCTGCACATTTTTGCATAAATTTTAAAAAGCATATAATTCTGTAATTTTAATTTTATAGAGCTTTCCCTAAAATATTTTTTATTTTATTTAAAAATGAGTTTATTTTCAAATAAGAAGATTAAGTCTAAAAATCAGTGCAAAAGATTGATGGTGATGATGTATCAATGCAATTTGATGCATCCGTTTCGCTGTCTTGCAAAAGGTGCAGTGACCAATGGGCTGTCTGTACTCTCAATACAGATGTAGTATTCTGAGAAGAGATCATTTGTTAAGAGCGGATTTAAGACAGAGAGTGTATTCATTCTTTCAAAAATAACACATATGAGAAGATGGAAATTCATTTACATAACAGTAACGCTGAATCAATATATTTTCAGCTTGCCCTGATGTGGAAGAAATATACCATCTCATTAGTCCTTGGTAGGCAGTTGGTATCTGGAATATGAAGAGCGTAGCATCATTGCTTTTATGTAATTGGTTTATTGAATCCAAATGGTGGTTCCATGCATTATCAAATAACCACTGCTTCAATATTAGTCCCTGGAACTGTCTCCATAAAGTTAATTCCAATCCTTTGCTGTCTTAGTGTGTATGTAAACCTTAATGAGACATGTTCCAGTTAACTGCACATATTCAATTTTGGGTAATCTATGGGAATTTGGCCCCATGGTCATAAACCTTTGATCAGACTGGCAGATTTAATAAACATCATGTAAATGTTAACTTAACTTGGAGTGAACAGCCTTCAGTTTACATTCCAAAAGTGATTAGATGAAAGGATAATACACAATGATATTTATGCCTAGAGCAGTTCAAAATTTAGAAAAGGAATTAGTGATCTTCAGTTAAGCTATTTTTTTTAATAAATTGAAAAGATGTTCTGTACAACATAATAGAGTCATAGGAAATCAAAAGCATATCAGTAACAACTTTTAGAAAAAGAAATGAATGATGAAAAACAGATATGACCTCTCAATATCTTGGGGAAGTAAGTTAGGATGATGTTTCATTCACGTCTTAATGATATAAATAAAGGATAACTCTGTGTAAGAAGTAGTGTTTGTATCTGGTGGTAAATTTAGTTAAAAACATAATCACAAGTTACAAAAACTGTAATTACAAATTACAAAGAAAAACAGGCAGACAATCTTGTATTGACATCCTCTTGCATCTTGTTACCTACCAATGTTCTGTTCCATTATAAAATTCAATACTAAAATTTCATAGCTAACATTCAATATTAATTTCAACATTAAAATGTATCAAAATCATTAAAAACAGTCAATTAGAAAAAGCAATACACCAAAAATAATGGTAGTGTTTCCAGGCTTCAACTGTGTTGTATTAACCATCACACAGGAGAATAAAAGGGCTGTGAATTTTAGATAGGCCACTTGGCTCTGGATTCCAGGACTATGGAAATGCCAGTGAAGGTAGTCCAAGAAGCATTTCTTGTTTTATAATATCAGCAGAGGACCAAAAAAAGGGATCCCAGATATGTTTTCAAGTAACAAAAAACATTAAAGTGCAATTTTGTCTTTTACATCTGAACAAAAGTTCTGTCATTTTTAAAAAATAAAGTAGGGCCACAGCTTTATAGTCATTTTCTCATCTAAAACCCCACAATTATTAACACAGATCAAACTGCAGTTTTGGAAGAGAGCCTTTGGACGGGGAAACTACTGAACAGTGATGAATGGCCATACCTAATTCATTGTTTGGAAATTGATGTGGAGGACTGTGTTTCACCGAGGGAGAAAGGGACCTCCCAGAGGCTCTGAGGCTGCAGATCTTCAGCCAGGTGACAGCACTGCACCTGCTGTGTGCACCCTGATGGCAACAGCAGGGAAGTCCACAGTCACGATGATAGAGACAGCCACAGCTGCCAATCAGAAGACTCACTCTTTCTGGTTTTCATGGACTGCGTTTTGCACATCGAGCTCACTGTTTAGAGCTGTCCTAGCACTCTTCTTTTTTTGAGACTTTTGACTCATTTTCTTTGCGTAACTTTCTCTGTTGATAGATGCGTATGGCTATGGCAGTGATGCAAAGCAAAATAAATATCTCCACTGCTATCACACCTAGGGAGAGAAAAGAATAAAACATCATAATTTTTTTTCTTTTTTCTTTTTAGAGAGAGGGTCTCACTCTGTCGCCCACGCTGGAGTGCAGTGGCATGATCACAGCTAACTGTAGCCTTGATCCTCCCAAGTAGCTGAGACTATAGGCCCACTCCACCGTTCAGCTTATTTTTTTTTTTCTTTTTACAATTATTCTTTGTAGAGATGGGGTGTTGCTATGTTGCCCAGGCTGGTCTCGAACTCCTGGGCTAAAGTGATCCTCTCACCTTGGCCTCCCAAATTGTTGGGATTACAGGTGTGAGTTACCGTGCCTGGCCTCAATGTCAGAGTATAAATGGTGACTTTTGGTCCAATCAGAGGCTTTGCAGACATCATTGCTTTTTAAGTTTGGTTAAAATAAACCAACCACCTATTATATTATAAATTGAAAACACCAAAACTCAGAAATGCTGAGGTCAAGTAATTTTATAACATTTAACATACTTCTGACGGACTATGACTTTTGGATATGGCTGTGTTAGGCTTTTTCCCTACAGGTATATGATGATTGGGTTTTAGATAATGCTTTCAGATTTAAAAGAATAGAGACATACATGTCTCTAAGACCGCGTACATCCTTCAGTTAACAAGTGGGAAATTTTAAATCATTTTACAAGTATAGAGTGTTTGCATCATCATAGATCATTACATGTTATTGTTAGTACAATGAAATGGGTACATTTTAATGAAATTGTTTTCAAATACTTTTATGATAATACACTTTTCTTTTTTTTCTGAGACGGAGTCTTGCTCTGTCGCCCAGTCTGGAGTGCAGTGGTGCGATCTCGGCTCACTGCAAGCTCCGCCTCCCAGGTTCACGCCATTCTCCTGCCTCAGGCTCCTGAGTAGCTGGGACTACAGGCGCGCGCCACAGCGCCCGGCTAACTTTTTGCATTTTTAGTAGAGACGGGGTTTCACCGTGTTAGCTAGGATGGTCTCGATCTCCTGACCTCATGATCCGTCCGCCTCGGCCTCCCAAAGTGCTGGGATTACAGGCGTGAGCCAACGCGCCCGGCCGATAATATACTTTTCAAACGCAGTAGGGTCGCATATATGTAATCAATCCCTATTACCAAAAATATTGCAGGCATATTTATTCATTTTTTTTTTACCTGGAATGTGGATTATTTGAAAGACCTGGGCAAAATGTTTTAAAATATTGAAACCATTAGCAGTGTCCATGATTCTCGACTCTAGCTGCACACTAAGTCAGTAAATCAGAATAAATGAATGGAAGGCCTGGATACCAGTATCTTTATAAATTGTTTCAGGCTTTAATTCAGAGCCAGAGTGCTAAAGCATGAAGCCATGCCACAGAATGCTGTGTACTGAAGCAATCATATTAGTGACAAATGAAAGTAAAATCTACCCTAAAAGAAATAAATGTGTATAAAGACAAGCTTCTGAAGGTAATCAGAATATGTCACCCCCAAATATGCCTTTTTGACAAATATTTTGAAGTAAAGGCAATTAAGAAGCAGCCAATGGAGGAAGAGCTCTCTAGATCCTCCCCTCTTTTCATCTAAAGACAGGATGTAAATTATCTTTTACCGGAGACCATTCTTACCAGCTCAGGGATGTCAGCAGAAGAATGTACAAACACACGTACTCCACTAGTTTCTTCCCATATATTTATCTTCCCACGGTTTCTCGCCTTCGGACACCTAAAATTGCTTTCCATTGTCCTGTCATTTCTCCACAAATGTATTGTTGAAGATGAGCCAGACTTCTAAGCCACTGCGCTTTGAGTTTCACTGAGGTTTCTCCCACGTGCTGTGGACCGCATGCCTTAGTAAACTTGCTTGTTTTTCTCTTGTTAATCAGAGGTCTGTCCCAACTACAAAGTTAGGAATGATGAGGAGAAATTATATTTCCTCCCCCACGCTTTTACTGCCTACATCGTACATTTAAAGTACTTCACACAAATATTAATTTATATCTTCAGCCAGTCCCTATTAGAAAATGCAAATTGCCTTTGGGAAAGCCCAGGGGAAGCCTTCCACAGACTCCTTTTCATCCCCTCGTTCAGGCTAAGAATTTCTCAGCGGAAGAGAACACTGCTAAGATGTTTCCTTACGTTTACTCCGTCAATCTTGCCAGTGATATTTGACCACCAGCAATATAATACAATTCCAAAGAGCTGGTTCTATGATCAACTTGCCCATTTCCTTCTCACCAAAAGCTGGGTACTAACCCTGACATTGTGTAAACGTCTGTAGGACTTGGAAACCTAGCGTGAAAATGTTCGGCATGTTGAAATTGCTTTTGCATTGCAATGAAAAAAATCTCCTAAAAAGGCATGATTGATTTAGGATTGGATTTGATTTAAAATTGACCCCGAAAGTATACCTTTTAGATATGCATTATTGACCACAATCCCACTGGAAACTGTTTAAAACAGTTTTTGTTCATCAGGTCATGTATTTTTAATTTACACCTTACTGATTTCTAAGACAAAAAGAATTGAGATAGTGATGGAAATGTGAATATCCTCAACTGAAATTTAGTCAGAACTTTATTATGTCAAAATTGTTTCCTGTCATTTTGAAGGAAACAAACACAACTAGTTTACTCTTGTATGTGCTATGGAGAGTCTGCAGAATAAGAATACAATTAAGATTTCAATAACTCAGCCGGGCATGGTGGCTCATGCCTGTAATCCTAGCACTTTGGGAGGCCAAGGTAGGTGGATCATGAGGTCAGGAGATCGAGACCATTCTGGCTAACACGGTGAAACCCCGTCTCTACTAAAAATATAAAAAATTAGCCGTGCGTGGTGGTGGGCACCTGTATCCCCAGCTACTTGGGCGGCTGAGGCAGGAGAATGGGAGGCGGAGCTTGCAGTGAGCCAAGATGGCGCCACTGCACTCCAGCCTTTGCGACGAGCGAGACTCCGTCTCAAACAAACAAAGATTTCAATAATTCACTCATTAATTAACAAAGAAAGGTGAATGCTTATTTTTTGCACCAGCTCTAAATAAATTATATTTTAGAAAAAAAGTTTTCATTGCCAAAACATATTTTTAAGCTATGCTTAACTTCACTTTTCTTCAATTAAAAATAACCACAAAACATTCTTAGCCTATTAGATTAGTTCTTTCCAAAGTATGATTAAAAGTGAAACATACAATGGCTACTGCTGCACAACATTGTAAATGTCCTTAATGACAGGGAATTATACACTTTAAAATAACAATACACTTTAAATAATGTGTGCCTTTAAAACTTCTTAAATAATCACGCCTGTAATCCCAGCACTTTGGGAGGCCGAGGCGGGTGGATCACGAGGTCAGGAGATCGAGACCATCCTGGCTAACAGGGTGAAACCCCGCCTCTACTAAAAATACAAAAAATAGCCGGGCGTGGTGGCGGGCGCCTGTAGTTTCAGCTACTCAGGAGGCTGCGGCAGGAGAATGGCGTGAACCCGGGAAGCGGAGCTTGCAGTAAGTCGAGATTGCTTCACTGCACTCCAGCCTGGGCGACACAGCGAGACTCCGTCTCAAAAAACAAACAAACAAACAAAAACTTCTTAAATAAGTGAAACACTGTCATGGGAGTATCTAAATCATACTATTTGTCATTGAAGAAAAGTACCATAAAGTGTATGCTCTGATAATTAGCTGAGGTTTCCATTGCTTTGAACATAATTACTTCAGGTCCGTCCAACAGTTGTCATTACCGTGACAAATATCCCGCATGTCCTAGGGAATACAGCTATTTTCAAATTAATAACTTTTCATTATTAGCTTTGTAACTGTTCTTCAAAAAAAATTGTTTCAGCAGAATTCTTACATGCTGAGCACCCCCAGGGAAGCTGAAATCAGCAAATACTGCCTCAGAAAATCAACGAAGGCCGGGCATGGTGGCTCACGCCTGTGATCTCAGCACTTTGGGAGGCTGAGGCGGGCAGATCACTTGAGGCCAGGAGTTCGAAACCAGCACGGCCAATACGGAGAAACCCTGTGTCTACCAAAAACACAACAAATTAGCCAGGCATAGTGGCACACTCTTATAACCCTAACTATTCAGGAGGCTGAGGCAGGAGAATCGCTTGAACCCAGGAGGCAGAGGTTGCAGTGAGTGGAGATCTCACCACTGCACTCCAGCCTGGGTGACAGCGTGAGGCTCTTGTCTCAAATAGAAAAAAAACAAAGAACAAAAAACAAAAAACCACCACCAACCGCAATACATAGCACCCCTCTGACCTCACCATTGAGTATTGATTCTTACATATATTTCCCATTGTGCTAAGTAATGGTATCATTATCTAAAGCGATAATGACAAGCACCAGGTCATTCAGGGCCTTGTTACCTCCGATGACAGCAGAGTCTCTTCTGTCTGCATTAACCAAGGGCTCTCCCTCATCCACTGGTCCAGAACGACCTACAACAGGGAAAGGAAGAATGATGTTTAATAGCTTGATTTAATCACGCCACAATTTACACATAGCAAACTTTTGTCAATTAAAAGTGAATTAAAATAAGAACATCACAAAAATGTATTTTAAAAAAGGAAAAAAAGAAGGATGACAGAGACGGAGAAAAGAAGGCTTTTGAGAAATTCAAAAACATTTGAGAGAAGCGCAGTTTCAGGTGCGCAGGGGTGGAGGGCCACACACCTGCGCCCCCCGCGAGTCGGGGAGCCAGTTCCCGCGCCGGGGAGCCGGACGCCGCCCCCGCCGCGCAGCGGGCCATAGGGGCCACGTGGCCGCGGACGGTGACCCGGGAGGGGCCGCTGGGGCGCAGCGCCGCCTTCAGGGGAGCAGCGCAGCCGAAGCGCACCGCCGAGAGGCAGCCAGTGAAGCCACTAGTCGCCGCCCGCCTTGTGTCCGGGTCCGCGCCGGCAGCCTCTGAGGACAGAAGGGGAACACACAGTTAGGGCGCAGCGGCGGAGATGGGGGCGCAGGGACACCCCGCATCTGCAAGACAGCGACCCTCGTTCCTTCACTCCAGGAGAGGTCCCTCCGATCCCCTCGTTCCTTCACTCCAGGAGAGGTCACCCTGAATCTTTACCTGTTTGGCAACTATTTCCATTGTCAGGGTTATGAAAGGCAGGTTTTTAACAGATTTGTTCAAGTGCAGATGGCTGGCTCTCTGCAAGTAACAGAGCTTCATAGGAAAGCAGTTACATGGCATAAATTTAAGAAATCCTCTGCCATTTAATTTTTACAATATAGCATTAAAATAAAATTTTAATGGCGCTCACAGCCAATAATCCGGAGGATTACAGAAAAGCGACTCTTGGAGATGAGGGCAGAGCTCTGGAAATCCTTCATACTATAGTTGCTATTTTGTATGATGACTTTCATATTATCTTAATAAACTGTATCTTTTGTCATCAGATAATATCCCTCTTTATCTCATTTAAGATTCGATTATATTCCAATCTTAAATTCAATCTTATCTGAAAGTAGTGCTGCATTTCTTAAATTTATCAGCTGTTGCCTGCTAGTTCTTGGCATGCCCCTTCATTTTCAATATTCTAAGAGCATTTAACTGTTGTTTTTAAACCTAGTTTGACAGAATTTAGTCCATTTGTCTTTAGAGTAATAACCACTATATCTGATTTTATTTTT